>NC_000004.12:4200023-4506520 GCF_000001405.40 Homo sapiens | reverse complement strand
CCACTCCCGTGAACCCACAAACGGTTCTCCATTGCTATAATTTTGTCTTTTCAATAACATCATATAAATGAGATCATATATACCCTTTGAAACTGACTTCTTTTAGTCGGCATAATGCCTTTAAGGTTGATTCTAGATGTGTGTGTATCAATAGTTCCTTCTTTATTACTAAGTAGTATCCGTTACATGAAGTTACTACAATTATCTATCACCTGTTGAAGGACATTTGTGTTGTATCTAGTTTTTGACAATTATGAATAGAACTGCTACAAATGTTTGTATACAGATTTTTGCATGAGCATACATTTTCATTTCTCTAGGGCAAATACCTAGGGGATTCCTAAGTTATCTGGTGAGTGTATGTTTAATGGTATAAGAAACTGCCTGTACACAAATGTTCATAGCGGCATCATTCATAATACTCAAGTAGTGAAAACAATCTGAGTATTCATCAACTGATGAATGGATAAATAAAATGTATATCCATACAATGGAATATTATTTGGCAATAAAAAATGAAGTACTGGTACCTGCTACAATATGGATAAACCTTGAAAATATGCTAAGTTAAATTAAAAAACAGGCACAAAGGGCCACTTATTGCATAAGTCCATTTACACATGGTCTCCGACTTACTAAGGTTCAGGACATGATTTTTCAACTTTCACAGTGCTGCAAAAGTGATAAGCATTCAGTAGAAACCATACTTCGATTTTTCGTTTTTGTTTTTGTTTTTTGAGACAGAGTCTCTGTCACCCAGGCTGGAGTGCAGTGCTTGATGTCAGATCACTGCAACCTCCACCTCCCAGGTTCAAGTGATTGTCATGCCTCAGCCTCCTGAGTAGCTGGGATTACAGATGTGCACCACCATGCCTGGCTGATTTTTTTTTTTTTTTTATTTTTAGCAGAGATGGAGTTTCGCCGTGTTGGCCAGGCTGGTCTCGAACACCTGGCCTCAAGTGATCCGCCTGCCTCGGCCTCCCAGAGTGCTGGGATTGCAGGCGTGAGCCACCACACCCATCCCCATACTTCGAGTTTTGGATTTTGATCTTTTCCCAGGCTAGCAATGTGCGGTATGACACTCCCTCTTGATGCTCGACATCAGCTCTCAGTCAGCCATGCAATTATGAGGGTAAACAACCCATACTTTGCAGTGTACTGTGTTGCCAGCATTCTTTGGATATGATTTTGTTCAACTGTAGGTAAATACATCTGTAAGTGTACTGAGCACACTTAAGGTAGGCAAGGCTAAGCTATGATGTTTGGTAGGTTAGGTGTATTAAATGCATTTTTGACTTCCCATATTTTCAATTTATTATGGATTTATTGGGACATAACCCCACGGTAAGTGAAGGAACTGCTGTATATGAAATGTCCAGAACAGGCAAATCCATAGAGTCAGAAAGTAAATCGGTTGCCCAGCACTGGGGGTGTTGGGGGAAATGGGGAGTGACCACTAATGGGTATGGGATTTTGGGGGTGATGAAAATGTTCTAAAACAGATTGTGGAAATATGATTGCACAACTTTCAAATACACTAAAAACCATGGAATTGCACAATTTAAATGGATGAATTGTTTGCTATGTGAATTAGGGCTCAATAAGGCTACTATTTTTTTTTTAAACAGCTACTTATTTTCTAAAGTGGCTGTACAATTTTGTGCTCCCACCAACAATGTATGAGAATTCTAGTTATTTCACATTCTCACCAACACTTGGTATTTTTAGTATTTTTTATTTCAGCTATTTTAATAGGTGTGTAGTGATACATCATTGTTAATTAGCATTTCTCTAATAGCTAATGAAGCCAAACATCTTTCATGTGCCCCCCTTGCCTTCTTTAGTGAAGTGTCTGTTCAAGTCTTTTGCCTATTTTTAATTTAGTTTTTTGTTTTCTTAGTTTTGACTTTGAGAGTACTTTATACATTCTGAACAACAAGTCCTTTGTCATGTGTATAATTTGCAAATATTTTCTCTTAGTCTCCCATTTAACTTCACTTTTCCTTCTCTGAAAGTAAATACTTCTTGCTAAGTTTCGAGAGGTATCAGAGCTTTATTGTCTGTGTACTCCTGTATCCTGAGTGCCTAATAAAGTCTGGCACAAAACAGATATTCAGTTAAGATTTGATGGATGAATGAATGAATGAATTCCCTGTTTTTACTGATAAGCAACAGATTTTTTCTGAGAGATAATAAATACATAAGAAGTAAATCTGAATAGATCATTTTCCTGATTAAAACACTCCCTTCCAGGTATCTCTTTAGAAAAAAAAATAAGTAATCTCTACTCTAGATTAGAAAGCATGGCATGATCCAGCTTGATTCCTTGAACATTTTATGTTCTCCTCCACCTCACAGCCTTTACAAACGCTGTTCCTCTGTTTCAGGCAGCTCTCATGGTATGCTTATGTTTTTGCTTCATAGAATTTTATTTGTAAATACGTGTTTAGTGTTTTTCTCCCTACCAGATGTGTAAGTCAGTGACCTTTACACATTTTTATTCATGTATCCCCTAAAAGAATTTTGAAAAAAACTGAGTAACCGCTCATATGTATCTATTAATCTGACATCTATAATTCTTTATCGTAAGTTTAAATAATTGCAAAGGATATAGTTTTCAGTGTGCTATAAAACTTGACATTTTAAAGTGGAAGTTTTTATCACTCTTTTAAATATATCTCATGGAATCTGAATACCATATTTGATATCCACCATCATTTGTTGAAAAAAACATTCTCAAAAAACTTTACAGTCATCAATTTTACAACCTTTTCCTCCTTGAACTCACATTTCCATTTCACTTTCCCCACATAATATCCTATCCCGGTTTATGCTTGGAAATATTTTTAAAATTTTTATTTCAGTAATTTTTGGGGAACAGGTTGTTTTGGTTACGTGGATAAGTTCTTTAGTGGTGATTTCTGAGATTTTGGTGCTCCTGTGACCCAGAAATCTTTTATTGATCATTTTATCATAGTTCTGTGCGACAGAAATAGATATGCAAATTGAAATTTAATTTTTAAAAAAATTTCCAGTGAAGACTGAAAGTCTCTAAGTGTTGTATGTTGAGTTCTGTGTTGAGTTACCTTTGTAATTATTACTAGTGTGTGTGGATTAAACAACAACAATAAAAATACACTATTTTATCAGAAGAGCCTCTCAAGGTGATGCATAGGTTTAGTTTTTTCTACTGATGTTGTGTGCAAGTAGATGAATATTACTTTTTTAAAGAATCTGACAAGGTTTAATATCAATTTCATTCTTAACTTTCATTTCTTAGTGACGTTAAGAGCTGAGAACCCTCATTTACATAAACAAGGAGATAAGAAGGGAGCTTTTGTTAGGGCACTGCCACCCCACGCAGTTCTTGGAACTTCCTCTGAATTACATGCCGAAACTGTCATTAACTTTTTTTAGTGACCTGCCAGACGACAACTCAGTTAGATTCTCTATTAATTTTGTTGGATGGAAAAAAATTGGGAGCCCTTGACTTGTGAGAGGCTCTGTTGTCCAGTCATTAGAGTCATTCACGTTCTCAGCTTCCCCAGGATTTCTGAGCGTTGTTTTGTTTGAGGTTTTTATATCCGGGACAGCGCAGCATAGTGGGGTTGGGTTTGGTGAGAACTCTGTGTTTTCTGAAGTAGGAGGAGATTGCATCGGGCATGTGGGAAAGTAGAGCCGATGAAGTGTGTGTCATGGCAGATTCTCATGCAGATCTGCATAGGAAGACAGATGAAGGTTAGGGACCTAGACATCAGTTCCCTTGAAATTACATGTGCTGCACACACACCTTAGCAATTCAGCCTCCACTTCCAGGGATACCCATCCCTCCGTTGTGTGGACTGCTGCTGAGAGCTACAACAGGGCAAAGAGCTGTGTATTTTTTTTTCTTCAACACAGTTTCCTCAACTCAAGGCATCCAGTAAGAACTCAATATTTTTTTTTCACTGATAATGAATACAGGGAAAAACTTTTTATGTAAAATTTGACTCCAAACCTGTGAACCTTTTCAGTTTCATTTGAAAAGATATAAAAGGAAAAGTTTTATCCTTGAGTAGTCTTTTATGCCATGAATTTTCAAGAACAGAAATATTCTTTTACAAGGACAGTTTTTATTGACTCCTAGCTTCTTGCTAACTTAGTAACACTGCCCATTTCCCTAAATTCTTTTTCTCTGTTTTCCCAATTACATTGTTTTAGGTAATTTTTACTGTTTTTCAGGTAATAAGAAGGTTCCACTCAAATTCTTTACTAAAACAATGTTAGGGTGGTTTTGGTACATTTTATACTAATGTAATTTTCACCAAATTAAAAAAAAGTGCTGTCATTTGTTTCCCTTTTGCCTATAGTGCTTTCGAGGTATCTGGCAGATACTTTTAGGTATATTACACCTAATAGAGGTCTTTGTGTGTACATCAAATGAGTATGTTCTATGCTGTTTAGACATATTAACTGCAGATTGGCAGCTTCATCTTTCCATTAATGTGCAGGTTCTTAATGCTTAGGAGTATCCTGGAGCTTTCTGTTTTTCTGAGAAAATCTAATACAGATTTTCAGTTGCCTTTTAAAATGCTATACTTCTCCAGGAAACCTTATCTTTAATATAGCATCTGGTTTTCTGTGAAGTTACAAGTTTGAATCAGAATTTCCAGCTGTGGCATCTGGTTTTATGGAGCCTGAATTGAGAATCAAAAACTGGGTTATGTATTTAAATACCAGAAGTAAATGTTATCTTTCTTTTTATAAAACAGTATGGCATTCGTATTTAAGTATTTCCAATTTGCCGAGTTATTGTTCATGATCTGCTTCCAGAGAAGCAAGATTAAATAACAGCTGAACAGCTTTAAGTGAATAGGTTACATTTTGTTATTCTGTTAGTGTCCTGTGATCCCAAACACTCGGTGTCTCCACAGCAAAAGATAAGAATCATAAAATGTTAGAACGCAAAACAGTCTGAGAGGTCATGTAGTGTGACTCCCCTCATTTTCCAGATGAGGAAACTGAGGTCTTATTTTCCCTCATATAGATTTTCCCTCACAAAATAATCACTAACGAGTGAAAGAATTGGGTTTAATTGCATTAGAATAATCATGTTGTTTACTGTTTTTAAAATGCAGTCATTCTGACCGACAGTGAGAGAGAGGTGGCAGCAATGGTCCTGGAGTGTGGCCTGCCTGCCTAGGAGGCTGGGAGGGGTGCTGTGAGGCAAACAGAATGAGGAACCATGTCGCAAAAATGTGGCTATATTTTAGAAATGCTCCTAACTTTTAACTTTGTAACTCCTTTTTAAAGCTGTTATGTTAAGGAATGACAAAATCAGACACAGGTTCAGTGAACAAAAATACTCTGGTATAGTTTAGCAAAAAGATGTTCATTACAGCATAATTTGTCCTTGTGAAAAATTAGAAGAAACAAACTAGGTGTCCAACAACAGAGAAATTGTTACATTATGGTAAATTTTTTATTTTACTTTATTTTTTTTGATATGGAGTCTTGCTGTTGTTGGCCCCAGCTGGAGTGCAATGGCGCCATCTCGGCTCACTGCTACCTCCTTCTCCTAGGTTCTAGCAATTCTCCTGCTTCAGCCTCCCGAGTAGCTGAGGGTATAGGCGCCCGCCACCACGCCCAGCTAATTTTTGTATTTTTTAGTAGAGACAGGGTTTCACCATGTTGGTCAGCCTGGTCTTGAACTCCTGACCTCAGGTGATCCACCCACCTTGGCCTCCCAAAGTGCTGGGATTACAGGTGTGAGCCACCGTGCCTGGCCAAATTATGGTAAATTTAAGCAATGAAATGTTATGTAGCCATTGAAGGTAATTTTTTAGAAGAATTTGTAATTACATGTACTCATGGTGTTGAGTAAAGTAAGTAGAATACAGGAATTACATATAATATGGTTTAACTTATATGAGGGCTATATGGTCATCCCTTGGTATCCTCAGGGGATTGGTTTCAGGACTCCCTCTGGATACCAAACTCTGTGGATGCTCAGGTTGCTGGTAAAAAGGTGCAGTATTTGTGTATAACCTACAGACATCCTCCTGTTTATTTCTCTGGATTACTTATAAAACCCAATACAATGTATGTACTATGTAAATAGTTGTTATACTGTTTTGGTTAGAGAATAGTAACAAGAAAAAAATCTGCACATGTTCAGTACAGGTGCAGCATCCTTTTTAAAAAAATATTTTCCGTCCATGGTTGGTTGAATCCACGGATGTGGGTGTGGAACCCATGGATACACAGGGTCAAGTTATGTGCATAAAATGGAAAAGCATATATTATTACAGTGATAAAAGAGTTTCTTTCTAGGTGATGTTATTATGGACTGATTTTATTTTCCTCCTTATATTTTGCATATCTCGTAAACTCTCCACTATAAGCAGAAAATAAGGTTGGAGAAAATAAGAATTGAAGAGCTAAATTTTTTTTTAACACCAAGTGATAGAAAACTCTAAAAATCCCATTGAAGATAGGATCATAGACAAATAGTCCCTGATGCCTGTGCTGGGATAGTCACACACAGCTGCCTCACCTCTGCCCCCATGGTGAGGATCCCAGTGGTCAGGGACAGTGACCCATTTGGAACATGAGCAGTTGGGTCAAATCCACAAATAACTGTTTTAAACAGCAGTCATTTTATTTGAAAAAAAAAAAGTCGATTTGAAAAGCCATTTCCCCCCACTGAACGCACATTCTTTTATTCTTTTATTTAGCAAGCAGTTTGGAGTGCCTACTAGTTAGTTCCTCTGACCTGAAGATAACATTCTGCTACTAGTGATTTTTTGCCCAGTGATTGTTGAAGTTTTCATAAATCTCGTTGATAGAATGTTCTATTGTGTAAGTAACTTGACAGTTCCTGTTCTCACCTGGTTCAGGTTTAATGATTAAGTTGGATTAGCTATTGAATAATGAATGTTTGTGTAGAAGCCAGTCAGTGAATACCTATGAATCTGAAAATGCAGCTTTAATCAGTGCTAGGCTTGCTGGGATCCATTTTGCTGTTTCTTTGCAGTACAACGTGGGCAAGCATCTGTGCATATGAAATGCTGTTTTTCTAAAAGGTAAGTTTTTCCAGAGCACAGTATGGTTTTCTTTGCTTTCAGAATCTTTGAAAAATCTTTGAATATTTTGAAGTCCTCCATTCCACTTTATAATTTCAGATTAATAACTTCTTACTACTGTAATTTCATACATTTTATACTACCCCCAGGAAAAAAAGTATTTACTTACTTCAAATTTCTTGTATTGATTTCAGTTGGTCTCATTCCACATTACAATTATGGCTTTCCATTCCACAAGGTACGGTTTAGAGTTGTGTTTCAAATTTGAAATGGGTTGTGCATTAATAAAGCTACTGTTTTTAATTTGAAAGAAAAGATCTTTTAAGGAAAGTTTGTTAGGCACTAGGATAAATTTTTGAAATGTTTGTCTTATGTAAATTCATGATAGCCTCAAATTGTTATTCCTCTCCTAAGAAGTGGCACTTTCAGCTTCTTCATTTGCTGGTTTGGCTTAGTTGTATATTTTGTTTCATATGCCATAACCAAGGAATTCTAGAGCTAGTATATGCTATCTAGGTGAACTTTGTCTTCTTGCAAAAATAACCCTAAATTCTGTGAAACAGGTGATGTCTTACTTATTCTAAAGACCTTCAGAGAAAGAAATTCTGTATTCTTCCTAGTGTTTAGTTTCTTTCGTTGTCCACATCTTTCTCTCTCTTTTTATCAAATAAAAAAACCTAGATCTTTTTCTTAAAACTTAAACTGCTTTGCTATTTGATTTATGCTTACATGAATATAATCTATTTTTTATTATGCTCCTTAAATGTCCTGACTGCCTATTTTGTATTAGTTGATAGTTTTGCTCTGACAATAGTGTTTGTACACCAGCGAATTAGTATCACAAAACTATTCTCCTTGGAGAGATAATGAAGTCTTTGATTTTGGATTGGAGCAATGATATAGATAATCCAAACACAGGTGCTTACTTTAATTTACTTATTCAGTAAATATTAATGGAGTACCTATTATGTGCCAGTCATTGGGCTGAGGATTGAAGATACAAAACAAACAAAAACCACCAGTGCTACTGTGTTCTAATTTAGTGTTTTAAGATATAGTAAGTCTAATAGGGACACCTTTCTGATATATTGGCAGTAATATTATTTTGGGGGGTATATTATCATCATTGATCTTATTATGCAGTACTATTTTGCGAAGAAAAGTCACTGCAAATCTACTTGCTTCTTTTTGCTGGGAGTGCCTCCCTTCAGGGAAAAAAAAAATCTAAAAAGAAAAAAAGCCCTCAACTTTAGGGAAGACATACATACATGAGTTGTAAGTTTTTCTTTATGAGAAACAGTATGCACTGAGTGTCTGTGGAACAAGAATTCCCCTTATCTAGAAAAGGATGACTTAGTTTGAATTTCCTAATTAATACCGTTATTAAAGTCTTATGTGACTGTTTTTAGTACGAAGGAAAACACAACATCGCCCACTTACATGAATTGGTAATCATCCCTTTCTTTGACAGACCATAGACCTTAGACGGAGGCACCTGTGAATACATTCTCTCTGGACAGAGGCATATTACCTCCTTACATTCTTGTGTCTTGGAAGGTAAAGTTGATGTTAGTTTACCTCTGCAGGAACAAGACAAATTTTATTCTAAATACAGTTGATATATCTCAGGAAAATAGGACAAGGTGATCCTGAGGATCGGCGAACACATTTTTTTACTGGCAGACCTTATTTGTATTTAAGGTAGTGATAACATGGTAGGCAATATGGACAGTAATTAGGTGTAAAGATTCTAGAGACAGATTAACTGGGTTTTAATCCAGTTCTGCTATGTACTAGCTGAGGGATATTGAGCACAGTGCTTAACCTTTATGGGCCTCAGTTTTCTCCTATGTAAAACCAGGATAATCAGTTTTCTCATGTATAAAATAATGACAATCTTATTAGGTCATTAATGAGAATTAAATGAGTTAATGTTTGTAGGACAGTATAAAACTCTGGTGCATAGCGTTACGTAAGTGATATTGAATGAGTGAATAGACATTTAGTTAATTCATTGCTGTTTTCGGTTTTAATCACATGTTGTAATAAAGTAACATGTTCTAGTTCCAGGGCCTGATCAGTCAGTGATGATTAAGTACATTTCTCCCCCTGGTTTTTCTGCCCTGATGGTGCATTATAAGCATTTTAGAAAACAGAAGTCTGTGCTCCTCCTTGGCATATTGTCCAGTAATCCTGGGAATTCAGCCTGTGCCTCTGAGAGCAAATTGGAGGTCGAGCTATCCTGACCCCATACCAAGGAGACCTTGTACTGGGGAGTGTGTGAGTCATCTTTTCTTGCCCTCGCCTGGCCCTGGAGCCGGAGGGGGAGCCTGGACAGTGTCCACCGTGGGCCAGTAGAGCCAATCCAGGGCCTAGATTCGGAGCCATCATCCTCACAAACTGCTCTGGTTGAAACGCTGGCTTTGTGGGGTTTGTTTCGCGTAAAACATGAGGAAGCCCACCCTGACATTGTCTAGGCACTCTACTTAAGTCTTCTTTAGATGCAGGCTAGTTTGTCCTGGCCTTATGAAGGAGTTCTCCCCACCTCCTTGAAAGGGTGTGTAAGTCGCTGCTTCCCATGCATATCATGTAGTTATTTCAGGCATCTGTTCTTTTTTGCATCCTAAGTGCTTAAAGCTTACTGAATTTTAGTCTCCTGCATGACACCATAGTGTAACATGACTGGTGGTAATTTTTTCTCCAAACTCATGGTGAGACAGCTGTTTAGCATAGAAAGGATTAGAGAGAAGATGTCAACCTTTCTACCCACAGTTGGATTGGGCAGCACCATCCAAGGCTGAAGAATGACATGCAGAAGCTCCTGATTATAAAATAGCACAAATATGTTAGGCCTCAGCTTTTCCTCCTTAGCGCAAAGGCTTGGGTAAGCTCAGTGGGTGGTGTGGGAGAGTGGATGTTGCATTAGAAAGGGTAGAGACTGCAAAGACAGGGCCACAAGTGAGGAATCCAAGAGCGAGGCTGATGGGGTGAGCGAAAGGGGGTGAATTTAGGAGCCCTTAAAGATGTAGAAGCTGGAGGACTTGATGGCGGGTTGGCTGCAGTGGTTCAGCAGGAGACAGTGATCAGCTGTGAGGTTGTTCTCATAACCAAGACACAGGATCTCACTGGACTGTGTTTGGAGATGGGGGATTATCAAGTTGTGAGAGCCTCAGCGATTTTTGGGTGCCAGTTCATCCTGCTGCCTAGGCCTCTCTGTTACCTTACCACTGGCGTTGCTATTTAAGAAATCAGTGTTCATCTCGCTTATTGGCAGCTTTGGCAAGTCCCTCTGACACTCAGTTTCTTCATTTTTAAATGGAGGATCTTAGATTGTTTGCTTTACCTTTCTCTTGGAAATGTAAAGAATTTATAAAAAGAGAAATCTCATTTTTGAAAGTGTATATGGAAAGTTTAACGTGTCTTAATGAAGGTACATTACTTGAGGAAATATAGTTCAACTATAGGATTAAAAAATTGCGTTATCCGATAATCATAGATGCTCTTATTCACCTTCCCAGTATTTCAAACATGAATAATTTTTAGAGCCTGTAATGTGAATATGGACAGATAGTACCACTGCTCTGCTATTCTATTTTGCATTTTAACTTGTTCCATTTCTTTGCACTAGGATTAAAAACTTGTTTGAGTTTACTCAACAAAATTCATTTGCCTAAAAATGAATTTTATTAGATCATTTTCCTGTTTAAAAATTTGGTCTGGGGGAGGTGCTGGAGGTGGACTAATACAAGATTATCTTTGTTTTTGCGTTTAGTTGTACAATTTAAATATAAAAGAAAGCAAGCCAAGGCAGGAGGATCTCTAGAGGCCAGGAGTTTGAGACCAGCATGGGCAACATAGCAAGACCTCGTCTCTCAAAAAAAAAAAAAAAAAAAGAAAAGAAAAAAAATTAGCCAGACACGCGTGCCTGTAGTCCCAGTTACTTGGGAGGCTGAGGCAGATGGGTTGCTTGAGCCTAGAAGTTTGAGGCTGCATTGAGGTATGATCATGTCACAGCACAGCAGCATGGGTGATGGAGGAAGACCTTGTCTCAGAAAGAAAGAGAGAAAGAGAGAGAGAAGAAAGACAGGAAAGAAAGAAGAAAAGCTGCCATCTTGCGTCCCCATCATTTGTAAGAGAACATTTTAACATTGTTGGCTTACAGAAATCCTTCACTAGACATTTGAGGTCTTCCAATATTAGCCTAGAACTTATATATGCCAGGCACTTTTCTAGGCCCTTTGCATTTCATCCTCACACACACTCTGAGGCATGTACTATATCTTTCCTATTTTACAAGTGAGGAAACTGAGGCAAAGACAGGTTAAGTAAGTTTGGAATGCTGTATAATTCATGAATGTCAGCCTGCATTAGATCCAGGCAGTCTGATTCCAAAGTCCATGCTCAACCTCTTTCCTCTGGCTCCTACATCAGTGGTTCTCAACCCTGATTGTACATTAGAATCATCCAGGGGCCTTATGGAGCAGGGTGGGGAAGGGATAAATAATTTTTACAGGGCCCTACATGAGACCAATCAGATCTTCCCTCTTCTCCTGCTTTCAGGTTAAAAGTCACTCTCTCTCTGTTTTCTAGACCTTTGTAATCTCTTCTTTCCTTGATTTCTTGGCACACGTGGGGCTCCTAATGACCTTTTGCAATTAAGGACACACAGCTTTTTGGTTTAGCTCTGTAAGACAGGCACCATGGAGACAGGGAGATGCTTCCCACCTGTATGTAACCTGCGCAAAGCATTTTACAGGTAACCTGGAGCTTGATTGTTAATTCCTCAGCATGTGATTCAATATATTGTTATTTTTGCATCAGGGGAAGAACAAGGATAGTTAATAAGAGAGATCTAGGATTAAATAGCAACTCTAACATATCTGAGCCACACTGTTCTTACCTATAAAATGGGAGAAGTGATAATATTAGAGGACTTTTGTGAAGATTCAATGAAATATGGAATATGCTCTGTAATGTAGTCATCAGAAATGAATGCTAAATCCATTGCCTTGTAAGTGAAGCACAGCACCGAGACTTGGATATGAAAAATCACTTGAAAGTATGCTGTTCAGTCTTCAGTCAAATGCAAGAAGCCAGGGAATTTGGGGAGCTGGACTAGACCTTAGGGATCAGGGAATGCAGTCTCTTCATTTTATTAGCAAGGATTGAAGCCTGGAGAAGGAACTTGACCAAGGGTACACTGTGAGCCCAAATATATGTACTGTACAATATGTAGTGTACAAATAGTTAATAAATACTTTCTTGGTGCTGTGATCATTATCAGTTTTTACTTCGTAGCATTTGTCTTCTCTATCACTTCAGTGTGCTCATGTATATGTTATGTAACCCTCAAAACAATTTTGTAGGCCTAGCTTACCTGACCCCAGTGTAAGACTTTGAGATAAAATCCTAAAGGATACCACCATGGGATATGGGCTTATGGAGGTACTGAAAAATAACATATATTTACCTTGTTGACTTTTCTTGCATGAGAGGGAAAAGAGTTAAAGACATTCAAACCACATGTGATTGAAAGCCCACGAACCTCTTTCCAGTTCTGTTTTCCCATGAAAATGAGGCTGTTGTATCTTCATAATTTCTTGCATGTATAAGGTTAAAAACAGAGGGGAATGAAGATATTCCAGCTACATTTCTAGTAGAACACCTACATTTTGTTTTTCTAAGCATACTGTAAAAACTTCAAAACAGCATTATGCTTTGCGCTTATTTTAAAACCATTATTAACAATATTTTCTATTGATGCTTTAGTATAGATTTAGACTTCTAGTATCATTGATTATTATAATTTGAATTAAAAGTGAAAATTCATGATAGGTACTGTTTACTTGGAGGACCAATTGCTGTGGAAGTGTGCAGCCTACAATGAAGATAATAAGATGCGTCATTTGAATCAATATTTCTCCCACCTAAACAAAAACAATTTTTTTTAATCATAGAGGAATCATTTTTAGAACTACCAGGTGAATATGCTGTGGTGTCAATTAAATACAGTGGAAACTACCTATTCTTACTATTTACAATTCCTAATCACTTTCTGTCTCTTTCTGCAACTCATTACGTGTACCACGATGTCTTGATTCCCTGAAGTGCCTAGTAAATTTTCTCTTTGTAGGACTATGAAATTAACCATGGGCAGTGGAGGGGGCGGGGGGGTTGGGAATGCCTGTGCCTTTTCCAAAAATTGGGGTTGCTTAGAGAAAATGATAATGTTTAGCATTTTTAGTGGTGCCTAAATGTGTGTAGAGAAACACCTATTTCAGGCCTCTCCAAAGACTTTGATTGTCTGAAAGCAGAAATATTTGCAGTTTGACTTTACTTGGTGTTTACAGTACACTTTCTGAGCACTTTATGGATATTTAATATTGTATGACATGATCAGCAATATCTTTTTTTCCAAATAAGTGGGTTTTTAAAAATATAATGGAATCAGAATGTGAATAACTTTTAAAATTATTTATTATGCAGAGAAAAATCTGAAGCCATGAATTTTAAATCTCATGTAAGTTAAATTTGGAAGTACACAGATTTGCCCAGAATCTGAATTTTATAAGCCTTAAAAACTTTGACATTTTAAAAATATTTGAGGAGTTTGTTATTACCATCTCTTAAATGCACACATTTTTTTCAGACTACTAGGGAAGAGAGTGGCTAAGCAGAGCATTGTTGACTGCCCCAGACATCCTCGACTGGTTTCTAAATCTGAAATAAACTTCTTAGTCATATGGTGATAAGCAGAATTCAGAACATGTCTCTTTTTTAATGCATGTGAAATAGAAAGTGATAGTCATCACAAAATGAAATTTGATTTATGATGTGTTGATGCATCGTCATACTAAGGCACGCTGAAAAATATTTTCAGTTTCCTAATAAAAACAAAGTGACCTCCCCATGAGTGATTCTCCTAATTGTTATTGTCAAATGCTTTTCTTTATGCTTTTTTTCTTGCTCACACTCAGATAATCTACAAACACTGTTTGAATCCTGTGTTTCACTTTCTTTTCTTATGAAAAGTTTTCAGTGAATATAGTCCCTGAGCGAATCCTTTCCAACAAAGTACTTAACTTTCTATGCACACAATTCAAAAGTCAATTAAATGTGCGTGATTCATTTATCACAAAGAGTACCACCTATACTCTGTGGAAAATTCTTTCTGTTCGAAAGAAGGTTCTTATTTCTAAGAATGAGCTCTGATTTTAATTAAATAAAGAGCATTTTATGCAATTTTTTTCTAAAGCTTAAGATTAATTTCTATGGTTACTAGGGATATAAATCTCTAGATTGCTTTAAAACAAAGATTTTTGTCCAGGAGAGAGTTGACAGCTCCCTATAAGAGAAGCTATTACTTAATTTTTCTTTCCTAAGTTTAAACACATAAAAATATTTGTAATGATACCCCAAAGGCATCATAAAAATGTAAAATAATTGTACTCTAAAATATCTAAAATTACAGGAAATAGACCTCATTTTAAAAAATGAACTGAGATTCATGGCTGGGTAACCGGAGTGTGACATACTTCAAAACCAGAATCTCTTGTCAGGATACTTTTAGTTTTTTAATGGCTAAAAAAAGAAGTCTTTTGTCAATCATAAAAACTTTAAAATATGTTCATTCTATTAGGAAATCTTACTTTTTAGTTTCATTACCTTTAACGTATATTACACTGTGGCTGCGCTAGATCCCTTTGAGAGGCACATTTCAGTCTTTAGAATTAGGTGGCATCACTAGGCTTGTGATCAACGATATCACAAGACAACCGTTAGACTGTTTTTAATGATTATTTTTTAAAAGTACATAGCCATTTTCTAAGCAGCTTTGAAAAAAGGCAGCATAAATCGTTTCCAGTGTCTTACTTACCCAAAGTATACTTCCTCTTTCGGTAGATGATGTTAACTGGTAAATTGTTCCCAGGTTAAAGGTTTGTCATATTTTAATAAATGTAGTGTAAAATCTATAGTAGAGACACTTCAAGGAAAAAACCCTCAACGTTTTCAGTAAATGAAATTAATATATATCCTTTTTCCTACGTTAGTATTATGGTATCATTTCTTTTGTTATTTTTATTTACTAAAACTTTAATTGAGCCTTATATAGTAAAATATCCTCATGTTTTTAGGAAAAGTGAAATTAGATTTATAAAATGTCCAGACTGAAGTTTTGAAAGAAATGGCATTTTGTATATAATATGGATGAATGCTGTTGAGGCTAGACGTGCTCGTAGTTTAAAACATGCCTGATCCGGGAATGCTTTGCATTAAATGAGTTTATATTTTGAGAGCAAAACAGGGAAAGAAAACACTTTCCTTCTTTTTTTTTTTTTAAGAGACAAGAAAATTAAGTTGAATGCGTATATTGAAAGTGCTATAAGCCGAATGTTTGAACAACAAAAGTAAACACTGATTATTACAAATGTACATTTGGACCACGTTGCTTTTATCTTTCAAGCAAAACATTTCCCACAGTTTTTGTGGGTTTTTATTTAAGTTGGGAAAACTTCGGAAGTTTGTGTGAAAGTATAAATAAGTTTGGAAATGTCATGATTAGAGTTTGATAATAAACATGCAAAAGCAAATGGGAAACTCTATTAAAGTCAGATGTAACATTAAATAATGTTTTCTCTAAAATGTATTTGCAGAGAGAAGAACAGTGATTTATGTGGATTTGAAACAAAGACTTTGGCTGTAATTTAAAATAAAGGTTAAATGTGAATTCTTCAGCCTGAACATGGATGAAGTTTTTTGTTTTTAAGAGCTTCCTTAGTGATTGTTATAGGAGCCTCTGTGCCCTTTTCCAATTATGGGCACAGAAATTATGCATGTATTTATAGATTCCATGTAAAAAAATTCTTAGTTTCCAATAAATTTTAAGCTGCATTTTACGAAGTAAGCATCTGTAGAGAACCTTTTGGAGAAAAAATAGGAGGGAAAACGTTTCAGTTTATGTAATTATTGAAATATACCACTGTATAGAGAATGAATAGAAATTTAAAACCGTAATCTGAAATTTGTTTTAAATCTCATTGTTATGAGATTGACCTCATAATTGCAAATCGGCATTTTGTGTTCAGTACAACTCCAATTCTTAAGGAAATTTGTCTGTTCTATTAGAGTAATACTGTAAGTTTAGGAAGATGCCCCTTTGGCTATTGTTACATATGGGCCCTTTTGAAAATAGTGGTCATGCTAATATTTGATCAGATAATGCTGACTAATGCTGTAGAGCTTTCGAAAGATTTCTTGAACATTGTCAAGTTTTACTTTCCTTTCTTAGGTACATGACTGTGTATCTCTTAAAAGTGTATATGTATTTGTGGGGGGCAGTTAGTGTTACATTTTTATTGTAAATTTATTACAGTTCGATATGTGATTTTGAGTGAAATTCATTGCAATATGAATGAAAATTTTTTGTATGTATGGTGTTTCAAATGCTTTACCTAATTAATTGTCTGAAAAACTGTTAAAGGGGATTTAAATTGCATATACTAGTTTTACATTTAAAGCTTTCACACTGAGCTGAATTCAGATACAGGACCTTAAATTTTTTGTCCAAAGAAAGTAAGAACTCATGTAGAATGAAAAGATATAATTTGAGTCTCAAAATCAAGATCTTTAATATACTGCTCAGGACCTAACTATTATTTTTCTAGTAGTTTTCACACATTTTTTTCCGGCAAATGTTATGTTACGGAGTGATTATTTTGTGTTACTTTGTACACTTAAGGAGCAATCCATTTTTAGCAGTTGAGCCCTCATTTTGTAAAACTAAGCTGTTGGCAATTTGCTAGTTTCTTTAAATTCTAGAAACCACTAAGTTTTACCTTTTCATTTATTTCCAAACAAAGAAGATGTTAGAAAGTTCTGTAACTTATCTCTTGAAATAATATTTTCTGGCCGGGTGTGGTGGCTCATGCCTATAATCCCAGCACTTTGGGAGGCTGAGGCAGGCAGATTGCTTGAGCCCAGGAGTCTGAGACCAGCCTGGGCAACATGGCAAGACCTCGTCTCTACCAAAAAAAAAAAAAAAAAAAAAAAAAAAAAAAAAAAAAATTATTTTGCATGTGTATTGAAGTGCTTTGAGTTTCTTGCCTTGTTCACTCCAAAGACGATCATAATGACTTTCCTCATTATAGGAAAAAGGAAAAAAGGGATCTGTATATTTTTGAGGACAGGGAATGATGAAGCAAGACCCTGGACTTTGCTTGGAATTTGGACATTTGTATTATTGGTCAAGGCCAGCATACTCTGCATTTTATTCCCATTCACTTAGTTGAAAGATGACTTTGGAGGCAAGGACATATATCTTGTTACCAAACCCTCTTTCTCAGAACTTTGAGATAAAATGAACATTCATTCCTTTGCTTTTGTTTTTGCTAAAAGAGAAAAAAAATCAGTTTGAGTAAAGCAAAAACATTTCTACTTTTGGGGTTTGAATGATAACAAAGCAGTTGAGATTAAATTATTGACATCTGACAAGCAGAATGGATGTTGAATGTATGTTCTTGCTATGGGCCGCTTGAAGTTGCTTTTGCTATTCTCTTTGCTGATGTGAAGCAGAAAATGAACAAGGTAACAGTTTTGATGGTGAGATTAGAGGTAGCCAGGCTGACTGTCTCCTGGCTCTTAGAGACCCTTATAAGCTCAGGGCCACCCCCTCCCCTTGTTTAGATATTACTTGCTCTTTTGAGTTTCAGATTACAGGAGCAATTGGTCTGCATGACCTATCTTAAGAACTTTAACTTTGCAGTAGAAACTTAAACCAAATGTATATCCTCAAGAGACAAATCATCTTAAAACTAGGCTGTTGTCATTTTGATGTACTGTACTGCTCACTGAGGAACAGTGTGGTGGAGAGCACCACCTAGTGGATGGGACCCATACTTGATGGGCTGTGTAGGAGATTTCGTCTACATTGATGTAACTCTTGCCCTTGTCTTGCAAATAAGTGATTTTTAATCGTCCTAGCACATATTTTTAAGTAGCGCTAGGACCCCAGGAGAATGAGATTGGGAGTAGTTGTGAGATATGTCGGTTTTCTTTGTAGTTTTCGCACTTCTATAGGTGTATGTACTGGTGCTTGACATCTCCACATTCTTATAAGCTGATATTATAATTCAAACAAAACTTTTTTTTTTAAATGTCAGTAGGGTAGTATTTAGTCTTTGGGAATTTTGTGTTTTTGAGTGCTTATGTTCAACCTCGGTAGTAAGAGACGGCTTTGGATAGAACCTGTTTGTTGCCACAAACTTTATACTATGCTGCTAATCTGTTCACCTCACGAGAGGAGGAGTTGCTGCTGATTATAAACTGTAGGTCATAAATTGTTACCTGCTTGTCATAGAGACTATATGCCTTTTGAGTGTACTAAAATATTTGCAAAAATTAGATGAAACAATTCCACATTTAAAAAAAAAACAACTTTTAACACATCATGACCACAAATTTTAGGTACAGCCATTCCTTGATATTTATTTTAGAATGTCAAATTCTTGATAAAATGTATCACCTCTTCGTTTGTTGAATGTTCCTAGACATTTGTTGAGCTAGGAACTATGCCAGGCTTTGGGAATCCAAAGTGAAGAAGACATAGTTCTTTTTGGACTTAGAATTTTTTAAAGTTTTAAAATTCTTCAACACAAAAAGAGTGAGCGTATTCCTGGGATGTGGGATGTATTATGTTGGGGTATAAATACATTTTTTTGCTTAATATTTTCTGACATTTAGCAAATGCTTTTGAAGAAACTGCTAAATAAAATTGATGGGTTTGTTTTCATGGGTTTGGCAGGGGGGAGGCGACAGAAGGCTGCAGGTAACACCTCTTTGGTTTCGTTCTTCACTGAGTTTTATCCTCGGAGAGCCCAAGTTTGGAGGCATAGAGTGAAGAATTTAAGAGCACAGGCTTAGAGTCTATTCCAGAGTATGGACCCTGGCTTTTCAACTTGCCAGGTGTGTGCCTTTGGGCAAGTGTACTCATCTGTTTTCTCATTTGTTGTGAGGATTCAATGAGATAGTCTATACAATGGGTTTAACATGGTGTCCGACACATAGGAAACACTAAATGTTCAATATGATTTATTATGATGATGATTTGGAAGTTTATTATGATGATGATTTGGATGATTCAGTGTAGGTGGTTCTCATGGTGCACTCAGTCTCCCCACCACCTGCAGGCCCCAGATCCCTGCTTAGTGTGACCATGCAGACAAACCCCCACTGATGGCCAGCAGATGTCTGCGGGTGCTGAGCTAGAAAGTTCAAAGTTCTTCCTTATGCAGATGATGTTTACAGAAAGAGTGTACCCTCGTGTGTCTCGTGTGTGTGTGTGTGTTGAACAGTGTTTACAATCAGAGGCACTTAACCTGAGCTCCATGAACCAAAAGCCTCTGAAGCTCAAAATGACAGGCAGAAAGTTTTTTGTTTTTGTGTATATGTTTATTTCTTTTATAGAAGAGATCAGATTCATAGCTTTTGTCAGTATCTCAAAGGCATCTGTGCCCCTAAAAAGGTCAAGAACTATACTTTAGATGTTCGTGACTCTGTGTAAGGCCACTGGAGAAATTTAAAATATAGTCCCCTCTTAGAAAGTGAAACTCAAATATGAATTTTGCACTATTTGTTTTTGAAGATATGTAAATAATTTTAAAGATAGAGTTGATATTTTGAGGAACTCAAATATGAGTAAAATGTTTTTTCCTCTCGCCCCTCTTGTCAAGGTTCTGAAGAATTTTAAGAGCAAGGAAAAGTTAAGAATACAGGCTATGGAGTAGACCTAATTTCAAATACAGCTCCGACACTTCCTAATGAGTCCTCAAGCCAGTTAACTTGGCCTCTCTTCTCTGTAAAAGAGGAATCCTAGGGGTACCTGCCTCCTAAGTTTATAATGAGGATTAAATGCAATAATCTGTAAAAAGCCCTTACAATTCTTCTTGGCATATAGTAAGTACTATAATAGTGTTTGCGGTGATCATTTTTGTTGCATATTCACTCAAAAACATTTATAATGTATCCACATTCGTTGTCTGTTATGAATTGTCAAGGTAATTCTTTTCTTGTCTATTTTACCTCCATCTTATTGACATGTGAATGACATTTCTGATTTCTTATGAGCAGACTTTCCAAAGTTCTGCAGCTGAAATGCCCTAAGTCTGATAACCTCAGTAACTAGAATCCCAAATGTACCTGGAGCCTTAGAATGATTTTGGAAGCTTTGGAAAGCATAAAAGTAGAAAGAAACTGACGGGGTTGGTGGTAGGAGCTTTCAAATTGATTGAACACCCAAAAATTATCTTGGAATTTCTGAGCTGGAAAGCATTTGGGGGTTCTTTCCATGCAACCTTCAAAGCACACAAGTGAGGAATTGCACATCACCCGGTGACTCCAAAGTCAGAGAACCAGCTGGGAGTTACCATGTGCCTGGAGGCGCTGTCCCCGCCCTCTGCCTGCGTGCTGACCATCCACCACTCGTACTTCTAAGAGAGCAAAGGATATAGGCTGCTCATGGAATTCTAGTATAAGCAGTGATCCCAGAAAAAGTGTGTGGTGAGTCAAAGACTGTTCCGTGCAGGAAAGTACCAGTAGCATCGAGAAAAAGGAGAGCTTTGGGAGCAGGAGAAAAGATACGGAGGAGAGCGCATAGGGGACAGGGCAGGGACAGGCTGCACGCTGTAGGTGCATCCCACAGAAACCTAATGGTAGGAGGTTATCTATGTGTGCTTGGCAGAAAAGAAATGCCTGTTTCAGCAGTGCCTGCCGTCCACCCAGCGTGTGTGAGCTCTGGGGTGAGGGTGAGATGGGGCTTGCGAATCTGCCGTTCCCATCATTGGTTTTGTTCCCTAGGGCCTCTTCTACTAAGAGTATCTTGCTTACTGCCTGCGAGTCTAGCATTTTCACTGTCATCATGTCTCCTAAACTCAAACCAGCCACTTCCTCTGATTCACAACTGAAGAAATGGCAGTCTTTTCCAACACTGGGCTGGGGGCACTGGCTGGTTTGAACCCATTGCAAGAATGTGTTGAAGTCCAGAGTGGCCTTGTGGCCTTTTAAAATTGTCATTTGAATTGTGTATGCTTTTCACCTTATGCACTAAAGTTCACCTTGCCCTATGGGTGAGACTGAAATAGTGATGAAATGAAGAAGAAAACTTAGAGTAGTTGAGCACCTACTGTGTGCCAGACACAGTGTCAGACTCTTCACAGACATTATTTTCATCAGTGACCTGTAGTCACCTTCAGCATTATTACTGTCTCAAGTTTATACCTCAGAGATGAAGGCTGGAAGAGGTTAAGTGACACAAAGCCATGTCACTAGTAAGTGGCAGAGCTGGGATCTGAACCCAGGTCTGTTTTACCTGGTTTCATCCTTTGCAGTATGGAGACTCAGAAGAATGCAGCATGCATGCACACTCTCCACACACAGCCTCCAGACCAGATGGGGTTTGGATTGAAACGCAAAGCAGTGCGAAGTTGGGTCGGATCCTTGGGTTGGAACTTCTTGTTCTGTTCTCCCTCCTCCCTTCCTCTTTTCTTTATTACCTCCGTCCTTAATGTGCCTGGCCCATGCTGGGTCTTACATATTTGTCAAGTGAACAAATGAAAGAAAGTTTTCCAAGCACACAGAAAAGAAAGTAGTCATTATTAACCGGCAGGGATTCAGAAGCCTGAGCCATGTCTTTCCAGCCTATTGTGTAGTTTTGGATTGGGTTGTTAGGCAGGTAGGGGAGGAGAATATTTGTTTTTAGACGGCAGTAGTTAGCAAAGCCTCTCCGTGATGTTTTTGTGGAGGAAATGTTTTTAAAATAGACCCTTAGGGTGTTCGTGACTAGTTGAGCTGGCTGTCTACAGGGAGGGGTCTCCGGTTCTTTGTTACTTTTTATATCCCATTTTCATCTCATTTTTTGAATGATGATTTTTCATTATAGATGTCTTTAATGGCATAATGATCAGAATTGCAAATGACAGGAGGCCAGGAAAAATGTGCATATAATGAAGACCTAGTTTATCAGCAGCACTCATGGAAAAAGTCATTTTAGTCGATGTAAATTCAGCTCGACTCAGTGACATGAAGGTGAGCATGCCCTTAAGTGGCATTACTAGAAGCCCAGAGTCTGGAACAAGGGAAGCAATGGTTCTGTTTTCCTCTGCACTTTCTGCTGACACAGAGAGTATTGATTCTATTCTGGAAACTGTATTTTATTTGGGAGGCCCATGAACTATTTTCAGAGGTAGTAAGTATGGCCAGAAGCCGCAGATGTATTTCATATAAAAAATTCCTGAGAGGAAGGGGCCGGGCACGGTGGCTCACACCTGTAATCCCAGCACTTTGGGAGGCCAAGGCGGGCGGATCACGAGGTCAGGAGATCAAGACCATCCTGGCTAACATGGTGAAACCCCATCTCTACTAAAAATACAAAAAAATTAGCTGGGCATGGTGGCACGCACCTGTAGTCCCAGCTACTCGGGAGGCTGAGGCAGGAGAATCACTTGAACCTGGGAGGTGGAGGTTGCAGTGAGCTGAGATCATGCCACTGCACTCCAGCCTGGGCAACAGGAGCGACACTCTGTCTCAAAAAGGAAAAAAAAAATTCCTGAGAGGATTGGGAATGATTAGCTTGGAGAAGAGAGAAGACTCAGGTGGAGTAGATCACAGTAGCTGACCTCGATTCAGAGTAAGAAAGAACTTTTTACTGTCTGAGGTGAAATGGATGGCCAGGGAGAGGCAGTGGGTGCCCTATCATGCTGCTCTTTTGGCAAAGCAGGTGTCTTCTAGATCCTTGCTAGTCTTAACCATCCAAGCAGGGAGGTAGTCACTGCTCTGTGTGTCATCTAGCCTGTTCTAGGCAAATAGTAAGGTCAGGTAAACCGGGAGTGGACAGAGCTTCAGAAATAGTGGGAATGTGTTCAGTAATGCCAAATAATTGTAGTTTGGGGAACTAGAAGAATGGGAATGAAGATGTTTAATTAGATTGAAGTTAGTAAGTTGGGGCTGGAAGGAGTGAGGAGGAAGAGTTGAGTGCATAATAAACATTTGTTTTTTTCTATGGGTGTAAGAGTCCTAGAAGTCTTTTAAAATGGAAGTTGCATTGAGTTTAATGGGAATCTTAAGCATTATAAGGTGCCACTCAACTTTTGAAATTAAATCATGAGTTCTTTGTGTCATCAACACTAAGATTCTAGGTTTTTGTTTTTTTTAATTTCTGGGTTTCTTTAAAGATGATAGGGGCTTAATATTAGAAAGGAAGCTATACGTTCCAGGTTGTTAGAAAGTTAGTTGCTAATATGAGAAATTAGACTGCTAAATCCACCTACCTAGTGTTAACCACCCATGCCCCCCTGTTAACCAGCCTCATTGTCTGTTACTTGAGACTCTCTGCAGTAAGAAGGTTGGATCTAGAAAAGTCAGTCTCCTCTTTTGTGCACATGTTTTCTCTCCTTCTGTCTCTAAAAAGACATATGCTGAATTCTGGAAGCCGCAGTCCCGTAAGATTAGTATTGGTTCTTAGCAATAGGTTATTTAGCTATTGATTATACTTTTCCTAGGTTAAGATGGCCTTATTTATTTTTTCTGGTAAGATTTCCAGACTGATGGAATAAAGAACTTGATATATTCAGCTAACATTTATCACTTACAGCTTGCCTCAAGGAAGGTGGAAAGTGAACCCAGAATACTATATTTTAAAGCCTCCTTGGGCCTGCAATTTTGAGTAGAAGTTGAGTGATGGGAATGAAGACATTCTGGGCAGAGAGAAGCAGGTGCCAGAGTGCAGGGCAGAGAAGAGGAGGCTTGCTTAAGGAAAGGCTCTGTGGTCTGGCACGCAGGTGGTTGCAGGAAGTGCAGGAACAGAAGCTGGTAGATGGAGCTGGCTCCTTTAGCCAGTGTTTAACAAGGTGAGTGGATGGGACTGACTGACCAATTTCATTTGTAGGGTGAAAAAGAGAGAAGAGTGTAAAATGGCCAAGGTGTTCTAACTTGGAATCTAGAAAGGATGAAGACTTTCTCTTTGGGGCCGTCAGAACAGGAGGGACTAGGAGTAAGCCAGAGGGTGTGAGTGGCTGCATGAGGATACCGTTGGGACATATTGCTTTTGAGGCGTCAGTGGGACACACAGTGGCAGTATCTAAAAAGCATTTGGATACACTCAGCTTGAACACAGGAGGGAGGCAGCGGCTGGGTGGACAATTCATGTAGACAGTAAATAAAGCTATGGATTGGAATGAGTGAGCTTAGCAAGAACATGTAAAGAAAGAGCCAAGGGCTGAACTTACAAGAAGTTTCAGAGATTAACAAAGGCAGAGAGGGAATGAATGAAGGTGAAGAAAAGGAGTTATAGGTTTTAGAAAAGAACCTAGAGACAGTGGTGTTCTGGAACCCGAGGGAGGCTAGTGCTTCAGGAGGGGACAAGGAAGGAGGAGGCAGGAGCAGGGAGGAGAGCCATCCGAGTTTGGTGAGGCCTGGTGAAGAGTGTCCCCCTCAGTAGGAATTGGGGGAAAGTGACAGGAGTTGCTTACTCAACAACTGCTGAAAGAAAAGAAGAAAGCGAGAAAGGAACAGTTCCTTTATGTATTCCCTCAACAAACTCGCTGCTGTGGTCCTGAGCACAGTGGAATGTCTGTGGCTGTGCTAGCCTCTTTTGTGGGTGATTGGTCACTGGGGAGCTTCTTTTGCACAGGGATAGGACTCAGACAGTCCCCACTGTGACATCAGCAGGTCAACATGCTCCAGAGGTGTGTTAGTTCTGAACTTTTAGCTCTGACTTAGTAATTGCTATTGATGCATTTTTCAATTAAGAGTGAAAGGAGTTAGACTCGGAATTTAGTCAGTGGGCTCCAAATTAAACTTGGGTACATGATCCTTGTGAAAAATCACTTTAACTTGTCAGTAGTTGGCAAACATACAGCAGTGGTTTTTCTGGCTGTGCCTTTGGCTGCATACTAACTGAACAGCAAGCTGTGTCCACTGATTGAATGAAAAAAAAATAATGATTTTGTGTTACAGGGACCTTTTTACAATATGCCAGAGGGACCTACTGGAGTCTCTTTAATCTTGAACAATGCTTGTTTCTTGCAGAGGCAAATTATGCAAATCAGTACTTAGTGTTCCATAATCAATCAGGTCTTTGTTGGAAGTGTTGTGAGTGCCAGCAGAACAGAATTTCTATCATCCTGGGAAGGGTGAGGGGGTTTGCAAGTCAAACCACTGCTGTGATCAGCAAAGGACACTTGCCGACTGCTTTGAACTCTCCCCACAGTCAGAATGCGGTCGCTCTTTGAGAAGAATCCCATCATTTTGTACCAGGGTTTTTGTTGTACAGTATATCGTGCTTTGGGTAATTCACAAAACACCCACGAAGGAACAGCTAGCAAGGCTGTTCTGTGGGTGACACATAAAAACAAAGCTGGGCCTGCCGCCTGGGATGGCAGCTGGCAGCCATGCTCCCAGAGCTCCCTTTGTGTGGAATCTGCCTAGAGTGCAGTGTTTCAGAATATTCCTGGACTCAACTCATCTGTAGTGCATATGTATGCTTAAAAACAATCTCATTTCAGCTTCCTCCTGCACAGAATGGTGAACCTTTATTAATCCTTTGATTCCAGATCAAAAGAATCAGAGAAATTTTTAAAGTCCTTGGGAAAAAACTGCTGTTTTTGAGAGGTCCTGTTATTACTGCTGCTCTAATACTTGTGTTGCCATCTAGTGGATAATGGGAAGTATGTGGCTGCCTTAGTATGTTTGGAGTTTATTGTACCCTATTACTGATTCTTGAAGGGGATAGAAAATCAATTCAAAAAGTTTTTTAAAAAAAGAAAATCCCATGTGGAGCATTAAATAGTTATTGAGGAGCCACTTTGGGCTAGGCAGACGCCTCAGCAGCTTATGTCAGGGAGACATGAAAACAATTCAAAACTCAGAAGATGGTGACATCTCTGCAAGGGATGTATTTGCAAGATGGATCCTTAACCTGGCCTCGAGTTAGCAGGGAAGCCTTTAGGAGGTGTGACACCTGAGCAGAGCCTCACGCATAGGAGTGAGTCAGAAGACAGGATTGGGAAGCAGGGAGGGCTTTGCGTCTGGAGACAGCAGCAGAGCGTAGGGCACTGGCGGGCCTTGGGCATGAGGATGTGGGCTTATCCTGGGTTAAAGGGGAAGGTAATGTACAGTTTTAGTCAAGGAAGTATGTGGGAAGATTCACCCTTTTTGATTGTTTAATAACATGTTTTATCTGATTATAAGGATTTTACGTAGTAACTGTAGAAAAATTTTAAAGTGCAAAAAGTATGAAGAAGAAAGCAGTCTCCAAATCTTACCACCTACAATCATTGATACCTTGCCGAGCAGTCTTTTAGATTCCCCTCTATGTATGTATACAGCTCTAGGTGTGCATTTCCTATGTTTCACGCATATGGGTCACACCATACATGCTTTGGGCAACCTCTGTTTTGTCTCAGTTTTTCCCCACTAGGTAATATGCTTATGGGACTTTCATCCATGTTAGTAGTTCCTGGTGTTGAGTCCATGTCAACTGTGTAGATCCACTGATAGGACCAGCTCTCACAGGAGACCTGTTTGCCTATTGGGATGCTGTGTTGTTTTGTTTGGTGTTTCCTAGTAAAACCTTTATGTGTATAAGAGCAGATAATGTAAGAGAGTCTTTTTTTCCCCCTGTCAAATGCATCTCATGTAGGGACCATACTGCTGTTTTATAATGAATTTGGTTTTATGGTAGATGGGTTTTATGGAGAATTTCAATGTCTTGATGATCTAGGAAATTAGCGTCATTAAAATATAGCTAGTTAAAAAGTAAACTTGATTTATCTTTGGAGAAAGAATGGGATGAGTCAGATGAATGCCTGTAGTTTTAGAATGGAGTTTAAATAACTTGTTTGGTTAAGTATTAGCCTAATGAAGGAGCCAGAGCCTGGCTGATCCTGGATTGTGGCTGTTAGTTCTGTGCTGGCCCATAGCTATAGACAGTGCCTTTCACCTGAACAAGTTAGATCTCACTATGTCCCTTCTACAGGTCTGGTAAATGCGACCTGCAGTGACTTAATTGTACTCAGATGGGACAGCAGAGTCATCTTTGTGGGTAGACTTGCAGAAGCTAAAAGCACACAGGCACTCGGTTTGAGACATACCAAACAAAAATTTATTTTTGTATTTATTTCAAACCATTTATACAGGATGTGTTAGTTTACTGTCTTCTCATCTGCAAAAGGGTAATAATGATACCTACCCTAAGGGATTGTTAGGAGAAGCAAATCGGATGCATAGCATTTAGATTGGTGCCTGCCGTATAGTATGTAGTACTCAATAAAAATTGACTATTAACTTGTGCCACTACTATTTTTTAAAAATAGTTTTTACCCAATTCCCTTTTGTAGTGAAGCCCACGGAGATTAAGCAACTTGCTCAAAATTTCAGCTGGCAAAGGTTAAAAGTTGAGTGGAGCTTGTAAAATATATCCCTTTCTTCCCAGTCCAGTGGAACTACCTGAAAGAAAAATACAGGAGTCAGCAAGAAAAAGCCAAGTGGAGAACCTGACTTTAGAGTTATGGCCCAATACGAGTGGGGCATGGGCCAGAATATACCCTCTCTGCTGGCTGGTCGATCTGAAAAGAGGAGAGGACAGGGCAGCATGCTCTCCCTTCTCAAAATCTGAACACAGCTCTCTCCTCTTCCCTCTAAGAAGAGTGAGTAAAGGTTGGGAGATAGGCCAGGAAGACTGGTCCAGCTGAAGTCCCTCCACATGATGCATGGCAGTGGGGAATAAGGAATCCCTTCACAGTAAGTGGCAAAGCAGGGAGTAGAACCCAGGCACCTTGGCCAACTCCCTGGATTTCATGCCCATCTTTCTTTTGTCCACCCTGATTCATCCAGGCCCCCCACAGAGTCTTTTCCTCTGCCCTCTACCCTATTCTAAGCTAAAAACTGAATATAGATGAACTCAAACGGGAGAATGAACAATCCTGGATGTTGCTTTCGTTACTTGTTTAAACCATGTTTTCAGGTGGCTTGATGATAGATACTCAAAATGCACTGGTCACCGTTGTACTGCCAGTCTTTCTGACCATTCTTTTTCCTTGCTGTATTTGTGAACCTTCTTCTCAATACCCCTATGGGCTTGCCAATCCAAAGCCCCCCATGTCGTAAAACACAAGGAACAGTAGTAGCCAACTTCAGAGGAGACAAATGTCAATCAGTGAAAACGTTTTTGTTTTTTTTTTTTGCCGATCTTTCTGTATCCAGTGTAGTTAATTTGTTAAAAAATCAACATATACAAATACTCTCACAAATACTCTCATGAAGCTCAGTTTCTTTCTATGAAGAAAAATTCAGACCTAACTAAGCTAAACATAACATGAACACCGTGAGTCATACAGATCTGTGATCAATGCCAATTCTTCCGTTTATTAGCCTTGTGACCTTGCTTAGGTTTGTTTCCATGTTTACTAGGTGGGGCAGGAGGAGGTAATGTCTAATTCGTACGATCGTTATGGAGGGGTGGAAACCACAGAGCACACGTCAAGCAGTTTATGCACTACCTGGCACACACGTGGCGGGTGCTCTGTAAGTAGCGATCACGATTGGGTGAAATCAAGCATGTACTGCATGTTGAATAGAGATGTAGTACAAAAAGAAAAGAGCAGGTTGATGTTGATATTGCCCACGTGGAGGCTTTTTCTCAGTTCCCAGGTGCTTCCTTGCAAATATAGCACTGGAAAACTGTAGTTGTGACTTGCCAGGATTCTGTGTAAATTTGGCAGTTAAGAACTCAAGACTGGTACTTAGACTGGCTGGATTGGATCCAGGCTTCAACCCACATGTCCCTGAGGAAATTCCTTATCCTCTCTCTGACTCGGTTTTCTCATCCATGGGGCAGCCATGATGCTGTCACTGCTCCTGGGCATTGCTGGGAGAAGTGGGTGAGTAGCACACACAGAGCTCTTTTGGACTTCCGCCTGACTGGGAGTGAGGTCCCAGTGAAAGTTTTGTTGTTGTTTTTTGGTGGCATTGATCCTGTTACATGGAATTTAAGCAAAGATTGCAAGTACTTAGAAATAAAGTAGCCAGAGATTGTTGGGATTTAGTTGTTACTAAGTAAGGGTTGTTCCTAGTTTGGTAGCAGAAAATCTCTACCTCAAAATGACTAAAAATGTTAAAAGAAGAAAGTACTACATGAGTTTGTTTTGTTTCGTTTTGTTTTGTTTTGAGACCGAGTCTCGCTCTGTCACCAGGCTGGAGTGCAGTGGCGCGATCTCGGCTCACTACAACCTCCACCTCCAGGGTTCAAGTGATTCTCCTGCCTCAGCCTCCCGAGTAGCTGGGATTACAGGCATGTGCGTCACCGGCTAGTTTTTTTGTTTTGTTTTGTTTTGTTGTTTTGGTTTTTTGGTTTTTTTTAATTGTATTTTTAATAGAGACGGGGTTTCGCCATGTTGGCCAGTCTGGTCTTGAACTCCTGACCTCAGGTGACCCGCCCGCCTCAGCCTCCCAAAGTGCTGGGATTACAGGCTTAAGCCACTGCCCAAGCCCCGAGATTTTTTAAAATAACATGTTATTATGGAAAATTTCAAATATATACTAAAGTGGAATAGCACAAGGAACCCCCCATATAAGCATGTACTCACCTTCAGCCTTGAGCAACTCAGGACTCATCCTGTTGCATCTGTTACCTCCCCCTGTCTTATTGTGAAGCAAATCCTGGGCATTGTATAATTTTACTTGTAAGTTGTTCCGTGTATAAAATATAAGGATTCTAAAAACAGAAAGATAAATGAAAACATAATCCTAGTACATAATATCATTATTACACCTAACTGAAATTTATTATTCCTTAATATCACTAAATATTAAGTAGGAGATTCTTTAGTGAAATAACAATATACAGTGGACATTAAAACGACTTTAACATCAAATGAAACTAAAAAACACCAACATATTTATTAATTTAACAGTACTGAGGGAGCCCATGCTAGTTCCCCGTAATGGTTAAGGGTTCTAGTTCCAGCTCAGTCAGTCTTGAGCTTTGGTTTCTTTCCACTAAGAATATCTGTTTCCACAGGTTATCAGAGTTAAGTGAAATAACTCATTTACAGTAACTAGTATAGAGGAGACATTAAATAAATATTACATTCCTTTCCTTTTTCTTTTATCTACAGTTCAATTCTTGTTTTAAACTACACTTTATGTTAGAAATACAGAATTCTCTATTCTTTGTCCATACCCTTCCTCTCTGATGGAGACATATTTAATATGGCGGTGTAATCAAACCGTAGCTCACTGATGAAAACTCTTTTCCATGATAGACCATCAGTCTGATGGAAGACTGTTCACTTGTGAGGACAGATGATCTTGTGAAGCTGTTAGGTTGCCCAGTCTTAGTAGATTTTACATGGTGATGCTGCACCTTCTGAACACACCTCAAGTAAGAGGCATTCTCTTGATGTATATACTTATTCCTACTTTATCATATTAAGTGACTCTTCCAAAATTAGCACTGCATGTGGAAACATTTAAAGTCCAAAACATAGGCCGGATATGGTGGCTTATGCCTGTAGTCCCAGCACTTTGGGAGGCCAAGGGGGGAGGATCACTTGAGCCCAGGAATTTGAGACCAGCCTGGGCAACATAGCAAGACCCCATATCTACAAAAAAGAAAAAAGAAAAATCCAAAGCATACAACTACTTAACCTCTCTAAAAATGTGAAAATGTAATGAGCACGTCAGAATTGTATGCGCTATAATATGCGGTCTTTGCCAGTTTATTCTGAAAAATAGGACTGAGTCTAACAGTAAATAGATTAAGCTTGGCCAAGAGTCTTTATAAAGTTAATGGTAGTCATGTGATTAAACAGTCAAATCATTCTCTGCAGAGATAATTGTATTATGCTATTTGGGGACTTAGGTATGCCTATGTAGATAAATCAAAGATTTGTTGAACTTTTTTCTTTGTTGTTGATTTGTCATGTTTTTTTTTTTGTTTTTTTTTAAAGAAATTAATAGAAAATTCAGAGCTCTCAAATTTCTAAAGAAATCTTAATGTTCCTTTATTTTTTCATTCTCAGCATTTAAAATATCATACATTGTGTTCCTGTTAAGTATTGAGTTATTATACTGATGTAATTTAGTCAGTAATTACTTAACACACCTCTTATCAAGAATTCTGTTTAATCCTGAACCACCTGCACTCTGTTTTAATAACCTCGTTTCATAGAAATTTCCCATTACAGAGCATATGAAGTTGGGATCACATTTGTTAGACTAACTGCAACCTCTTGTATAATAATTATGTGCTTGTGGGCCTCTGTGGAGCTTGCTTGCTCCTGGCATTCATCCCTAGGCACCATCCCTCCCTTGTAGAATAGAACTAACTAAAAGTAGGGGTGGGCAGCTGGATCTAACCTGTACAGTAGATTCCTCTGCACTTTTCAAAACTTTGTATGGAAAACTTTATGGCTTCTAAAAAAACACCTGTTGTGGATAGTAAGGTTCTTAGTAGGTGTATTAGTTTCTCATTGCTGCTGTAACCAATTACATCAAACTTGTGGCTTACAACAACACAGATTTATTATCTTATAGTTCTATAAGTCAAGTGTCCAAAATGGGACTCCCTGAGCTAAAATCAAGGTGTTGGCAGGACCGTGTTCTTTTCTGGAGGCTCTAAGGAAGGCCCATTGCCCTGCCCTTTCCAGCTTCTAGAGGCTGCCCACATTCTTTGGCTTCCTTTCCCCATCTTCAAAACCAGCAACATTGGAATGAGTCTTTCTCACATTGCATTACTCTCACTCTCCCTTCTGCCTCCCACTTCCACATTTACCGACCCTTGTGATTGAGCCTACCCAGATAATTCAGGATAATCTCTCTACTTTAAGGTCAGCTGATCAGCAACCTTAACTCATGTGCTGCATTAATGCCCTGTTGTCATGTAACACCATATAGTCACAGGTTCTGGCGATTAGGAGTTGGACATCTTACAGGGGGATGGGCCTGGGGAAGCTGGAAAACCATTATTCTGCCTACGGTAGCAGGTATAATCCTTCTGGGATTATTCAGTACCCACTATTTATTCAATATTTAGTAAAAGTTTCTGAGGGTCTGCTTTGTGCCAGAAACTGCCTGACAAGCTCTGGGGAAAGAGAGAGGACTCTCTGCCCTCTCAGAGTTTGCAGTCTGGTGAAGGGAAATCAGTTTATGAACTAGTCATTGTTATCATGAAGGAACAGGTGCTGAAATAGATGCACATGTAGCGTTTTGTGCGGGAATGGGATCTGACTGCAGCTGGGAGTGTAGGGTGAGTATGAGGAGGAAAAGAGAATCTTGAATGAGGAGGAAGAATTTGCCTGGGAGAGAATGATGGGTAGGGCGTTCCAGGGAAAGGGAGAACCATATGGGTATGCAAGTGAGGGGAAGGCCTGGGACTTGGAGGCTGGAGTGGTGCGGGGTGTGCGGCAGGGACTTTCAGCGCTGAGTTGTGAAGGGCCTTGAGTGCTGCATTTGGGAGTTTGGACTTTTTCCCGTTGTTTAGACACTGAGATGACTCATTGGCTTTCCTTTGGCAAATCAGCATGCAGAGCTGCTTCCTTTAACTGCAGTGTATTTTGAAACCAGAATTCACCACTGTCGAATGTATTCTACCCACGCATTTCCCTTGCTTTGCTCATTTATGCTGTTCACATGGCCCCTGGAAGTAGTTGAGTGTTTGACCCCTGGTAGGCAGGGGAAGGAGGTAAGGAGATGGAAACCATTGAAGGTTTTGAAACAGAGGAGTAGCTTGGTCAAATCTTTTATGTGATGGAATGAACACCTTGCTTGCGTATCTCTTAATTTTTTTCCCAACAGACTTAAAAGTCAGATTTCCGACCGGGCGCGGTGGCTCACGCCTATAATGCCAGCACTTTGGGAGGCTGAGGCGGGCGGATCGCGAGGTCCGGAGATCGGGACCATCCTGGCTAACATGGTGAAACCCCGTCTCTATTAAAAATACAAAAAAATTAGCCGGGTGTGGTGGCGGGTGCCTGTAGTCCCAGCTACTCCGGAGGCTGAGGCAGGAGAATGACGTGAACTTGGGAGGTGGAGCTTGCACTGAGCCGAGATGGCACCACTGCACTCCAGCCCTGGTGACAGAGCAAGACTCCATCTCAAAAAAAAAAAAAAAAAAAGTCAGATTTCCTGATGCAGCCTAAGTGGAAAGCAGGAACAGGATTGTAAGGCAGGCAGGCATGGTGGTGCACTGGGAAACACGCTGAATTTGGACTCAGTCCTGAGCTTTTGAAACCAAGCTCACATACTAAATGTGTAACCTTGGACAAGTCACTTAGCTTTTCCCAAACTGGTTAATGAGAACAGTAAGAATCATAGCACAGCAGGGTTGTTGGGAAGAGAAATAGGCCATGTACGTGAAAGTGTTGAGCAGTGTCAGGGATGGTGGACAGTCTCTCAGTCCTGATTTGCTATCTGTGAAATAAATGAATATTGTGACCATACTTAATTCTTTTTCTTTGATTTGTTTGCTTACAATGCCTTAGGGTGTTTTTCTGAATCACATTTATAATAAGAGTCTAGACTATGTGGGAAATTTAGCTGAACCCAAACTGACATATCTCCAGACAAACCATGGATGTTTCTTTTGTGATCAATGCTATTTTGTATTTAGGCATATACTCATTCCACAGTGTTTATTGATCACCTCTGTGCTTCTTGTTGTGCTTACAACTGTAGGGAAAGATGGGCAGCCCCTCCTTGCATAGTTCTGCCACTGACAAAGAAGTGTGTATATAAAAGTTAGGTCAGAGTACATGGCCATGAATAATTGAGTGCCAAGAGTGTGGTGTGCAGAAGTCCTTTTAAGATCAGAGCAAAGTGAAAATTAGCCTGGGTTGGCCTTGACAGAAAAACTTCCATGGAAGAGATGAAAGTTCCGCAGACCTTGCAAGGCTGGGGCCACGTGTGTTTGGAACGAGTGCAAAGTGTGTGAGTCGGAAGCTGGAGTAAGACGTCGTCAGAGGACCAGCAGGCCACTGGCTAGTAATCATTCTCCCTCTGGAAACACGTTTGTCCCTATTGACTGTGGTCTGAGCGTTCTTCCCACCACTTTTTATTTATTTGTGAATTGCTAGTTCCATGCACAGTACCTGGCATGTAGTAGGTGCTTTAGAATAGGTTTTTATTATACTAGAAACAGCCATCACAAACACAGTGCTTTGTACCTGTATCTTTGAGTTCTTTTTCTTCATCCATGGAAATAGCCCATAGGAAAGACAGAGATTTGCTATGTGGGGATAAATTGTTACCCCTGAATCTTTGCTTTAACTCTGCTGCTCTGCATGGGCCCTATTTACAAACGCAACAGCTTCAGCTTTAGAACTGTCCCTTAGAACACTTGGAAGAAGGAATACTTGCTGTGCAATTTTAGCTATAAGAAAAGAAAAGGAATTAACCTTATTGAACACATGCTATGTAATTACTAGACATGCATTATCTCATTTCGTCTTTAACTTACCTAGAAATCACCTACTCATAGTGTCATAGGTCCTAATAATTAGAGGTGGAAGGAACCATCGATGAGAGACTGAGGCCCAGGAATGGTAACTAATTTGTGACTGTACGAGAGTCCAAAACCGACGGTGCTCAGTTTGTAGCTTCAGAATCTTTCTGCAATTTGCATTTTATTCTCTATTAATTTAAAATTCATTACATGAGTGTAACATATCTATATAAACTGTTGGCTTTCTTTTTTAATTTTAGATTTCTCACATTGGCAAACTGAGAGATTTTCTTCTGGAACACAGGAAAGATTATATTAATGCTTATAGGTAAGTACATATTTTTTTACCAGGACTTTGGTGACTGTGTTCTTTTCTACACCTATATTTCTTTTGCGCTTTTTGCCCTCACCTTTTTCTTAATAACTCAGAGTTGTAATGAGGAAGACCAGTTTGGCAGTGGAAAAATCTCCTCAAAGCAAAAGGCTCTGCTGTACTCCATGTCCTCAAAGTCATGAAATCACAACAGCAATATCTTCCAGTCTATTTGTATCTCTCTATGTACCATTATCTCCTGTCAAATGAAACTCCATGAGTACTTACAGAGCTGTATTTGAAGTTGGGGACACATGTATTTGTATGCCCTCAACCTGTGGAAGAACAAAGTTTTCAAGCCTCTGCTAAGCTATTTTTGCCCATCTCTTGCGGTCCCAGTCTGTGACACCAGTTTTGCTGGTTTGGTGACGTTCTCATGAGCACATTTCAGTCCTTACCCTCACGTCGCTGGATCATGCCTCCCTCGCCAATTCCCAGTCCTCAGTCCTGATGGCCATTTTCTTCTTTTGTCCTTCTCCCAGGCTTTTGACACCTGCTAGAGGCAGCTACACACCCACTTTGGCATAGCCTTCATTTCTTACGGCACTTTTGCTGAATCCTTCTGTTCATCCCCTAATGTTACTCATGTTGACATTCCTTCTGGTGGCTAAGTCTAGTTTCTACTCAGTAGCCAGAGTCTTTTTTAAACTTTAATTGGATTATGTCACCACCTGAGTAAGCCCACCATGAATACTGCATTGGAATTAGCATTAATACCAGCCTCTACACTGCGGTCTCCCCACTCCTGATCTAGCCCCTGGCCTTATTTCAAACACCGCCTTCCCACGACGGTGCTCCAGCCATGCCAGCCTTCCTTAAAGGTGCCATGCCCTTTCCTGGTGCAGGGCCCAGGCCTATGCTGTTCCTCCTCTTCCCATGGTGGTTTCCTTTTCAAACTTAAAGGCTCAACTTAATAGTCCCTCTTCCCAGAGGCCTTCTCTCACTACCCTTTATAAAGTAGGTCTCTTCTGTTAGTTAGTTTCTCCACCCTGTATATTTTCTTCAGTAACAAAACACAATTTGTAATTATTTAATAATTACAGTTTATTATCTGTCTTTGTCACCAGGCTGTACATGTCATGAGGTCAAGGACCTTGTCAGGTTTCCATCGTGTTTCCATAGTTCCTCACCCATATTTGGCACTCAGTAAATACTTGTTGAATGAATGATTTCCTCCTAGTCCTAAAGTCCATGACTAGCCCAGCAGCACTCAACTGTGGTGATTTTGCACCCCAGGGGACATTTGGCAATGTCTGGAGACATTTTTGTTTTTCCCAACTAGGAAGAGGAGTATTGCGCATTTAGTGGGTAGAGGCCAAGAATGTGCACAACTCAGGACAACTCTCCACAACAGGGACTTACCCGGCCCAAAACTGAGGAGGTGCTGACATTGAGATCCCCTGCTGCAGCCTGACCCCTCACTTCAGATTAAACTTCCTGGTTCGTCACAGGTTTATTGAATTCTAGATGCTTAGGGCACATCTGGGGGTAAAATACAAATATTCCTGCCCTCATGGCGTTTGCATTCTCGTGGGCTGGCAAAGACAAGCACTACGTGTATAGTACATTAGGTCATAGGTCCTATGGAAAGAAAAGGAAGAGTAGAACCAAGGTAACAGGGATCGGGAGTGCTGGGAAAGCTTGTGATTCTTACACAGAGTAGTCAGGAAGGCCCCATCGAGGTGGCATCAGAGCCTACTCCTCGGTAAAGTTTGGAACCTCTAATAGGGTCTCTCAGTTTCCTCCTCACCTCATCACCTTCTTTCCACCTGTCATAGAGAAACCCCTCTCTTTGTTTTTAAGGATACTGTCCTACTTGTGTATAAACTAAAGGGAAGAAAAAAGCCAGACGACCAAAAATAGCTGGGAATCATGAATGCAGCAGTACCTGAGAAGTGGTGCGAGTGCATCCTTTATGTCATCACTCACACCGCCTCTCAGGTACCGCTGTGCTCATGATTCCTGGCCAGTTTTCATCATCTGGCTCTTTTCTTCCCTTTAGTTTATACATTCAGCGGTACAAGCATATCCTTTATCTCATCCCTCACACCGCTTCTCAGGTACTGCTGTATTCATGATTCCCAGCTATTTTTGGTCATCCGGTTCTTTTCTTCCTTTTAGTTTATACATTTGACCTTGCTTGCTCCTTAAGCCAACAGGCCCTGTCGCTTCATTTCACGTCAGTGCCAAACATGGGGAGAAAGTCTAATCAGGGATCAGCCAACTTTCTATAAGAGCCAGGTAGTATAGTTTAGGTTCTGTGGGCCACATATGGTTTCTGTCACATATTTTTTGTTTTGTTTTTTTTACAACCTTTAAAAACCTTTAACCATTCTTAGTTCTCAGACCATAGGGAGCCATGCCTGCAGGCTAGACTTGGCCTACGGACTGCAGGTGACGTGACCTCTGCTTCCTCACCTTTTACTCTGCGCCAACCATATGGCTCGGTTTCCCTCACTTTTCTGAAATTTTTCTCCTAATGCTCATCTGTGACTTCCTAATCACCAAATCCAGTGGCTTTTCCTCAAGGGGAATATAAATAGACTTGTATGGTACACACTCTGGTGTGTCTACCTTCTTTTACTCCACATGTTTTTGAGGTTCTTGCATGTTGTGTATACCAGTAGTTTGTTCCTTTCTGTTGCTTTATTATTTTTAATATTCCATTGTGTGACGTTACCATAGTTTGCTTATCCATTTATCTAATAGAGAATACGGGGCTGTTTCCACTTTGAGACTATTAGGAATAAAGCCTTTGTGAGTAGCATCTTCTACAAGTCTCTTTGTGGACATACTGATTTATTTCCTTTGAATAAATACCTAGGGGTGAAATTAGTGGGTCATACAAATGGTAGGTGCATGCTCAGCCTTAAAATAAACTACCAAGCAATTTTCCAAAGTGGTTTTTCACTCCTTGTAGCAATGCATGCGAGTTATAATTGCTCCCTATCCTTGCCAACATTTGGTGTAAATAGGCTTTTCAGTTTTAACCATGATAATGTAACCGAGCCCAGGCTTGGCTGCTCACCGCTTGCAAAGCCAATAACAAGGACGAAAGGAAGGTGACTTTATTTCCAGAGCAAGCAGTGGGAAGGCAGGAGCGATGCTGCGTACTAGGTCTGTGTGTCTCTTTCTGATAGCTATCATCGCAGGCTGGCGACATGTCAGCAATGGCCGGGTTGTAGACTACCCGCCTTGAGGTAATCTCTGGAATTTTGCAGTTAGGTCTCCGTGCTCAGTCTATTTCAAGTTAGCCCCTGCAACTTCCAGGTAAGCACATAATTAGATACATACAGTTAGGTAAATGTGCATGGTGTAAGGGAATGTATGGTGAGAAAGGGAGGGGACGTGGTGTTTCAGAGAAAGTACGTTTCAAGGCTGTATTCTAAGACTAAGGAGGAAAAAAAAGGGTTTCTGCAGTAAGCCTTAGGATTACATCTTGAGACTAGGGAGAAAAGAGAAAAAGGAATAAAAAGTTTTAAAGTGCACTTTCAGGCTAGCCTGTCTAATTCCAGTGACAAATGTGAAATGGCAAGTCACTGTACTTGAAGTGTGTCCTTCTCTAATGAGAATGATGTTAAGCGCCTTGATGGTTTTTTCTCAGCTCTTCTACTTTGCCACAGCCTTTGATCCTGTTGACCATCATCAGTTTCTTGAAATTTCCTATTCCCTTGACTTCCATTACAGTATTTTTTTGGCTCCTCTCACCACTCATTTTTGCCTCTTTGTCCTTCATCTATCCCATAAGAACTCCGGGGCTCTGTTTCAGGCCCTTTTCTTTTCTTTGTCTCTACTTTGCTTAGAAAAAAAGTTCTATCTACCTCCCTAGCTACCCTCCCACCCACCCCCCATGCCCACCTTATCTTTCCATCCTGAATGTTTATTCTGTGTTAGGTACTCTGATAAGCACCAGTTATTCATATTTTATCTCATTTGTTCCTCACATCAACCCTATGAGGAAGGCACTGCTGTTAAGCCTGTGTGGCAGGCAGGCAATGAAAGCATAGCGATGGCATAACCTGAAGATCACAGCTGGTGAGCTCTGAGCCAGGGCTGGCCATGGAATCCTTGCCCTTGCCCACCACACATTCTTACCACCTACTGTGGCTTCCTCTCTCACCAGTATGCCAGTAGTGAAACCACCTTTGCAAAGGTTGTAACAGTGAGAAAGTTATGACAGCGAACGAGATCTGACCTAATCAACTCCATCTTGCCTTTAACCTCCCAGATGCCCTTGATCATTACTAGTCGTAGGCCAAACTAACTTTGGGAGGAAGTTAATTTATAGTTTAACTTTGAAACAAATGTGATAACAGCCCCTCTTGGAAACAAACGCCCTTCTTGCTTGGGGACAAGGCCACCTTTGTAAAACCAACAAATTAGCCACGAGATTAGAAATTATGGCTCAGGAGTCATGTAGCCAGAGGCCAGAAGACTGCTAACCTCCCCATTTGCTCCTATAGATAACATTACTGCTATAAAACCTAAGATTGATGTTAGAGGTATTTTCAGACCCCACATTTTGATGGATCAGCTGGCACCATGCAGACCAGGACACTGGCTCATCTGGTCTTATGGCCCCCACCCAGAAACTGACTCTGTGCAAGAGGACAGCTTCGACTCCCTAGGATTTCATCCTTAATCCAACCAGTCAGCATTCCCCATTCCCTAGCCCCCTGCCCACCAAACTGGCTTTTAAAAATCGAGCCTCCAAATCTTCAGGGAGGCTGATTTGAGTAATAATAAAACCCCAGTGTCCCTTTTAGACAGCTCTATGTATATTTAACTCTTTCTCTATTGTAGTTCCCCTGTCTTGATAAATCAGCTCTATCTGGGCGGTGGGCAAGATGAACCTGTTGGGCAATTACAGTTGTTCCTAAATGCATGTCATAGGCACAGGCTTCTCCCAGTCCCCATTGCCACTGTCCTGCTCGCCCAGCACCTGTGAGCAGCACCATTCCCATGCATGCTGCCCGCTCCTCCCATCCGCTCTAGAGTGCTTCAGTGCAGCCTTTGTCACTTGCCTGATCTCTTTGTTCTCAACTCCCTGCTCTTTGTCCCTTCCTCTCCTGGTCTGTCTGGAAGGCACAGGTGTAGTCCTTATCATCGTAGATGGAATCACGTGCTTCCCTCTTCAAATCCCTTCTCTGCCTGCAGGATGTGGCCCATCCATACTTCTTAGATAAGCAAGACTTTTCATTACCCTCACCCACTTTTCCATCCTACCCCTTTCCTTCATGTGCCCTACAGCTGCATTCAGAATTAACATTTGTTCTGCCTCCAGGCCTCTACTCACACTATCAGGTTGGCCTGTTGCTCTTCACTCCAATCCACACATGTCACATGTTCACATGCTTCCATCCTGAGAGACCCATTTATCACCACCACCTTCTCGGTAGAGCCTGCCCTGGCCCTGCCTTCCTATCTGAAAGCCATCTCTCCTGCCTCTGAATACTGACAGCTCTTTTTCTGTGCTTTTCTTATGGTACTTTTCACATGTGCCTGGTAGAAGAGTAATTTGTTCGTAATCACTTCTACCACATTTCTTGAGGTGAAAAACTGTGTCCTACTCATCTCTGCATGTTTATAGTGCCATGATTTGATCAATTTGATTCATTAATCAGCTTATTCATTCTGCAGTTATTTATTGAGTGCCTACCATGTGCCATAGACTATGCCAGGCATGGAGTATAAAATAGTGAACAAACACAAACATGGTTGTCCCTGCCTTCATGGAGCTGCTAAGGTATTCATGTCAACAGGTAACATTGCAGATATGATAGGTACTGCAAAAACAGTACAGATAGCTTTTTATTTTTCCAACTTTTAAGTTCCTGGGTACATGTGTAGGATGTGCAGGTTTGTTACATAGGTAAATGTGTGCCATGGTGGTTTGCTGCACAGATCATCCCATCACCCAGGTATTAAACCCAGCATCCATTAGCTATTCTTCCTGATGCTCTCCCTTCTCCCACCCCTGATCCTCCAACAGGCCCCAGTTTGTATTGTTCCCCACCGCCTCATGTCCATGCGTTCCCATAATTCAGCTCCCATTTATAAGTGAGAACATGTGGTATTTGGTTTTCTGTTCTTACGTTAGTTTGCTGAGGATAATGGATTCCAGCTCCATCCATGTCCCTGCAAAGGACATCATCTCATTCCTTTTTATGGCTGCATAGTATTCCATGATGTATATGTTCCACATTTTCTTGATCCAGTCTATCATTCATTGATGGGCATTTAGGTTGATTCCATGTCTTTGCTATTGTGAATAATGCAGTGATGAACATACAAGTACTTGTCCATGTGTCTTTATAATAGAATGATTTGTATCCCTTTGGGTAGATACCCAGTAATGGGATTGCTGGGTCAAATGGTATTTTTGCCTCTAGGTCTTTGAGGAATCGCCACACTGTCTTCCACAGTGGTTGAACTAATTTATGCTCCCACCAACAGAACAAAGATAAAACTTACCAGAATCTCTGGGATGCAGCTAACACAGTGTTAAAAGGGAAATTTATAGCACTAAATGCCCACATCAAAAAGCTAAAAAGATCTCGAGTTAACACCTAACATCAAAACTAAAAGAACAAGAGCCAAGAGCAAACAAACCCCAAAGCTAGCAGAAGACAAGAAATAACCAAGATCAGAGCTGAACTAAAGGAGATAGAGACACACACAAAAAAAAAAACGCTTCGAAAAAATCAATGAATCCAGGAGCCACTTTTTTGGAAAAATCCAGGTTTTTGCAAAAAATTAATGAGATAGACTGTTAGCTAGACTAATAAAGAAGAAAAGAGAGAAGATTTAAATAAACACAGTTAGAAATGTTAAGAGGGATGTCACCACTGACCCCACAGGTATACAACTGCATGGAAATCAAACAACCTGTTCCTGAATGACTCTTGGGTAAATAATGAAATTAAGGCAGAAATCAAGAAGTTCTTTGAAACTACTGCAAACAGGTAGCTTTTGAGGAATTTAGCCTTGTCAGAGAAAGTGTCCTTAAAGAAGTGACATTTGAGCTGAGCTCTGAAGGAGTACGAGTTACCTAGGTAAAGCAAGAAGGAGGGAAGGGAATCCAAATGCAAAGGGGTTGGCACGTGCATACACCCTGCAGACAGCGTCTGTCCTGTAGTGAAACATGCAGAGATGAAAAAGATAGTTTCTCACACACTAAATATTTATCGAGCAGATGAAGGAATGATGCAAGTCATCGAAAATGCCATTTGGAAAGAAAAAGAGAAAAAAACATTATAAGCAACACTTCTAAAACGCTTTCTGGAATAGACTCCAGCTCTCCATAGACAGTGGGAGTACAGGTGTCTTGTCTCGTCTCTTCCCCTAGCTCCATTTGCACTGGCTTTAGGATGGCATTTTACCGTAGGACTCATCTTCAAATGTATTATGTAAATTAATGAAAAAGTTGGATTTGACAGATAAGATAACATCATTAGGAGCATCTTTTTAGGATTTCATCTTTATAAAACGAGGGGTGGTTGCCTTTCAGAAGCATTCCTGTCACAAAGATAGAGAATATAAAATAAATCCTGCTTTTTTTTAACTTTGTCAATATATGCAAAAATGGAAATACTTCTTATAAATTCTCCAATAGAGAAAAATAATTATACCCTAGTTGAATTTTAAATAATCCTTGATGCTTTGTCTACTTGCACTTAACATCCATAGGCAATTTTATGCTTTTAAATGCACTTCATTTGCATTATTTTGGAATATACTAAAATAATTATTCCGATGCATAGTACCAAGAAAACCTTATTTTTAAGCTCTGAGTTAAAAATAGTTGGTTAACACTAGATCGCAGTGTCAATTTTATTTCTAAAGGTGTGTATGTGTATCAAATACTGATTTGATAGGCTGTAAAAAATGGAAGCTACAGTGATTTTGTAAAACTTTACAAAACTTGTATAAAGCTCTCAATTTGTAGCTTCTTTCTTTAGTATCTGACAAGTTAGGTTGACGAGGTGGTTGTAAATATCTTTCATACAAATCACTTATTAACTTCCCTTTTCCTTGAAAAGAAATCCAGCAAAGTAAATGCTTAGAGTGTTGGTTTGATTCACACCACTCCTTACGAACCATGTGAATCTGTGAAACTCAGTGTCTTCCTCTAATGCTACAGGTCAGCAAATAACAGCCACAGGCCAAATCTACATTTTAAATATACTTTTAAATGTAGTTACATATTTTAATGTTGGGGAAAAAGTAATAAGGATATTTTATCACATGTGAACATTATGTGAAATTCAAGTTTCAGTGCCCATAATAAAGTTTTATTGGCACACAGCCACGTTCATTTGTTTACATATTGTCTAGGGCTGTTTTTATGCTACAACAGCAGAGTTGAGTAGCTGTGATGGGCTACAAGGCCCACAAAGTCTAACATGTTTACTCTCTGGCCCTTTTCAGAAAAAATTTGCAAAGCCAACAGTGGGAGGGATACTCACTCAGGAAGCAGTTGAGAGGTTCAAAGCAGACAGTATGATTCAAATGCAATGTGAAAAGAACAACACAGTGGCATCCGGGTGTTCTTCTGCAACTTTGCAGTTGTTTTAAGCTTTCGATGTAATAGTGATGTTAAGGCAGTTATTATACTCAAACAGCAAAAGGAGGCTCCTGCACACTGTTTTTCAGTGTTCCCAGACTACTGCAGCATGGATTCTCATCTTAGTACAGTAAAGAAGGGCCTAAGCCTTCCCCTTTCCCAGCTACAAGGGCAGCAAATGCTAGGACTGAGGATTGGGTTCCCTAGGGGCCAGTGCCAGCTCTGCCACTTAAGGGCAGATAACTTCAGAAGATAGAACTGTTGTCCCCGAGGCATTCTTCATTTTGTTAGGTACATCGCCTCATTCTAGAAACTCAGTCTTTTTTTTTTTTTTAAGGTGGTTTTGCTATGTTGTCCAGGTTAGCTTCAAAATCCTGAGCTCAAGTGATCCTCCTGCCTCAGCCTCCTGAGTAGTTGGGACTATAGGCATATGACATGATACCCAGCTAGAAACTCAGTCTTTTATCTTTTACTCATTTTCCCGAGGCCAGTTGTTCATTGCCAACTCATGCACACTGAATTCTACTCCACCCCCTGTTTTGGTCCCTGTGAAAGAGCATGGGCTTTGGGGTCAGTCACACCTAAGTTCCAGTCCCAATCCTGCCATGTATTTATCATGTGAATGAATATAACTTGCCTTTGTGCTAGTTTTCTTTTTTATAAAATGTGGATGATGTTCTCGTGAGGATTAAATTAGGTGGGTATGAGAGTTCCTGACACATAGAAGTCTCCTGGTGAATGATAATTGAATTGGAACCCCATTTGACCTATGCTGCAGTTGCAGGGGGTTGGAGGGTGTTGGTTATTGAACAAGACAAAACCCACCTCTGTTTCCTGCCAGAGAGCTGGGAGGAGGGAGAAAGAAAGAAATGGAGGCAGGAGTCAGATCAACACAGTGGAGACCCACGTGTCATATCAGCTTTATCATTGGTAAAATCTAGGTCAGCAAACAAAGCTTTGGTTTGCAGGCGGGTGGCCTTGTTGATACTCTGCTCTTGAATTAGACACACTCAGGCATTAGTGCCACTGCGCAGCCGCAGCCCCTGGAGCACAGACAGCAGGGACAGGCCCCTTTGCAACATAGGAGAGAGAGGAACAGAGCGGAACCTCTGCTGTCTCTAAGTAGGTAAAAGAGAGGAGAGAAAGGTGTGGTGACTATATGCACACCCCATGCTTTCTGCGAGGGGGCCAGAGGGAGGAGGCTCTGGGAGGAGGCAAGGTGTCATTTGGGGAAGTTGGTTCCCACAGAAACATGAGGATTAGGGAATAAGCATTCCCCCCGGTAGCCCAGGTTCTGTCCAGGTGGAGAAAGACCACCCTTATTGTCTCTCATCAAGTTCTCCCTCCCAAAGGTGGTAGACTGCTTAAAGCCTTTCTTTTTTACTCTTCTGCCCTCCCAGTGCAATGTGCTAGCCTTGGCCTGCTCCTAGGAACATTTTATGTGGAGTATGATCATGGAATTGAAAGAATATGTGTAGAAATACTGCCTTCAGACCTATGAGGCTTTGTTAGTTTGACATAATTAGGAAGCTGTAATTTTTTCCAGAATGTAGAGCTCAGACTTTATTGACCCATTTAATTTTTTTTTAATAATGACATTTTACTAGAGCAGAACAGCATGTAACCTAGATAGCCTGTGGCTAGATCTCTGAATGATTTTAATTAAAAATAATGTCTCCACTTCTGGTAGATGGACTTTTTCCACAATATCCTGGCAACAAAACAATCTGGGAGAAAAAACTTCCTTGGTTTCTGTTGTTCTTACTAATAGAATAACCATACTGTCAATTTTCAATTTAGAAGGTTAATGTATATATATAATGTTTCCTAAAGGAACATTACCTTTTAATTAAATAATCAGTTTTATCAAATTAACCTTTAGACCTTTTCAATTTCACTGAGCTGAGTTTCCATTAAATCAAAATATAGAGTAGGAGGATGTTAATCGAATGTTCTTGGAACTAGTCATTTCTAGGTCTGTTCTGTCTGCAGGGTACATATTCACTGAGTTGGTACCTTTCTGACTCATTTGTCCCTGACCCCGTTAGCCTCTATTTCCGATGAGAAGGTTCCTAGTAGGGATGAACCTAAGGCTTTGGCCCCTCTGCTTGCCACTCTGGCTCCTCCCCAGAGGGGAGCCATTCATCTGGTGTTGGAGGTGGGCTGGGGTTGGGGAGAGGGGATCGAGCTTGCTGGCTTAGCGCCTTTGTCTCACTGTTGGGTCTTCCCTCGGACAGAGTCCATTCTCTCATGGTTGCCATCCCAAGCCTAAGTAACTAATAGAACAAGATCCTAAGGAGCATTGGAATAAGGAACTAATTCCATGTCACTCTTCAAGTTCCACTGAGAGAGGATCATCTATTCCCTAGGAGGCTGGAGGCTGTGGGATTTCTTTTTCCAACTCTTCCTTAGAAAATATGGAAGTGGGGTAGGGGCCGTGGGATAGGGGTGACTCCAAGGGAGGAGAGGATGCTTATCTGGTGATTGGGAGTGAGAAGGACTTCGTGCTCATCTTACCCCTTTCTTTTTTAGAAGGGCCTGTCCTCAGGATGGATGTATTCCCTGTTTGTTTGTGCCTTAAGTTTCCTAGAGAAGGCTTTGGGAGGGGGATGCCTACCTGTCTTGGGGTGGGGGGAAAAATCGGTTTAGGAGGAACTTACTAGGGAGCACAGTCGTAGCTGTGTATCAAGCATATTCTCCAACTCAGGCTCATTCATTGGTTCAGTTCATTCAAAAGTATTTATTACTGATTTATTAATTGATCAGCCTATTAAAAATGCTAGGCATTGCTCTTGATGATGGGGATACAGCAGTGAACAAACAGAAGTCCTTGCCTTTGTGGAACTTACGTTTTTAGAGGGGAGAGACAGGCAAGAAAAGAAATAATTACACAAAATATATGGAATGTTAGAGTGGGGTAAGTATCTTTACGGGGAAGGAAGAAGGGAAGTGGGATAGAAAATGTCAGGGAGGGGACAGTTTATAAAGAAGGATTAGGGAAGGCCTCATTAAGAGGGCAACATGGAGTAAACACCTAAAAGAAGTAAGGGATGCATTGATGCAGCTATCTGGGGAAAGAACATTCCAGAAGGAGGAGACAACCAACACATGTAAAGGTCCTGAGGTGGGAGTGTGCCTGGAATGTTTAGGGAACACCCTCCACCCTCTGATTCAGTCATTTTGTAGTGTGAGACCCTTCAGTAGCTGCGCCATTGTTCTCAAAAGCAGAGCCTACATTCTTTATAAGCCTGGCTTATGCTGTAGCCCTGACTCCACGCTCCTTCTCCCTCTCCCTCTCCCCATCTGGCTTACGTCAGTTGGGTCTATTCCGGAGGATTTTCTACCACACACCCTTCATATGTGTTCTACTATCTATCTAGATGGTTCTCTCACCTTTTCACCTGGCCTGTTCCTCCTCACCCTTCAAGTCTCAGCTTAAATGTCACCTGATCAGGGAGGCCTTTTCTTCTCTTCCCATCCCACTCAGACTATATTATGTTCTCATTTGCTGCTGCCCTTTCCTTTGCTGTCTTTTTTTAGCCATACCATGTCTGAATATGGGAGGATGACAGACACAGAACGAGACCAGATAGACCAGGATGCCCAGATATTCATGAGGACCTGTTCAGAAGCAATTCAGCAACTACGAACAGAAGGTAAAGTGCTCTGAAAGATGCAAACAAGCAACCATGAATATAGCAAGTAGTTAAACAAGATGCATATGGTGCGGCCAGTTAAAATTCCCTCTTCTTATTTCGATTTAGGTTTTAAAACGTTAAAATCTTTTCTTTCTTGATCAATGTTTTAACCAAAGCTGTTAAAAGTACTGCAAAGGCTGTATCATTCAAGTTAAACCAATGAGAGGAGGGAGATGGAAAGGACCTCTCCAAACAGAACCAAAAATATATCTAGGGGCCAGGGGCAGTGAAGACAAATTTGTGTGTGTGTGTGTGTGTGTGTGTGTGCGTGTGTGTGTGTTCTGTGTGGCAAATTGTATGTGTGTGGGTGTGTATGTGTGTATGCACATGTGTGCCTCTGTTCTGTGTGGCATTTAGTGGGATGGGAGTTGACAGCAGCCTGGGGTACTTAAGCTCTACTTGTAATATTCAAGTAAACTTTCCTATCAAACCTTCAAGGTTAGGAGGAAGGCTCTGGAGCCAGGGCTGCTTAGGTTGCACCCCAACTCCACCCGTCCGAGCCATATAGCCCTCTGCAAATCACTTAATCTCCCTGGGCCTTGTTTTTTTGTCTATGAAATGCAGACAATTAGGGAATGTATCTCTAGGGTTGTTATGAGCATTAAGTTAAATTCCTACAGCATGCTTAGAACTGTGTCTGGCACAAGAGCGCTTATTATCTCACTTTCGTTGATGTTTAATTCTCACTGAGACAATGAGATGGCTTCCCAAGTCACGCCTCTTTCTTGATTCTTTTTTAATTTGCTTAGGCATTTACAGAGTACATTAAATAGTAAGTAGAGTTCAAAGCTGCCAGATGCTGTTGTGCTCACAACACAGACTTTTGTTGGGGAGGTTTTTATTAGAATGCTGACGGACCACTTGGAGACTCTGATGGAAGCAATAGGCATTCTTGCCAGAAAAATGTACATACACAAAATTCTATATGCAATTTCACAGAGCTCCTGAGTCCCCCACACAAATCTTGGGTTAAGCAGCCCTATAGTAAGGCAGAAATCATGCCCTCTACCCTTAAGGGCATATACATTCATTGAGAGACCTAAAAAATGCACAGGAATATTTAACAAAACCTACATTTACATATGAAACCATCTAACCTTGGGCTATTTATTGCCTCTGAACCTTAGTTTCTTCACGTGTAAAAATCAGGAAACTCGGAATTGCTATTGTAATTACTAGCAGTACATATGTAAAGTGCTAGCAGAGTACCTGCACGCAGTAGGCACTCAGTCTCTCAGTCAGTGGTCACTATCTTACCAAAACCAGTGGCACAGACTTTAGGTCTGGTAAGGCCTTTTAGCACACTTCTGTGTGGTAGTTCCCAGGAGAAAGGCATCTTTGTGGCTAGGAGTCATAGGTTTCCTGGAGACAGAAAGTTTGACTCATTGTCTAAGGGACCCTTAGAATGTGAGTGGCCAAGGGGAGAGGATGGGGCACTACAGGCTGAAAAGCAGCACAGGTTCAAGCAGGGAGGAGTGTGTGATTTCAGTTGTTTAAACATGTTCGCTGAAGGTCAGCTTGAGCATTGGATGCTGTTAACACAGATGGGGTCAGCACTCAAGAAGTGGCTGCGTCAAATACTATCCTTAAGTGTTCTGATAAACCATAAATTATTTGACTATAGATTTTCTACAGGTTTAATCTTTCACTCTTGCGAAGCCTGATACATCTTACTGTTTTAAAAATGTAGTGTCACTTGGCACAAGACTTGTTTTATAGCTGTGTTTTAAAAAATACTCTCAATAAAGAAAGTGTTGTGAGGAAGCTGATGAATTGCTCTTTAGGATAATTGAGTGCGAAGGCCTGAACATTGTCTTTTTCTGTTACAGCTCACAAGGAGATACATTCCCAGCAAGTGAAGGAGCACAGGACCGCTGTTTTGGATTTCATTGAAGATTACTTGAAAAGTATTTCATTTTCTTTTAAAGGTCAAATGTAACATTTCACAATAGATGTGATGCAGAATTTAGCTTTGCTAGCTGAAGACTGTAGTATCTCATTATATTTAATGATGGCTTTGCCTGAGAAGCTGTTTTAAGCAGTCTCTCTTCTGGTATTTTCTTCTGCAACAGGAGTATGTAAACTTTACTCAGAACAGAGAGCCATCCGAGTTAAAAGAGTGGTGGATAAGAAAAGATTGTAAGTATTGCTTTCATTGGTGTTTCTTAATTAATAATAGTACTACTAATAATAGCAGTTAAAGTTTGTAGAGCACTTACCCTATGCAATGTACCGTGTTTGAACTTCTTCGCAAAATGCCATAGCTGGCGCTACCGGGCACTCACTGTGTGCCAGGCAGCATGCCAGCCACTTTATTGGCCCACAACAAACCCCCATGAGGCAGGTACTGTTTCCTCCCTCATTTTACAAATGAGGAAGTTGAGGCTCAGGAGGCTTGGCCACTCACCCTAGATCCCACAGTCCCACAGGTAGCATAGCTGGGGTTTGAGCCTAGGCTGTTGGTCCAAAATCTGTGCTCTTGCCCATTTTGTCTCTTAACCCGATGAGGCTGGCACATCTTGAGCCATTTTACCTCAATCTCTTTGACCCCCATACCCCTTCTTGTCGTCCCTGAAAGTGTATTCCTGAGAGAAGAGCGAGGGCACAACAAGCAGGCCACCACAAGGCTGTCCTCAGGTCACCTGTGACAGACTTGCTCGATGCCACATGCTCTGAGTGCACACCTCCCTCCAACCCCACTACCTGTCCCATGCAGGCACTATTAGGAGCCCTGTCAGCAGGTAAGGACGCTGACGCTCCAGCAGGGTAAATGACTCATCCAAGGCCACAGGAAGCAGGAGGGCCAGGCTCCTGTATTTTCCATGGCGCCTGCCTGGTTTCCCCTCTGGGCTCACATGAGCATCTGGAATGCAAGAGCTGTGTCCTCACAGTCGTTCCCGCTGCAACTCAGCCAGTCTTGGAGATGGAATACATCAGTGAGCAAGTATCCAAACCTGGACCATTTCTAGACTAGCTTTAGAAAGGTTTTAGGATGTTCTTTCAGAAGATAACATCACATAACTGTTTGGGGACACATTTTCTTTTTTGTTTTTTTTTGTTTTTTTTGTTTTTGAGACAGGGTCTCACCCTGTCTCCCAGGATGGAGTGCAGTGGCACGACCTCCTGGGCTCAAACAATCCTCCCACTTTAGCCTTCCGAGTAGCTGGGATTACAGGCATGTGCTACCATGTCTGCCTATTTTTTAATTTTATTTTATAAGGGTGGGATGTCACTATGTTGCCCAGGCTGCTGTCAAACTCCTGGGCTCAGGCAATCCCCCTGCCTCCCAAAGTGCTGGACTACAGGCGTGAGCCACCATGTCTGGCCCACATTTTTTAAATTCTTACTGTGTCAGGGGTCCCCAGCACTACTCTCTGGTTCTAGGATTCACTAAGAGGTCTCATGGGACTCAACATACAGTCCTGCTCCTGGCTATGATTTGTCACACTGAAAGGATACGAAGCAAAACAGCAAAGGAAAAGGCATGTGGGACAAAAGTCCAGAGGAAACCAGGCATGAGCTTCTAAGAGTACTCTCCCAGTGGAGTCACACAGCATGTGACCTATGACAACACGTGAAGTGTTGTCTACCAGGGAAGCTCATTAGTAACTCATTGCCCAAGGATTCTGTTAGGGGCTGGTCACATAGGCACCTCACACCTGGCATCTACCGAAACTCTAGACTCCCAGGAGGAAAGCAGGTGCTCAGCACTGAACTGCATTCAAACCGCATGTTTTGCAAAACAGTTCAGGCACGGCGAGCTGTTTTTATCAATTAGGATGGCATGAACTCTGCCAAAGTCCAACTTCTCAGATGCCAGGCAAGGGTTAACCTTGCAAGCAGGCCTTTCTAAGGATAGCAGCCTCAGGCCTACTACATGAACCCTTTTCTGCACATTTGTGAAACAGATGTGAAATTGTTAATGCCAACAAATAGAAGCATTTGTGGAAGATAGTAAGCAGATCAGTCAAGTTATCTGTCAGCAACAGCTACTATTATATAATGCACTGAGAGGGTAGCTTGAGAGAAGCCATAGATTAAGTCTTTGTGCTTAGAGAGCTTAGAAGCAGGCTGGGTTGCTATTAAACATGAAAAATTAGTCAGCTTAATCAGGATATGTCATAATTAGTGAAATCGGTAGTAAGCTCAGAGGGGGAAATGGTACGATCAAGTGGCATAGTATAATGCCTAAGAGCCAGACTCTGCAACCAGACAGCCTGTGTTTGAATCCTGGCTCTGCCACTTTCAAACTGTGTGACTTTGAGCAGGTTGCTTAACTTTTCTGGGCTTTTGTTTCCTTACCTATAAAATGGGAAAACTCATAGTACCTAACTTGTAGTGCTGTTGTGAGAACAAAATGAAGATACAGATAAAACACTTACAGTGAGTTAATAAATGTTAATTTGTACTATTATCTACCACTAAGCATTTACCATGTGCCAGGCAGTATATTATTTTATTTCATTAATCCTCAAAAAGCCACCATATCTTTAAATATTAGTATTTCATTTTCTAAATTAGGATATTGGGGCTCAGCAAATTTGGGTTAGCTGTCCAGCATCACAGCTGAATCAAGATTTGAATCTCAGGGTAATTGGAGCAGATTTCTCAAGCAATGGGGTTTGTGTTGGCTGTCAAAAGAAAAATATCTGGGTGTGTGAATTAGAGAGATAGAAAGCAGTCCAGACTTGGGGAAGAGTTTGAACTGAAGATCTGGGACACGATGAGACCAGTTAGCTCCAAGACATTACGGAGAAGGAGGTAGGCCTCTGATGATGCGTGATTTGTCATCAAGATGGTGTGGTGGTCACTGGGTCTCACACTCACCAGGGAGAGGAATGCGGATTTCTCCTTCACTATCCCAAGTGGACTTCACAGGTACCCAAGTAAAGTAAGAAGAGATTTTTGCTGCTACCTTAGTTCTTGTTTCTCAGCAGAGGCCTTGACTAAAATACAAATTAATATCAGTCAGATGGGAATTGTTCTCATTTAGACAGCGAAGTATAGCCTTGTCTCCTGCCACATAGTTAGCTGCCCTGTGCCAATTACTTTGCACAAAAGACCTTGAGGGAAATAATGATGTGACCCTTCACAATGTAGTTCAGCACCCTCCTTCTTGTCCTTTCCTCATCTTTAGGCAGAAGGCATCTGCCTAAAACGTACATGTGATTTTATCACTCCCTTGCTTCCATGTCTTACAAAGGCTAGACAGCATGGCATGTGCCTGGACAACAGCCACAGTAACTCACCACAGTAGTGTGACAACTCCTGAGCTTGTCTATACTCTGTCCAGCGAAATGAGACCACTGATTAAATGGCAGTGTCATTTATGCTATGTTTCTAGATGCTTACTCTTCATTTTTGTACTTATCTTGTAGCAGACCAGTAACAAACAGTCCATGGTCTGGTTCTGTTCCATGGACCACACTTGGAGTAGCACTGGGTTAGAAAGTCACCTAGTATGTAGTGTATGCCCAGTAAATATCTGTTCAGTGAGTGAGTAGTGGTGAAGGTGGCTTCATTGAGGTAGTGTGAAGCATCTCCTGCTTTGGGGGTCCACGGTACCTGTGCCTGAGTGGACACATTTGTCTGAAAGCTAGTTTTAAAATTATAGTACTATGATATTATATATCAAAAATATCTTCTTTCTACCCAGAGCCTTTGCTGGAGGCATAAAAGAAGGACAGGCGTACCTCGGAGATATCACAGGTGTGGTTCCAGACAGCAACAAAGTGAATATCACAATAAAGCAAGTCACAAAGACATTTTGGTTTCCCAGTGCATATAAAAGCTATGTTTATACTATAAAGTGTGCAATAACATTATGTCTAAAAAAAATCATGTGCATACCTTAATCAGAACATACTTTATTGCTGAAAGTGCTAATGTTTGTCTGAGCCTTAGGTGAGTTGTAATCTTTTTGTTGGTAGAGGGCCTTGCCTCAGTGTTGATGGCTACTGACTGATTGAGGGTGGGGGTTGCTGAAGGTTGGGGTGGTTGTGGCAGTTTTTAAAATAAGACAACAATGAAGTTTGCTGCATCAACTGAGTCTTCCTTTCACAAAAGGTTTCTCTATTGTGTGCAGTGCTGTTTGATAGCATTTTACCCATAGCAGAACTTCTTTCAAAATTTGAGTCAGTCCTCTCAAACCCTGTTGCTGCTTTGTCAACCAAGTTTATGCAATATTCTAAGCCCTTCCTTGTTATTTCAACAATGTTCACAGTCTCTTCACCAAGAGCAGATTCCATCTCAAGAAACCGCTTTCTTGGTTCATCCATAATAAGCAGCTTCTATCCATTCAAGTGTGATCGTGAGATTGCAGCAGCTCAGCCGCATCTTCAGTCTCCACTTCCAATCTTAGTTCTCTGGCTGTTTCCACCACATCTCCAGTGACTTCCTCCACTGAAGTCTTGAACCCCTCAAAGTTATTCAGGAAGGTTGGAATCCACTTCTTCCAAACTCCTGTTAAAGTTGATATTTTGACCTCCTCCCATGAATCACGAATGTTCTTAATGGCGTCTAAGATGGTGAAACCTTTTCAGAAGGTTTTCAATTTACTTTACCCAGATCTGCCAGAGGAATCACTATCTATAGCAGCTATAGCCTATGAAATGTGAGGTTTTTTGGTTTGTTTTGAGTTGGGGTCTCACTCTGCCACCCGGGCTGGAGTGCAGTGGCAGTCATGGCTTACTGCAGCCTTGAACTCCTGGGCTCAAGCAGTCCTCCCACCTTAGCCTCTCGAGTAGCTGGGACTACAGGCATGTGCCACCATGCCCAAGATTTTTGGAATGGTAAATGAGCATCGGCTTCAGCTTAAAATCATCTGCTGCATTAGCCCTTAACAAGAAAGTCACCCTATCCTTTGAAGCATTGAAGTCAGCCATTGACTTCTCCTCTGTAGCTATGGAAGTCCTAAATGGCATCTACCTCCAATTCCAATAGAAGGCTGTTTTATGTAAATTGAAAATCTGTTGTTTAGTATAGCCACTTTGATCAATTATCTGAGTTAGATCTTCTGGATAACTTATTGCGGCTTCTGTGTCAGCACTTGCTAATTCACCTTGTACTTTTACATTATGGAATCGACTTCTTTTTTTAAATGTCATGAACCAACCTCTGCTGCCTTCCAACTTTTCTTTTGCAGCTTCCTCACCTTTCTTAGCCTTCACAGAATCGAAGAGAGTTAGGGCCTTGCGCTGAATTAGGCTTTGGCTTAAGGGAATGTTGTGACTGATTTGATCTCTCCAGACCACTCACACTTTCTCCCATCGGCAATAAGGCTGTTTTGCTTTCTTATCATTTGGATATTCACTGGAGTAGCACTTTAATTTCCTTTAGTAACTTTTCCTTTGCATTCACAACTTGGCTAACTCTTCGGCACAAGAGGTCTAACTTTTAGCCTGTCTCAGCTTTTGACCTGCCTTCTAACTAAGATTCATAATTTCTAGCTTTTGACTTCAAGTGAGTGATACGCAACTCTTCTTTCACTTGAACACTTAGAGGCCGCTGCTGGGTTATTCATTGGCCTGTGTTATGTCTCTAGGAATAGGACGGCCCGAGGAGAGGGAGAGAGAGGAGAAAATGGGAACAACTGGGCCGGGGAGCAGTCAGAGCACACACAACACTTATGAAGTACGCTGTCTTATGTGAACGTGCTTTGTGGCACTCCAAAACAGTTACAAAAGTCACATCAGAGATTACTGATCACAGATCAGAAATATAATAATAATGAAAAAGTTTGAAGTATTTTGAGAATTACCAAAATGTGACAGAGACACAAAGTGAGAACATGCTGTTGGAAACATGGCATCAATAGATTTACTCCATGCAGTGTTGCCACATACCCTCCATTTGTAAAAACAAACAAAAAATGCAATATCTGCAGAGTGCAATAAAGCAAGGCATACTGAAACAAGGTACGGCTGTATAAGAGCCACGCTGAAATCTGAAACAATTACTTTTGTCTAATAATTATAGCAGGCTGTATTTAAGGTTTGCAAAAACTTCCCACATATTTTCTTGTTTCAAAACTGAAAAAATCTGTCTCTCTTCTGTCTCTTTATGTTCTCTTTAAATTTTAAATAAAATCCTGAGGGTTTTCAAGCAAGGGACCTGGAAGCAGATGCTGGCCAGGTAGAAACTGTTGATTGCATTTCTGAAATGTTCAGCCTTCAGTCAGAGAAATCAGTTTAAATAAATCATGGGGCATAAACTGATCTTTCTGATGGCTTTTTAAAAATTGCTTTCTTTCCCCCAAATTGGCTTCAACTAGTTAATTTGTAATTTCCCTGGGGACTTTAGTAGACATTCTGTATATAGTTAGAATCTGTTTTTATCACTTAAGAAAAGAAAGGCACTCAACTTTGTCTAAGTCTGCTGCACTGTAGTCTTTAATTCCTTTTAAATTGGAAACTTGTACATTAGCATCCTCTGGACACAAAGGATGACAGACATTAAAGGAGTCCTTTATTTTAAAAGTCAGTGAAGCCCTTTGACTTCCTGAAGAAGTCAGTCCTGAAGCCATGCAGTGAGGCAGGGGTAAGGTGGGCGTCTGCAGTCGTGGGGAGCAGCAGTTTTCCAGGGCAGGGAGGAGAGGGTGGCTTAGCATGGGCAGTCATAGCCTAAGCCAGGAGAGGGACTGATCCGTGCTGGAGAGGGATGGAGAGGGGTGGTAGAGGCGGGTGGTTACATTTAGGAGAATAGATCAAATAATAAATACAGAAGGAGGCTGGATGTAGTGGCTCACGCCTGTAATCCTAGCACTTTAGGAGGCCAAGGTGGGTGGATTGCTTGAGGCCGGGAGTTCGGGACCAGCCTGGGCAATATGGCAAAACCCCGTCTCTACTAAAACAAAAATTAGCATGACCTATAGTCCTAGCCATGTGGGAGGCTGAGGCACCAGAATCACTTGACTCGGGAGGTGCAGGTTGCAGTGAGCTGATATTGAGCCACTGCACTCCAGCCTGAGCAACAGAGCGAGACACTGTCTCTAAATAAATAAAGGAGGATATTGAAAGCTAGGTTTCTCACTATAGGAGAAGTGAAAGGGGAAAAGCCCTGTCTGTGGTCTTGGGTGGAAATGAAAGATTGGCACGAATTCACGGTTTTCAATTTCCAAAGATCAATACAGAAGTAACTATGGTTGTAAATGTGTACGTATGTACACATTTATACGCGTGTATGAAAATGCATGCATATATTTTCTTGCTCTGGCCACTGAGGAGGCCTGGAAACAGTGACACTGTAATAGCAATAAGCGTAGTTAGCACTCAGATCTTGTCTTCTAAATACCAACTTCACCTTCAGGGAGCCAGGCCTCTTAGGGAAATGGCTGATTCTTAAACTGGAGCAGGGAACATATAAACCTGGAACAAGGAAGGGCTCAGAATGTTAGGACGTGTCTAAAGGACACAGCCATCAATTTGAAGCGGTGTCTACTGGCCAAATTAGAGATAACTTAAGCATAAAAATAAATGGCAGTAGCACATTATAACACATTCAATGAGATAGGACATTATGAATCCATCTAAATAGGAATAAATAAATGAATAAATTGAAAGATTGAAATTGATACATAGTGTCAAAGCACTGCTCCCCCTGGTACTTACTAATTACAAAGGGGAAGAGAATAACTTGACAGTGGGGAAGCCTAGCAGTCACCACCTTCATCAAGTGGGCAAAGGGAAATCACACACAACCTAATAGGATGCAGCAAGAAGAAAGCATCACTTTTGTGATTTCTGCCAAAGAAGCATGACTTGAATCCAACCGCGAGGAAACATCAAACTCAAATTCAGAGATCTCTTACAGAATAAGTGACACATTATTGTGTGTTGAGGCCGTGAAACTCAAGGAGAGACTGAAGAGCTGTTCCAAACAAGGAGACTGAAGAGAAGTACTAGTTAGGAGCAGTGTGTGATGCTGTTGTTATAAAGGATATTACTGAGATAACTGGTCAAAATAGAGTGGGGTGGGGGGGTGCCGTGCACAGTGGCTCACACCTATAATCCCAGCACTTTGGGAGGCCGAGGTGGGAGGGAGGATTGCTTGAGGCCAGGAGTTTAAGACCAACCCGGGCAATATAGTGAGATCCCATCTCTACAAAAAATTTAAAAATTAGCTGGGTGTGGTGACATGCACCTGTAGTCCCAGCTTCTCAGGAGGCAGAGGTGGGAGGATCGCTTAAGCCCAGGAGTTCAAGGCTGCAGTGAGCTATGATCACAACACTACACTCTAGCCTGGACAACAGAGTGAGACCTTATCTCAAAAAAAAAAAAAAAAAAAAAAGAATGGGGTCCAAGGGAGAAATGGAAGTAATGTAATAATATTTTTCATAACTTTTTTTTTGGTCTACTGCTTTTTTAGTGTTTGCAACAACTCTAGTAGTAGATATTGTTGGAAGGATATTGGAAGCCAGGTTTCTCACTCAGAAAAATGAAAGGGATAAAGCCAGAATGAACCCTGTGGTGTTGGGTTGGAATGAAAGATACTGAAAGCCATTTTACAGTTAAGAAAACCAAGGCCTAGAGGTTAGGTGGTAAACCAGGGGAGCACCTACTGTGTGCCAGGCTTCATGCCAGGCACTTTCTCATGGGTGATCTCATTTAATCTTTGAAAGAACTCTTTGAGAAAGATAGTATTTTCTCCATGTTGCAGATGAAGAAAACTTAGACAAAGAGGATAAAATTGGCTGGGCGCGGTGGCTCATGCCTGTAATCCCAGCACTTTGGGAGGCCGAGGCAGGTGGATCACTTGAGATCAGGAGTTTGAGACCAGCCTGGTCAACATGGCAAAACCCCACCTCCACTAAAAATACAAAAATTAGCTGGGTGTAGTGGTGCACTCCTGTAATTCCAGCTACTCGGGAGGCTGAGGCACAAGAATCGTTTGAGCCTGGAAGGTAGAGGTTGTGGTGAGTTGAGATCGTGCCACTGCACTCCAACCTGGGTGATGGAGTGAGACTCTGTCAAAAAAAAAAAGCATAAAATAAAACCCATCCAAGGCCACACTAAAAATAAGTGGCATTCTAGAATTTAAGCCCTTTGTTGGCTCCAAATCCCATTGTAAATGTGTCTTTTTCAAGGCAGTCAGTAAACCAGTGGTTTAAGGAGTCTCATCTCCAGACTGCCATGGGATTTACAGAATTGCTGGAGTAACCTGACAGCCAAGACAGCGTGGGAGGGCATCAGGTCAGTCTGGTGTGCAGTGTGGCCAAGGAGAAAGCCCCCTACCACTCGAGTAGCCTTTGGCCACCACCCTAGGCCACTGCCCTGCTACTCTGTCAAGGCTCCTTCAGTCCTTCCCCCTTCACAGTGACATTCAGAAGATCAGCAGCTAGTTGGGCCAGCACTGAAGACCCTGCTAAGTCCCTTGTACAGATTGTACAAGTATACTCTTTTCTCTGAATTATTTGCATTATTTATGGGTTGGTTCAGCAGTTTTCTTCTGTTCCTCCATCGGTCTGCATCTTGTCAGAGGAAAAAAATGTATATTGCTTTAAGACTTCACAAAAAAAATTGTCTTATTAACCATTCTGCCTTTTGTTATTTCACAGTAATAATAGCAGCAGCAGCAGTAGTGTAATCGTTGTAGTAATAGCTAATTTTTTGAGCTCTTACTATGTGATGTAGACTGTGCTGAGTTAGCACTTACATATAAAGCAGTAACTCTAACAAGAAAGATAGTCAGAGCCCCATTTTTTTTTTTTTTTTTTTTTTTTTTTTTTTTTTTTTTTTTTGTGAGACGGAGTCTCGCTCTGTCGCCCAGGCTGGAGTGCAGTGGCGCGATCTCGGCTCACTGCAAGCTCCGCCTCCCGGGTTCACGCCATTCTCCTGCCTCAGCCTCCCGAGTAGCTGGGACTACAGGCGCCCGCTACCACGCCCGGCTAATTTTTTGTATTTTTTTAGTAGAGACGGGGTTTCACCGTGTTAGCCAGGATGGTCTCGATCTCCTGACCTCGTGATCCGCCCGCCTCGGCCTCGCAAAGTGCTGGGATTACAGGCGTGAGCCACCGCGCCCGGCCCAGAGCCCCATTTTATAGGTGGGAAAACAGGCTAAGAAATTTTGCTATTTGTCATTTAGTAACTGGAAAAAAAAATCTGAAAATTCTGGCAGATGAGTATCTTGTCAAGCTAGTTTGAAAATTTGCTAATGTGTCAGGTTGCTCAATTCCTACATCCCAAAACTAATATTTGAGGTAAAATATTAAGTCATAGATGCTAAATTTAATAATCATATGTGTATACCTAGTGTCAAACATGGAGCAGATCCTCAGTTTATCTTTAAATAGGTTTCTCTTTTAGGTTTTTAACTGGCTTTTCCTTTGCTTAACACATTTATTTTTGAGACTTACCCTTGCTATGTTCTTCTTCATTGCTGAATGGTATTGCATTGCATGAAAGTAACCCCACTGGCTTATCCATCCTGTTGGTGGACATTTAGGTGTTCCCATTTTTTTGGCTATGATGGATAAGGCTGCTGTAAACATTCTTTTATAGGCCTTTGTGTGGATCTATCTTTTCATTTCTTTTGGGTAAACAACTAAAAGTGGGTTGTCATAGTAGAGATGTTTCTTAGACTTAGTAAGAAACTGTCTTAAGTTTTCCAGAGTGATAACACCATTTGACACACTGTCCAGCAATGTATGAAAGTTACAGTTCCTCCACATGGCAGGATTTGGCATTGGCCATTTTTTCTAGCCATTCTACTGGATGTGGAGTGGTATTTCATTGTGGGTTTAGTTTGCATTTCCTCACTGACTAATATTGTTAATCACCTTTTCATGTGTTGATTGACTATTCATTTTCTTCCTGTGAAGTATCTGTTCAAGTCTTTTACTCATTTCTGTATTAGAGGATTGTTTGGCTGTTGATTTGTATAGGAGTTCTTTGTATATTCTGCATACATATCCTTATATACATGCTGCAAATATTTTTTCCTATTCTGTGGTTTATTTATTTTCTTAATGGTGTCTCTTGGTGAGCAGAAATGCTTAATTTTGAGGAAGTTGAATTTTATTAATTTTTACTTTGTCTACCCCAAGGTCACTAAGATATTATTTTATGTTTTCTTCTAGAAGCTTTATGATTCTGGGTGGTATGTTTAGGTCTATCATCTGTCTCAGACCAACTTTTTGATAGGATGAAATGGGGTTGAGGTTTATTTTATTCTATATAATAACTGGGGTTGAGGTTTATTTTATTGTATATAAATATCTATTTATTATATCAATGTTTGTTTAAAACACTTTCTTTTTCTCATTGAATTGACCTGGCATCGTCATCAAAAGTCAGTTGACCCAAACATGTATATGTCTGTTTCTGGACTCTATTCAGTATCATTGGTCTGATTGTCCTTATGCTACTGCCACACTGTCTTGATTACTGTGGTTTTATCATAAGTCTTGGAATCAGCTAGTTGTAAATCCTTCAAATTTCTAAATTTTCAGTATTGTTTTTGCTATTTTAGATTTTTTGTATATTTCCATATCAATTTTAGAATCAGCTTTTCGGTTTCTTCAGAAAATCTGCTAGAATGTTTATAGGGATTATGTTGAATTTATAGATCAATTTGGGGAGAATGGACATCTTAACATCTATCCACAAACATAGTATATCTTTGCATTTATTTCTGTCTTCCACTTTATTTTTAAATTTCTTTTTCTCAGCAATATTTTGTTATTTTCAGTGTAGACATCTTGCTCATCTTTTGTTAGATTTATTCCTGGATTTTTTTTTTATTCTATTGTAAACGATACCATTTTGTTAATGTTATTTTCCAGTTTCTCGTTGCTAGTATATAGAAATACAATTAATTTTTGTATATTGACCTGTCTACAACTTTGATTAATTCACATGTAGTTCTAGTAGCTTTTTTTGTAAATTCTTTTCTTTTTTTTTGTTTTTTGTTTTTGTTGTTGTTGTTGAGACGTAGTTTCGTTCTTGTTGCCCAGGCTAGAGTGCAGTCGCTCGATCTTGGCTCACTGCAACCTCCACCTCCCGAGTTCAAGCAATTCTCCTGCCTCAGCCTCCTGAGTAGCTGGGATTACAGGCGCCCACCACCATGCCCGGCTGATTTTTGTATTTTAGTAGAGATAAGGTTTCACCTCGTTGGCCAGGCTGTTCTTGAACTCCTGACCTCACCTCAGGTGATCCACCTGCCTCGGCCTCCTAAAGTGCTGGGATTACAGGCATGAGCCACTGCACGTGACCTTTTTATTGTAAATTCTATCAATTTTCTACATACATAATCATACCATATGTGAATAACAGTAGTTTTGCTTTTTAATCTTTATGCCTTTTATTTCTTGTTCCTTTCTTGTTTTATTGCACTGGCTAGGGCCTGGACCTCTGGTACCATGTTGAATAGAAGTGGTTAGGATGGACATCTTTTCCTTGCTCTTGATTAAGGGACAAGGATTTAATACTTCACCATTAAGTATGAAGTGTTGGGATTATAGGCATGAGCCACTGCACCCAGCGCACCCATGTTTGTTTATTTGTTTGTTAGTTTGTTTTCATATTTGTGGTTCATTTTTTTATGTGTATATCACAGAAGTAGGTATTATGTAGCTGTTCTTTATCAGGTTAAGGAAATTTCCTTTCTTATTGAGGGATTTGCTAGAAGAACTCATGGAACTCAGAAACACTATTATACTCATAGTTACAGTATATTATAGTGAAAGAATACAGATTAAAATCACCAAAGCTAAAAGGCACATAGGGCAAACTCCAGGAGAGATCAGGTACAAGCTTCTAGCTGTCCTCTCCCAGTGGAATAGTGTAGACAGCACTTAATTCTTCCAATATGTGTCTCCCAATACCTGTGTCACCATGTATTGTCAATCAGGGAAGCTCACCTGAGCCTTGGTGTTCAGGGTTTTCATTGGGGGTCAGTGATGTAGATGTGAAGTGCTAGCATAGCAGGCCGTAGTTAACTCAGTCTCCAGCCCCTCCAGAGGTCAAACTGATGGTCATGCCAGACCCCTGTTAACTTCAGTAGGGATGGCACTTGGTTCAAAGAGGCTGAAGAAGAGACCCCGAGCCAACAAACAAAACAGAGTTTATTTGGGGGAACTTATTTATAGAGCAGTCCAGTGGCAGTGGGCTGGACAGGAGAACCACTACTGCTTGTAAAAAGAATGTAGTTTGTATACACCTTCACTTAGCCACCCTCCCGCCAAACAACCTCCACATGGCAGCCCTCATTACTTAAATTGCCATCAAGTGTGTCTGCCATGCACTGATACAGTGGCCCAAGGCCCCCAGTCATAAATCACTCTGTTAGCATAAACTATCTGGAATGCCCCCAGGTATACAAAGATACTCTCATCAGACAAGACGTACTAGGAGCTTAGAGGTTATCTCCCAGGAGCCAAGCAAGGGCCAGTTTTTTCCTTGGAATGTGCAGAATTTGAACACCACAAACCTGCTGAGTCATCCCTTTACTGCATACCTTATTTTCCTAGTTTGCTGAAAGTTTTTATCATCAGAGGATCTTGACTTTTTCAAATGCTTTTTCTACATCTAATGCAATGATCATATAGGCTTTTTTCTTTTTTTGTTAAGGGGGTGTATTACATTGATCGATTTTCAAATGTTAAACCAACTTTGTATTCCTGGGTTAAACCTCATTTGGTCATGATACATTATTGTCTTTACATATTGCTAAAATCAGTTTGTTTGTATTAAGGATGCTTTTATGTTCATGAAGATATGTGTCTAATTTTCTCTTCTTGTAATACCTTCATAGGTTTCTGAATCTGGGTAATACTGGCCTCATAAAATGATTTTGTAATTGTTTTCTCTTCCTCTGTTGTTCAGATCTACTGGGTCCTTACGTTGTTCCTCATCCTAGGGAAAACACTTAGGCTTTCATCATAAAGTATGATGCTAACTGTAGATTTTGTACGTGTTTATCAGATTAAGGAATATCCCTTCTATACATGCTTTTCCCCATCTTGTTTGATTGCTCTAGAGCAGTGTATAAAGGTATACATTCTATTTTACAGCTCCATAGTACTGCAGAGTGTCTTCCACCAGTTCCATGTTGATGGACATGTGGATTTTTTCCTAGGCCTTTGCCATATTAAAATTGAATTACGAAATTGCTATAATTAATAACTTTTTCATATTATTGTTATATCTTTGGGATAGAGTCCCATAAGTGGGATTGCTGGATTAGAGATTAAATACATGTTAATTTGCAGGATATTACCAAGGTCCCCTCCATAGGAGTCACACTGTTTGGTACTCTCACCATCAATATACGGAAGTGCCTACTTCACAGCCTGACCTACCCAGTATGTCTTCACATTTGGGTATTTTCACCAGTCCCAGTAGGCAAGAAATAATGACGCAGTGTAGTTGTTAATATGCATCATCTTCTTATGAGGAAGATTGAGCATTTTTCATGTGTTTAAAAGCCATTTGCATTTGTGTGAACTTTCTTGCCTAGTTTACTGTAGGGCTGTTGGTCTTTTTCTCTGTCTGCTTTACCTATGGTGGGGCTTTTTTTTTTTTTTTTTTAATAAACTTGTTATTTTAAGAGCAGTTTTACGTTCATAGCAAAATTGAGCAGAAAGTACCAAGAGTTCCCATATACCTCTTTCACTGTCCTCCCCACCCGCCAATACACTAATAGCCTTCACCACCAATAGCCATCAACATGCCCCACCACTCATGGTGCTTTGTTTCGTTTGTTTTGTTTTGTTTTGATACGGACTCTCGTTCTTTCGCCCAGGCTGGAGTGCAGTGGGTGATCTCGGCTCACTGCAAACCTCCACCTCCCAGGCGTAAGCAATTCTCCCACCTCAGCCTCCTGAGTAGCTGGGACTACAGGTGCGTGCCACCACGCCCGGCTAATTTTTGTATTTTTAGTAGAGACAGGCTTTCACCATGTTGGCCAGGCTGGGCTTAGACCTCAAGTGATTCGCCCTCCTCGGCCTCCCAAAGTGCTGGGATTACAGGAGTGAGCCACCGCACCCAGTTCACCCATGTTTTTTTTTTCATATGTGTGGTTCATTTTTTTATGTGTATATCTCTGATGCATTTGGAATTTACCTTGGTGTACAGTGTAGGGAGAGGGAAAACATTTATTCTTTCATATAACTACCGATTATCCCAGTGCAACTTATTAAACCATATCATATATTAAATACATATATGCAGTTGAGTCTGGTTTTGAATTTTATATCCTATTCATTGGTCTGTCAATCTTTTCATGCTCTAATACCACACTTGGTTTTTTAGGGTTATCTTGGCTATTATTGCCTCCCCTTCCTAATCTCCATGATATTTTCACTATAAACCTTTTCAAACATATGGCAGAATTGAATTTTACAGTGAACACCCATATACCTATACCCTAGATTCGAGCATTTACATTTTACCATACTTGCTTCTTTTACCTGCCTATCATTCCATATGCATTTAGTCTCTTTTTAAAATAGATTTCAGAGTAAACTGCAAACAGTGCCCTTCCCCTTCAATACTTTAGTATGCATATCATTAACTAGAGTTCAATATTTATTTACAGTTTTTCTGACCATTCTTGCTTATTTCCAGATGAATTTCATAGTTGATTTTTCCGGCTTCAGGATGGGACCTGGTGATGTTTTTTTATTGGGATCACATTACATTTATAAATTAACTTAGGGAGAACCAACATCTTTATATTTCTTTTTCTATCCAAGAATGATGTGTCCTTTCCTTTGTGTCTTTCAGGAATCTTTTTTGGTTTTTTACGTATGGGCTTTGGGCTTAAGTTTATTCTAAAGTTTTTGTTGATATTGTTAGTTTTTTATCTTTTGTTTTGTTTTGGCTATTGCAAGTAGAATCTTCTCTTTCATTATATCTTCCAACTGTAAATGAGGTACATTATCATGAACATTTAAGTCATTTTGTTGTTGTTATAAGCAGTTTTGTGGTGAATATCCTTATAACTTTACCTTTGTGCATATTTGTGATACTTAGAATAGCAGATTATATTTTCCAAAGAAAGCTGCCCCCAAATAGATCCCATACCACATGCTCTTCTTAAAAAGTGATGTTACTGCTCCATTGAGAAAGCAAATTGGAGTCTGTGTTTCTTCCCCTTGAACTCCAGTGGACCATCGTGAATGTGTTGGGCAGTAGAATATGGCCAGAATTATGATTTCTGACTTCTAAGGCTAGGTCATGAAAGGCACTGAAGCTTCCACCAAAGTCTTTAAGACTGCCAGCCCTGCAGGCAGCCAGCTGCCATGCACCAGTAACACACTCATGCAGCTCCATGAAGAAGAAATGAGGCTCCCAGCAAGCACCAACTTGCTAGCCATGTGTGTGGCCTCCTTGGAAGTGAACCCTCCAGCCCTGGTCAGCCCTTCAGATGACTGCAGCCCTAGTTGCCTTCTAACTGCACCCTCCTGAGACACACAGAGCCAGAACCACCCAGCCAAGGTGTTCCCAAATTCCTGACCCCAGAAGCAGTGATCAGTAATAAATCTCACTGTTTCAAGGCACTAAGTTTTATGACTCAGCTGTAGTAACCAGAACAATTAAAAAGATTGATAACAGTGACTTTTGAAAAAATTTTTTGTTAAATTTTGTAGAGGACCATTTCCTAAATAGTCTTTTTGAGAAAACTGCTCTCAAAAAACTCTGTGAAGAGAGTGTCTGCAATCAGGTTATTTGCAAATACCATCCTTTTTGGAAATTCAAAATGTATTTGAGCATATTAAAGGCTCTGAAAACTTATATAGTGAAACACCTTTCTAGCTTTGACTCAGCTTTCTCAGACTGATTCGACCACAGAAGTCCTTTCCCACAGCCCAGGATGGGTAGAATATACCCCACATGGAGCAGTTGTTACGAGCATGGGCTTCAGAGCTAGGTTCCCTGAGGTCATGTCCCAGCCCAGCCATTTGCTGACTGTGACCTGGGCAAGTTTCCTAACTTCTCTACACCTCAGTTTCCTCCTTTGTTAAAAGGTTGTTAATACTAGTACCTACCTGATGGGGATATTCGAAATTAAATAAATTTATCCATACAAATTGCTTAGAAAAAATGTCCACTATATGAGCCATTAACAAATGTTAGCTGGCATTAGTAATATCACCCTAATATGCATTTACATTGTTCCTTTAATTACAGTCTCTCTGCCTAACAATATGGAATTTATCCTAGATAGCACTCTGCCTATAATTTTATAGCATTTATGTAGATTCTAGTAAAGCTATTACAAAGCCTGTTATTGCATAACCTAAACGTTTTCTTATTAACCAGTTACTTGTATTTATAATGCACTCATTCATTCAACATATATTTATGCAATGGAATACCAGGCACTAATCCAGAATCTGGGATCTAGGAGCAAGGCTGACAACCAACAGATAAATAAACAGGGGGATTATAGACTGTGATAACTGCTATGGAGAAAACAGATGCAGAGGAGTGGGAGGCGGCCTTTCCTTCACAGAAGAGTCAGAGGTGGCCTCTCTGAGTAGGTGAAATTGAGCTGAGCCCTGTAGATGGGAAGGAAGACGATGCCCTGGGAAGAGCCCGTGGGGAAGAAACAGGGGAATGCCAAGTGCAGAGGACTCAGTCCTGAAACAAGTCTGTGCCTTCAAGTGGGTATTTAAGGACTTGTGCTTTCAGAGCTAACTTATATTAAGATGTGACTTAGAACATATACGTGTGTGGGTATAGGTATATATATGTGTGTGTATGAGTATATATGTTGGGGGGTATGTGTGTGGGGGTGTGTGTGTGTATATATATGGGTAGGGGGTATATATGTGTGTGTTTCTGTGTGTGTATGTGGGAGTATATGTGTATGTATATGTGGGGGTATATATGAGTGTGTGTGTGTATGTATATATGTGTATGTAGATATATGTGTGTGGGGGAGGGTATATGTGGGGGGTATATATACATATCTGCACATATATGGTGTGTGTGTGTATGTAGGGGGTATATATGTGAGTGGGGGGTATATATATGTAGTATATGTATGTGGGTGTGTATATATGGTATGTGTATATGTGTGGGTATGTGTGTGTATATATGTGTGTGTGTTTATGTGGGTGAGTATATGTGAATATATGTATGTGGTGTGTGTGTATATGTGGGGGATATACATGCATGTATGTATATATATGGGGTATGTGTGTATGTAGGGGGTTATATATGTGTGGGGGGTATATATATGTGGTATATATATTGTGTGTATACATGTGGGGGTATGTGTGTGGGGGTATATGTGTGGTGGTATATATGTGTGTGGGTATATATGTGGGAGGGTATGTATATATGTGTGCATGGGTATATATATGTGGTATATATGTGTGTGTGTGGTGTGTGTATATGTGTGGGTATACATGTGTTGGGGGTATATATGTGTGTGGGGGTATATATATATATATGAATATATGTATAATATGTATTATATATTATTATTAATAACATACTCAGCAATCTTTTTGCATTAGTGTCAACTACTGGGTAAGCATCAATCCAGCTTCCTGGGTTTGTTGAGTGCGGTGTGTCAGTCTATGGAGCGTATTCAGCACATACCAACTGCAGCCTCCCCCTGCATGCTGGTCACTGTGCCGTGGCTGCAAATGCAGAGGGCATGCACAATCTCTACCCTGCAGGCAATAATGCCAGTGTTAAGTGCCCCAGTGGAGGTGTGTCCGGATGGCCACTGGGCCCAGAGGCAGTGACTGCTCCCCAGTACAGGGACACAGAGCAAAAGCGCAGGGTCACATGTGACTCCTTCTGTTTTCAAAAAGGAATCCTGTTATGGAAATAAAATACCTGCCTGCTAATTATTTATTTTTAGATCTAAGCTGGAACCAGAACCAAATACAAAGACAAGAGAATCCACATCTTCTGAGAAAGTTTCACAGAGTCCTTCAAAAGACTCTGAAGAAAACCCTGCCACTGAAGAACGTCCAGGTACGAATTGAGATGAAAATCTCACCTTGCATTTCTTCCTTGTGACATGTTGGCAAGAGTACAGCACAGGAACGAAGTAGCACAGTCTCAGACATGTTTTGGTGTTTGTATTTGCATAAAGCAAAGGAAGCAGGAGGCGGCAGCCTTTGTGTCTGTCACAGTTGATCTTCGTGAGTGCCACAGAGGCAGGGGGTGCATTCACCCAGTCACCTGGGAGCTGGCGGGGTCCGGGAGAAAGGGCCTGCTGGAGGGGTGAGGCCGGGAGCTGTCTGCCTCAGGAGCCCTGTGTGCCGGCCTCAGGAGAGGCAGCATTGCCTCCCTGGCAGCCATGCCCTGCATGTCAGCTCTGAGCTGCCAGGCCTGCATCCGGGTAGAGTGTATAACCTCAGCAGCCTTGCACAGCCAGTCAAACCAACAGGACAAAATGCAAATCTGAATTGACGTGCTGCCTATCACCACAGATACTAGAGGGCCCATGGCTTAGAATAGTTCCTGATGCACAGGAGATGCAGAAGAAATACAGGGTCTCCATGAAGTCCGAAAATGTAGGGGGACATACACAGTGTGGTCATGGATGTCTGCGATCTGTGTGTCTGGCTGGTACCCCTGCGTAGGGATGCCTGCATAGTTTGCCATATCTCAAAGGCAGAGTGGAGCAGGGTTCTTTGTGTGAATCACAGGGTGATGGCGTGCTGGAGCCAGGAGAGACCTGGGAGTCCCCTTTAGCATCCTTCTCCGTAGTCTCATGGCAGTTCTTATTAACTCTTGTCTTCCAGATGCTAGGCATGGTCCTGGACATGTCACAGAAATTACAGGTTGAGTATCTCTTATCTGAAATGCTTGGGACCAGAAGTGTTTTGGATTTAGGGTTTTTTCAAATTTTTGCATATTTGCATTGTCCTTACCAGTTGAGCATCTCTAATCTGAAAACTAAAATCTGGAAAGCTCCAATGAGTATTTCCTTTGGGTGTCACATTGGAGCTCAATAAGTTTCAGGGATGTGATTCCTGCCCTCAGGGAGCTCACAGTTGATGGGAAAGATAAGGCTCTAGCCCCTGGGAGAAAGTAAGTAGTACCTCAAGAGAGAGCAGAGGGCCAGGGAGACTTCAAGAGGAGGTGGCACTAAGAAGTGAGTCTGGGCCAGGCGCAGTGGTTCACACCTGTAATCCCAGCACTTTGGGAGGCCAAGGCGGGTTGGATCACCTGAGGTCAGGACATCAAGACCAGCCTAACATGGAAAAACCCCATCTCTACTAAAAATACAAAATTAGCCAGGTGTGGTGGCACACGCCTGTAATCCCAGCTACTGGGGAGGCTGAGGCAGGAGAATCACTTGAACCTGGGAGGCGGAAGTTGCAGTGAGCCAAGATCGTGCCATTGCACTCCAGCCTGGGCAACAAGAGCGAAATTCCGTCTCAAAAAAAAAAAAAAAAAAAAAAAAAAGTGAGTCTGGACCTGAAAAAATAAAAAATGAAAGCTTAGAAAGTTCTAGACAGAGGCAGCAGCATGAGCAAATGCTCAGAGGCCAGAAAGCCTGGAGATTGGGTGGGATATAGTCAGTAAAGAAGACCCGTGGGGATCAGTGAAGCCCATCAGTGGGAGGAGAGGTGGGAGTAAGCTTGGAAGGGTGGGTAGGGCCTTGAATGCCAGAGTAGGGAGTCTGGACTTGCCTCTGTGGCACCAGGGTGCACGGGTGGCCTGGGCAGAGGACTGGCATGGTGGGTGCTGTGCTTCAGGCTGATCCTTAGGGCAGCCTATCAAGAAGGCTTCTGATGGCCACAAATGAGCATGTTGTAGAGTGTGAGTTCTGCTAAGAAAACTTTCCCATTCTAGCTCAGAGTTAATTTATGCTTGGTTCAGATATGAACAAGGTTTCTGTTTCTAATTTTGATGTTTTTTTCCTTAAAAAAGAAATCAACAACAGTAAAAGCTTGAAATGGATACCATAATGAGGACAAGTAGGAGACAGCTCATAAGGTGGGGGTGGGGGGTAGATGAAAGTACAAATGTTCCTACCCAAAGAATGTCATCTCAGGAAAATATCAGATCATTTCTAAAGATACTTTTAGCCAACCTTTTACAAACACATGTTTTTCTATAATGACACTTCTGGTAAAAACAGCCATTTTTCTAAAAGCCTGCATGCACTAAGTTGTGGATGACATGCAGTTTTTTTTGTAAAGATATATTTCTAATAAATAACCATAACTTTCAGGCATGGCCTGCCTAGTGAGCTTTCTCTACATTGTTGCTATCATTACGTTCTCTTCCCCTATTTAAAGATCTGGACTTGTTGCCATCTCATGGGGCTGAGACTGACTACAGGAAATTTACTGAGATTGAGGAAAAAAGGAAAAAGAAGCAGTATTTGCCTTTGAGTACTTGGAAGCTCACTGATAAGCCCTGAGACACAGACACAAAGTGACTTCATTACAGTCTCCCCCGAGGATCCATCCCTGCCATCCCTCTCCCCTCCGCTCCCAACCCTACCCCGGTGATGAACTGCACAGACCTCTTACCGTCATCCTGGGCGGCAGCAGTCCTTTCTAGGGGCCTGTGGTATTGACATGCTTCAATGGAGGATGCATCACCTTTCCTTGATCATAATGAAAAAGTTCTCCAGATTAAAATGTTCCTACGCTCCCTTTCAGCAGTTGCATGCCCAGGTATCTGTCCTAGAGAGTCACTCCAGCATGTGCACATAGCACAGACCGGGACACAGTACCATGACACCAGTGAACAGTCTGAAACCACTGAGGTCTGTCAGCGTAGTTATGGCTAAAGACCAGTGTATCCTCACGATGGAATATCATGCAGCAATTTAAAAGAACAAGGTAGATCTACTTGGACCATCTCCAAGATGTATCAATAAATCATACAAAGCAAGTTTTAGAACAGCATGTTACTATTGATATCTGTGTGAAAAGCAAGCCGCCATACACACAAAACTGTGTATTACTTGAATTTCATGGGTAGACAGGGACTCATATATCTTTGTATGTGAATATCTTTAGATAAAATCTATGAAGCTACATCAAAGCAGTAACATCTGGGAGAGGAATAGGATTGGAGAACAGTATATCACTTCCTGTATATATATATATATGTATGTATATATGCATATGTATTTTTTACAATAAAAATATGTCTTACAGTCTTTAAAAGTAGACAGGGGTGTATGTGTCTTGAAGTAAAACATACTTTAAGACTCATTCTGAAGAATTCTGAAGACATTCTGAATAATGTCCATTTAGTTTGCAGCCATTGCTGACATCAGTGCGATACTGAAACCGTGCATAGGTCCCCCTCCCCATCACACACACACATGCACGTGCCTGCACAAAGACAATTTAAAGCCTAAATGTTGTGAAAGAATCATGTCTGCAGTGCCTGAATATTAGCCCAAAGATCATGAAATATATAGACAAAGCTGTAAGATTCTGTTTAATCTCTTGTTTGTGTTATGACTACATCCTAAGCCAGCCTATTCTAAAACACATATTTGGTCTTCTATTTTCAATTTTTTTTTTAACAGAAAAAATTTTGGCTGAAACACAACCTGAATTGGGAACGTGGGGAGATGGCAAAGGCGAAGATGAGTTATCCCCAGAAGAAATACAAATGGTAATGCTATTCTCTGCCTAATTATTTATTTTTAACTGGTTTTCATAAGACTGTTTCACTAAGGAGAAACTCATCCTCAATGCCCTTGCCCTTATTTTTATACTGAGTTTTAAAAATTATAAATGTGTATTTTATATACACTTTCCCATTTGATTTCCTAATTCTTACGGTGCTTTTCATATGCTTTAAATTTGCAGTAGCATAATTAAAGAAGACATTTTGCCTTGGAAGAATTTTACTAATAATAGATGTCTTTTCAACAACAGTAAAATAGTCTTCTAGACTAAATGGGTCTTTTATAAATGCCACTATGATGCTTTTTAATTGTTTGAATTGCTAGTGCTATGGTAATGTGAAAAAAGTAAGATAATGACTGAAAAGTGAAAAGAGTAACACCTTAACTACTGATAGCACCTCCTTTTAGTTACCTGCCTTCTGGTTTCCAGCTGCTATAGCTTACCATCTATGGGTGGGTTTCAAAAGGAACTGATAGGTCTGCCAAGCCCCTGCCAGCTCACGTCCAGCAATGTCTGTGTGCAGCTCATCTGGACACTGGTGTGACAGAAGCCAGATGGAATATGCTATCTGTGTGTGGGAATAGATGTCACCTAGAGCTGCTAGGATGTGACACTGTCCTCTAAGACGTGGGGAATGTGACTACCACACGGCACGCCTCCAGTGACTGTGCCTGGCAAGTGATAGCATTTTAAGTGTGCAGCAGTTTGCAGTAGACAAAACTTTTTGATTCTCATTTTATCCATGATACTTTTAATAATTGCACAAAGAGGTGGTGGAACATTAGCATCTCATTTTAACATTGGCAAAAGGCAGCAAAGGGTCTTGCCCAGAGTCCCCTAGTTAATCAGGGAAGAGCTGGATTTCCAGCCCTCAAGAAGATAAGGAGTGGAGCATGAAGACAGCTCTGTTGAGGAAGAATGGGATCCAGTCTTTCCCCAGCCTTGAGCTTCTCAGACTGAGGCGTTTGTGTTGCTGCTTAAGCCACCTGAAATTTCAAGCTCTCTCTATCCACTCCTGGCATGTCTTACAGGTCTCAGGTATTTTTTCCTCAGACAGACCCGGCAACCCCACCTACAGCAGCTCCCAGATACTGTGTCCCATGACCCTACTTGATTTCCCGCATAGAGCACAAGCTCTGTGAGAGCAGAATCTTGTCTTGTTTTCCTCACCCAGAGCCCAGAACAGTGTTTGGGAATTCTTTTTTTTTTTTTTTTTTTAATTTATTTTTTTTATTGATCATTCTTGGGTGTTTCTCGCAGAGGGGTATTTGGCAGGGTCATAGGACAATAGTGGAGGGAAGGTCAGCAGATAAACAAGTGAACAGAGGTCTCTGGTTTTCCTAGGCAGAGGACCCTGCGGCCTTCCGCAGGGGAATTCTTTGTTGAATGCATGAGTGACTTTGATGAGTATAACATAAAAGCTATAGGTTGTTTTCAATGGTAAAATGGGATCATCAGTAATAACTATTAGAATGTTCTAGTGTTCAGTTATTACTAGTATTATGGATACTTATGAATGCCTTCTCTATCCCAAGCCTTTTACATATGTTGTCCTGTTGAATCTTCATGACAATCCAGTCAAGTAGGAATTATCACTATTACACAGTTGAAGAAAATGACGCACAAAAACTAAAGCCCTACCCAACGTCACAGAACCAGTAGAGCAGCAGAGCCAACCTTTGGCTCCAACCTGTGCTTTTTTTCCAGTTGGTTCTGGTGGTCTAGGCAAGTGTTGCTGCACAGGAGCAGCGTGGCACACTGACACAGGCCAGCCAGGCAGAGAAGTCAGAACAGCCGCGCCGGCCCACCGAAGTGTCATTGTAAGCATAGTTGTGCAGGCTGGGGACCTCCAGGGATGGCCAGGTCCACATGTCTGCTCTCGTGAGCATTGGCCGCCAAGGGCAGAGGACTGGCTCAGCATCCTCTTGCTCTTTGGACTTCCTGTTTCTTCTCCATGCCTGAAATAAAAGACGGAAACCAAATCTCTTTCCTAAAAATGGCATGGACAAGTGAAGACAAAAAAGCCAAAAGGTAGCACAGCCTAGTGGGAACAGTGTACTGTCTGACTGGAGTCCACACGCAGCCTCATCATTGCAGCCCTGGGCCCTCTCACTGCTCTGGACCTCTGTTCCCTCATCTGTGAGATGGGCAAAAAATGGCCACCCCACAGGTGGGGCTAAAGTTTGAGTGAGCTGGCCCATGAGGTGCATGCAACAAAGAGCCAGACACATGGGGTGCTTGAAAAATTCTGTTTCCCCTTCCTTTACCCTTGAGAGTGGCAGGTTGTACAAAGAGGCAGAAGAGCCTCTCCCTGCACAGGATGGAAGAGATTGGGCATAGCTGCCCGTGTGCCATGAGCAGGGAAGGACTGTGGCATGCATGCCATCATGGCAGGGTCAGGGCATGCAGGATGGCAGCTGGAGCTCAGACCATTTTCATATGCCTTTCATATACAATTCAGTTTCACACAGATTTATCCACCCAGATGAGTGGTTTCCCCTTTAAAATCATCGCCTTGAAAGCTTGAAACTGATTCCAGTGATGGTACCATTAGCCCTGACTTTCCTGAGACTTGCTTTGGGGGTTCTCCTTCAGAGCCTGTGATATTTTCTTTGGAATACTAAGCAGAGCTGTCTTTGTCCTTTACAGACAAAAATAATTCTGAACTAAGAAAATGACTCAAACACCTTAAAGTGCCCTGCAAGGTCCTTGCCTTCCTTTCCAGCTTCTTTCATGTTCCAGAATTCACCTTATGACTTGAAATAAGTGCTCACCAAATCCAGCAAATGTGGGACCTAGGCCCTCGAGGTGCACATTGTATAGTCGGTGGTTAGAGGAAGACAGCCGCAGGGATTCCAAGCAGTCATTGCTGTCAGTCAGGTTGAGAGATGAGGAGGGCCTTGAGCCGGGAGTGGCAGTGAAGGTAGTGTTGAGAGCTGTGGTGTAGGAAATGGCCTGCACTGAAGTGTGAGATGAGGAAGGAACCTTGAGCTTTCTGACGTGGGTCATCAGGAGGAGGGAGGGTGCACAGAAGGTGGGCAGGCTGGGGCTGAGCAGGAGATGATGAATTTCATGTAGACAGGTGTGAGTTTGAGGCGCCTGTGGGACATTCATGAGAGGTGTCTATGGGCTCCAGGGCTCGGGCTAGAGAAACGCATGTGGGAGACATCTTACAGCTGATGTTTGAAGGATGGGCTTGCGTGAGGCTCTCTAGAAACATGATGAACAGCGAGAAAGGAGAAGGGGTCATGGACACCACCCTGGGGTACACTCCACTGGAGGGAGGCTGGGGCGGAGAAGCCAACAAAGGAATGTAAAGAGGGATTGGATCATATTCCCGTCCTACAGCCAAATAATGGCAGAAGTTTCTTAAAAATCTCTTAGGTTTTCACCGGTTTATATGAAATCCTTGTATTAGTGGAAATGAGTCGTTTCCCCAAATATTATACCATTGCCCCATTTCTTTGCTAGACAAAAAATGTGTACAGCTCTGTCTCTTCATTAAGAAAGAATACGTTTGTATTTAAGAAGAGTTTACCTTCTGTGTTGGGCTTTTTTTTTCTTTCTTTCTTTTTTAATGCACTCCACCACTCTTCATAAAGGAAATAGCTAGAATAACAATAGTGTGGGTTGTTTGTCTGAGGATTTTTGCCTTTCTCTGGCAGGCAATGGTGAGCTAAGCATGTTAACCTTTACAGCTGCGTGACTTAGCAGCCTGTAGGTGTGAGAGTTGGACCAGAGGAAGGCTAGCAGTGAGGATATTCGTAATCACCTGATGCTCTCATCCTGTGGAGGGATGATGAAAGAACATAGGCTTTGGGACTAGACAGAGTTGGCTATGAATTTATACCACTTACTATCTTTGTAAGCTGAGGCAAGAAATCACTGCCATCAGTGATCTCTTCAGAATCAATACCCCACAGAATTGTCTCAAGCGCTGGATGCAGTAGCACCTGTAAGAGCACCCAGCAGAGGGCAGGGCAGAGCAAATGGTGACTCCCTCCCACCAGAAGGATACTGCCATGTCTGTGCATTGTGGCATGCCCTGCACGTGTTTTAGCAACTGATATGTCAGAGTACGGCTCCTCTCCCCACATTGAGGTTGATGCAGCATGCTTCTGTTTCATTCCACTGTCCCGAGTCATTGTCTAAAGACACCAGCGGCCACTCCCAGTAACACTGGTAGCTCTAGCATGGTAGTATCAATGACTAAAGCAATCAGAATCAGCAGGACTTCCTAATTTTTATTGTGTTACTGCAAGAGGATCGGGCAGAAGGCTGTAATGTTCAGTACTTTTATGACAGGCTATTTAATGTCCAGTTAACTTCTTTCTTAATTGGGAATAATAGCTAAGTACCATATCTTATAGTCTGACTAACTCAAATCTTATTTAAAAGGCTTAACTTTGAAAATAAAGAGAAAGAAATACAACACTGTTGGTTTTAAATTGGAAAATATTGTAGCAAATCGTGGTCATAATTCATAATCACTGTTTCGGAATTTTTCCTCAGGGTAAAATAATGAATTAAGCCCAATAATAGCAATATAATTCATTGTTTCACCCAAAGGAACAGTTATTACATATTTCAAAATGGTTGCAGGGTATTATATGATTTGCACAATAAATTTCCCTATATAACTCATGATACAGGTATATTAATGCCTTTGAGTTTGCAGGTGTTTGTGGTCAGGCTGAGTGGAACCAAATTGTTTTCCAAAGTTACATCAAGAAAATTTCTCCCTTTCTAAACACACATTCACTTTACTTGCCTCAGGTAAAACCACCTGCATTTATTGATGTACTCCTTGGGATAATTTTTTTAAAACATGAATGTGGCTTCTGTTTCTTAAATCCACATGAAAGGCGTCTTCCAAGGCCCTGTCCCCTGAGGTAGGCCTGTAGAAACTCCCAGTGGCTGGCTGGCAGGGCTCGCCAGTTTTCAGCTCATGCATCTAGAACAAGGATTGGTGGAATCTGAATACCACATAGTGAGAGCTGGACAGACCCTGGGGAGGTTCCAGGTTTACAGGGGCACAGCAAATGCTGGCTTCCACCAGAAGGATACGGCAGAGTCCGTCTACTGTCACATTATGGGGATCATAGGGGATCGAGGTGAGGGTCACACAGCCAGAAGTGTGAAGGGGTTTGGTACAGAGAAAGCACGTCTGGAAGAGTCCAGAAAGGGCTGGGCAGGGGACTCCTGAGCTATGAGGGCCAGAGGGCTTTCTGGGATGGTCCCCCTGTGCTCCTCAGCTTTTCTTGGCTCTTTGTGACACAAATACTTCTCTTGGCGTCATTTTATACTGAAAGGCCTTTGTAGGAGTGATTTTCTTTTGAAAATTATAGTAAAGAGGATTAGATTAGAAAAGGATTTCTATAACAATATATTCACAATGTGGATTTGTATCCTTTAAACCAGATTAGAAACCTTTTAGCAGGGCTTGATTGGAAAGTCTAACTGACTTCTAAATGGGATAAAGCAGTTGAATAATGATATTGTCTAATGCGCATGTGACACATACCATGTGCCAAGTACTGCTCTGAGCCCTTCAGCATATGTTCATTTATGCAACCCATATGGAGAGAGTATTGCTGGCCCCGTTTTACAGAGAGCTTAAGTCACCAGCCCTAGGTCACATAGGTCCCAAGTCCTAGGCTGTTCAACATGATGCTGTGCTGCCATGGTTGGAGGGTGGGGGAGAGTGCTGGTCTAGCTGAAGGAAAGCATTGTGTTTTGGTAGGAGACCGTAACAGCGTAGAGCAGATGGGCCAATGCAGGGAGCCCAGAGCAGCGGCTGGCAACCACCATGCATGGAGGGCCCAACCTGCCCACCGTACCCACCATCTAGGCCTCTCACCTTCCTTTGCAATTCCATAGGAAAATAAGAATTTCCTTGATTGTGTTCAGGTTTGTCTTCACAAAGCATCTAGATACCCATCTGTCGTGCTGACCTTGGAGACCAGGTCTTTCATTCAGCACCGCACCTTGCAAAGTGTGGCCACAAAGAGACAGATACTAGCTAGTGAGGCTCAGCGAGCTCTGGAAGAAGATGCTATGGGTGCATTTCCCAGTGCCTGGGAGAGTGAAATGGCTGAGAGCCACAGCAGGCCTCTAGGACTTTGAGACTAGAGGGTAGAAGGGGTCCCACAGCATCTGACCGCTCATTTTGCATATCCAGAAACTGACACCCAAGAGATTAAATCATGATAGACAGCCTTCACCGAGAGCTTACTATATGCCATGCACTTTGGTAGACAACTCACATGTATTCACTCATGTATTCCTTCTAACAACCCCACTACTTAAGTACTGTTACTATCCCCATTTTAGTGACAAAGACAGAGACGCCCAGAGATTGTGACCTCCAAAACAGCTTACTGCTTAGAAGGTGAGGGGCTGGAAGTCCAGCCGTGACTTTGCATCCTCAGGGTCAGGCAGAAAAGGATAAGAATCACCACATCTGTCCCCAAAGAAACTGACAGGCCCACCAGAAGCCAGTGACTGGCCCAGCATTGCCCCAGGGTTCCTATAAGGCCCCCAGAACTGGCTCCCATATCCACGTGGTACATCCACCACTATGCCTGCCACCTGGCAACAGACGAAGGGAGGCACACAGGTTTGCCATTTAGACAGCGTTGGAAGCCATACTGAAACCTGGTACAAGTCAGTGTTGTCAGCAGCCTTGCCATGATCTAATTGTCCTGGGCCCTGCCAGCCTCCTTAAGTAATAGTGACCTTGTAGTTGTCTGGGAAATAGGCCTTTTGTTTTTTAAACACAGAGGCGGCTCTCCATTAAAACTCCTGGCCGTTGGCAAACCTCTCTCCTCAGCCCTTAGCACCTTTGATCCTTGAGGCACCTGCTTCTCTTCCTCTAGGGACTAGGTATTTTTCAGGTGGGGTGGAAGGAAATTAGAGCCAGCATCTGATCCCACTCCTGAGTGCAGTGGAGGGCGGACATGGAGCTATCAGAAGTTAACAATTACGAAGAGGCCTAAGAGGAGGTGCCGCACCTAAGTGCCTTATACCACAGGCCCTCAAATTGGGGAGGAAACAAGAAAAGCTTTGTTCCCAAGGAACAGTCCAGGAATGAATCACCCCAAACCACTAGTTAATTTTGTTTAGGAACAGTTTCAAAGCATAAAAGGGACTGTGGATTTAAAAGGTCAGGGCCAGGGCCATATTTTGTCATTAGAAAAATTCAAGAAAATGCCGCCACCCAGGGAAAGCTGAGTAGTACCTGAATTAGCCAAAGTGAATTGGCGCCTGCATGTTTTAGTAATTACATGTTTTCCTTAAATACTGTCCTCTTAAGTAACTGTTGAAGTTAACAGAGCGGATACTTTCAAACTCAAAAGTGAAAGTTTTACTCTCTTAAATAGCCTTTGTCTTGCCTAATTAAAGGGGCCATAAGCAATTCTGTGTCAGCAGCCAGCACGGCCCCCTGCTGTGGATGAGTTGGTCCTGCAGGGAGCTTTCCTGGCACTTCCGCCCTTCCCAGAGCTTTGCCCCTTCCCCGTTTTCTGGCCCGGTGGGTCTGGAGTGCAGCAGATGCCTCCTTGTGTTTTGAGTAGCCGGGGCCGAGAACTGGTGTTCTGTCATGTGTGAGGCCCTGGGCTGGGCTCAGTGTCCAAAGGAGGACAGCTGCCTTCCACAGAGAGAAGACAAGCCCCCTGAACAAGTGTGAGAAATGTCCTTGAAGAGCCAAGTACAGGGGAACTTGGTAACAAGAGTGAGAAAGTAAGAGAAGGTGATTCAGTCTGCCCTGAGGTATCAGATCGCTAGGAAGATGCCTGGGGTTTTGAGGGACCACGTGGAGTTCTGCAGCCAGGCAGGAAACTAGCCTGTCAGAGCAGAGCTGAGATGGGAGATGTCACGTGGCCAGGGCATGGATAACAGTGTGCCCTAGACCTGATCTGTAGGGTCAGCGGGCAAGGCCACCATGAGGCATTCTGGCATGACCAGCACTTGAGATCACTTTGACCAAGGATTGGATAACAGGTTGGAGGCAAGTGAGAAACGGTGAGGGTGGAATGTGGACGGTAGGGGAAGGGCTGAATACAGCAAGTGCATGTGCGGGGGCGAAACTGGTGGACTTAGGAAGGGGCGTGTGTGTGAAGAGCGCCTGCATAGAGCACAGCTGGGGTACTTGGAGGGGAGGGGTCCTGGGTGGGAAGGAGGCTGCTGGGGAGACCCTGCAACTCATTTCCGCCCTAGGACAATGGCAACAAGGTCAGGCTGTTGAATGAAGTGCCAGCATAGCCCGTGGTGGTCAGCTGCCTCCCATAACCATTGTTTCCCTTGTATTTTTGGTTTACTAAGCAAGTGATAAGCCAGATCTTCCATCGATTCGGAGCCTCCAGAGGCTTGCTTGTATGTATCCCTCCCACTCCTGCTTACAGAATGCCTCAGAAAATATTTGTGGATTTGATGGCAGCTTTAATCTATAAGAAAGAAAGAACAACTGGAATGCCTTTGCAAAGTTATGTTCCACCCAGTTCCCGCCCTCAGGAAGCTCAGGGTGACACGGGAAGTTTGGGATGGGCACAGTTTATTACAAGGCAGAAAGGGACCGTTGGGCGCTACTATCCTAAGATATTTTCAGAAAATGGTAGGCCAAGGATAGGAATATGAGAAATAAGTTTGAGCTTAGGGGCCAGGGTAGGTGTCCTGGAGAAGTGGGGCCTGCGGGATGCATCGGGGAGGAAATGCAGGACGCCCCTGACTCCCTGCACATTGCGGGAGTTGAGTGGACACACGAGGACAGGGCTGTGGGGGCCTGCAGTGAGGGCAAGGAGCTGTTCCTGTCCATTCTCTGTGCTGAGTTTCAGGAGCTTCCATCCTTTTCTTTGGCCCATATCAAACTGGCAAGAATGGCTGGGAGAGCAACTGTCTGTGCCAAGCTCACTCAGCTCCAAGAAGCTCCCATGTATCCCTGGTGTCAGGGCACCCGTCCTCACCCAGCCTGAGCACTGGGAAACACGCTCCTCTGGCTCTGGGCCTCTGTCCCTGTTGAGCAGTGGAGTGGCCAGGCTCTGAAGTCAGAGGGGCCCAGAGGCAGCTCGGCCAAGCTGCCCACCTCCCCTTCCTCTCCAGACCCTCCCCACACCAGATCCTTCTCCATATTAAAAAATATGTATAGTCCTTCAGTATAGTTCATGAGAGAAAACAACAACAAAAGAATTTTCTTAATAATGGTACTAGAGTCAGGAAGCAGGCCGTGGGATCCCAGGGGAGAGCGGGTAGGTAGATACAGCTACAGCCATAGCAGTCAGCTTGTACCCCTGGAGTGCAGTGGTTGAGATGGAGAAGTCAATTACCAGGCAGCACAGCTGTTTTTTAAAACTTTCTCCTGAAAGCAGGGACGTTGTTCACACTAATGCTAACGGTCGTCCAGCACCGGCTGCCACGTTGCCGCAGCTGGAAATGGGGGCTTCGGCAGTGATTCCTGGAGCGTAGGTCCGCTTTCTTGCTAGACTCTTGCCTAAGTTCAGTATGATGTCATCCTGAGTGTGTCTGTTTCCTCACAGTTTGAACAGGAAAATCAGCGACTAATTGGTGAAATGAACAGCTTGTTTGATGAAGTGAGGTATGTTTGTAGCTCCTCTGTGAGCTGATAGCCTGCTTTACAACTTTTCCAGGAACTAGGAACTTTATTTACCTTGGTGCCCAGGCATCCCCATGGGGCCCTTGGGCTGGTGCAGCCCCCCTCAGCCATTTTGACTGGGCTGGGGTGGGCATGTGGCCTGAATCCACAACTCCCTCAGCTTGTGGGCCTGTGGGTTACCTCCTGCCTGCTGCCACTGCTGCGGGGGGCCCAGGTGCTTCCCACCCCGAGAGATACAGGAGTGACTACAGATTACCTGCGTATAATTTCCACCACCATTCGGGCTGTTTCCACGCAGCGACTCTGAAATGAAATGGGGCCCTTATGAAGGGCAGCTAACCAAGGGAAGCCCTCTTCTGCAAATGGTTCCACTGGGGTCTGCCTGCTCCTGTACCCACCAGGGAGTCAGGAATGCAGAAGGCAAGGCCTTGGTCACTCACACATGCACCCGTTAGCCTCTAGTTTCTGTGGGAAGGCTTGGAGCATGCTGAAAGTAAGGCCCAGGACTTTGCAGAGCCTGTTGTATTGTGGACATGTCCCCCAAATAAAATCAATCCTGATGCTGCACTCACACAGCCTGAGGACTTTCTCAGTGTAGGTGTCAGCCTCCAAGGGGCTCTTCGCCTTCTGCCCTCAGAGATGGACCTCCTAGTCCTCCTCTGACAGCCTAGCTTTCACTGTCTGCCCCACTACCGCCCCCACCCCGCTACTCCCCCATGCCCAGATACTCACTGGCTTTTCTTCCCACATCTCCTCCCCTGCCCCCTGCCACTGTGATACTGTTGGGATTCATCACTGCTTCCACCTGGCCAGGAGCTCAGCTCCCACCACTTTTTGCCTCCTGTCACTTCCTGTCGCTGCTTTGTGCTGGAACAGCAGTTGACTTCAGCTTGGGCCAGCTTCTGTTTCTAAATAGATGTGCCCCCACCCGCCCCCCAGGGTAGCCCATGCTGCCCCTGACACCAGGAAGATGGCTAGCCCAAGTGTTTCAGATCCGACAGAACACTCCGTTGCCAAACCAAGACATGGCATTTTCTAAATGAATCAGAGGAGCTTTTTTCTTGGAACAGGGAGTTGGTTTGAAGGTAAATACACTTTTTTCTTTAACCTGCTGAGCATTAACAAAGCTGGATCATCAGCATATTCTGACCTTCTGAATCCCCACCATGTGTTACCATGGTGATGAGGCTAGGCAGAGAACTTACTGGAGACTGCTTTCTGTAACTGGGGCACAACCAGGCCCTCCCCATTCCCCGAGCAGTGACACAGAATGCAAAGGGCACTGCACACACCCACCTCTTGGGACTGAGGGTCAGTTGGCATGGTAGAGTGGACTTCCAAAAAGACCAGTGTGCTAGGCTATGCCAGAAGACAGGGAAGGTGACCCAGTAAGGAGAGTTCGCCTTCCTCTCCCATCTCCTCTTCCCCCAGCCGACACAGTGTGCCCCCTGTCTCTCCCACCTTCACGTAGAAGATAGGATTTCTTTAGAAGTGTGTAACAGTCCTGTTAGATTACCAAGTGCTAATAGTTAATATGTAATCTGTTCTTTTTATGAAGGCAAATCGAAGGGAGAGTGGTTGAGATTTCCAGACTCCAAGAGATATTCACGGAAAAGGTTTTGCAACAGGTAAAAAAACAAAAACAAAGGAGCTGTATGTTTTCACTCAAAGGGGAATGTACTTGAGAGCACGAGACATTTTTCCCAAAGGCTGCTGCTCTACACAGCCAGGAGCAGAGCCATGTGTTGCTAGCAGGTGTGTGTGCGCAGAGCTCCTCAGGGAAAAGCTCTCACTACCCAGAGCTGCCTCTGCACACGTGTGATGGAGGAGGAGCTCCCCACAGGGGACCCACTGACCACCCCATGTGGTAGCACATGCGGTGGCACGTGGGAGGAGAGTCCAGGCCTGGCAGTCAGGGTTCTGGATGTGCTGGGTAAGCTAGGTAGCCCCCACAAGCTACAGTTTCCCATCTATAGGAGGGAGGGACTCCTGCAGGGTTATTCTCTGTTTGAGAGATAACTGCAGAAGCATCCAGCACGATGCTGACGGGCAGTTGCTTTTCAGTCAGTAGGTTACAGGAGCTCAGACCCAGGCCTCTCACAACGCGCGGTCCATGCCACCTCAGGGATGGTGTCTGCGTGGGAAATAGGATTGTTCTTTTCAAGTGAATTTTCTGAAATTCTTCCAGCCAATAACTGGCAAAACTTTTCAAGACCTGATAAATTTGCCCTTTTATTTTTAGCATCCAAAGACTATGGGAACGTTTGAAAGACAAAATTTTCTCCAGTATTTTAAACTGGACTACTTGACTTAAGATACTTCACTCACAAAATGACTTTCCATAAACCACACAGCCAGAGTGAAATCATTGTAAATGAGGTACATTAAGTCTAACAGTGGTTTGCAAGTTCGGGTTCATAGGAGTCGCCCTTTTTAATAACACTACCCTGCTTCAAACCTCCCAGCGGCTCCAGGGGGCCTGGGAGGGGCGTGCAGAGCATAGGCAGAGCCTTGCCTTGGCTCACCGGGAGTTTCTTTTTCTTTTCTTTTTTTTTCTTTTTCTTTTTTTTTTTTTTGGAGACAGAGTCTTGCTGTGTCGCCCAGGCTGGAGTGCAATGTTGCTATCTTGGCTCACTGCAACCTCATCCTCCCAGGTTCAAGCGATTCTCCTGCCTCAGTCAGCCTCTTGAGTAGCTGGGATTACAGGCATGCCACCACGCCTGGCTAATTTTGGTATTTTTAGTAAAGACGGGGTTTCACCATCTTGGCCAGGCTGGTCCCGAACTCCTGACTTCAGGTGATCCACCTGCCTTGGCCTCCCAAAGTGCTGGGATTACAGACGAGAGCCACTGCGCCCGGCCCACTGGGAGTTCCTAAGTCCTGAGGAACAATGTGTCTTTCTTGTTTTTTCCATCAGTGTTGCATTGTAGTTCATATTGATTCTCTCATTGGAACCTTGGCAGTGGTCACTTAGTTCACACTTTGAGACTCTCTAAAAAGGGGTGATGATGAGGCAAAGCCATCCCAGTAATATTCATTGCTGGGAATCAGAGGCCACATGCTGCCTTCCTCCCTACAATGTGTCAGTCAGGTTTCTCTAAAAACCCACGCTAGCATTCATTCTGCCCTGACCCTGTTAGGAAGCAGCTTCACCACCACCGAAAGGAGGAGAGAAGCAGGCACTCCTGCTTGTAAGGACGTCTAGCACCGTCTCTGCTCCTGTGGGGCCAGACGCCCCCTGTGTTATCCCACGCTTCTCAAGCTTTTCAAGGCTTCGTTTGGAGTAAACGTTTTCTGTAAGCATCCTGCATCCTATTTTGATTTTTAAATTTTAGCCTGTTTTTTAAGAGATATGATGATAGTAAAACACAAAGCACTATTTTTGAAGCTAGCATATGTATTTCGAAGCACATACATTTTAAAGCTTACTTCTGTGGACTTCAGAAAGAAATGAGAGACTAGAAGGGAAGCCCCTGGCATATGGTGGCTGCTCCACAAACAATAGCTCTTAGGTTTTTGTCCGTCACCGGCGAGTGGCGCAGGAGGGATGGTAAGTGTGGCGGAAGGAGCACTGCAACAAGATGGGGTCTCAGCCCTGCGCGGTGGCTCATGCCTGTAATCCCAGCACTCTGGGAGGCCGAGGCGGGAGCATGGTGTGAGCTCAAGAGTTCAAGACCAGCCTGGGCAACATAGGGAGACCCCCCATCTCTACAAAAAATTTTAAAAATTTAGCCAGGCGTGGTGGCACATGCCTATACTCCCAGCTACTTGGGAGGCTGAAGTGGGAGGATCGTTTAAGCCCTGTCTCAAAAAAAAAAAAAGTCTCAGTCCTGCCACTTGGTTGCTGTGTGATGTGACTTTGGGCAAGTTAGTAAACTTCTCTGAGCCGTGAGTTTCCGTTTCATAAAATAGAGGTAATACCTACTTCTTGGGGTGCTGTGAGGATTTGTGGCTATGCAAGTAAAGCCGTTAGCCCTTGGTGACGGCTACTGTTCTTGTCATGATATACGCTTCAGGGAGGAGGAAGTGGCTGTATATGTCAAGCATCCCTAAACTTCAAAATGTGAAGTCCTAAGTGCTCCAAAATCTGAAACTTTCTGAGCGCTGACATGACACTCAAAGGAAATGCTCGTTGGAGCATTTTGGGTTTCAGGTTTTTGGATAAAGGATACTCAACTTGTATTTATCTTTTCTTCCACAGGAAGCTGAGATTGACAGCATTCACCAGTTAGTTGTGGGGGCAACTGAAAATATCAAGGAAGGCAACGAAGACATAAGAGAGGTAGGCACTGTTTAGGTTCCCCAGGTGCGACGTGGCGCAGCACTGAGTCCCAGCAGCGGGTGTTAGTCTCGCCGGCACAGCTGCCCAGGAGCCTTGCTGGGCAGAGCTCACGGGGCTGATCACAAAATTGTGTGACCGCGGAGCTGCGTGTGTTCATGAGACCCACCACCTGTCGCCCACCTCCAGCTGCTTTCGAGAGGCAGTGGCTCACCAGCCTCCAAAGGAGCAATCCAGGGTGGGTGGGGGTACTCCTGGCAGGGTCAGGCCAGCTCTTCATGTCCAGGGATGTACATGGGTAGCTCGTTGGCCCCCACCGAGGGGTCAGAGCCTGGCCCCTGCTTACAGAGGACACTACAGCCATCCTGTTGAGGGGACTGTTTCCCAAGCTCAGTCCTCAGGGTTGGGTCACCACGGACATCATGTTACTGGGAAACACAAAGCTTGCGGTCACACTCTGCTCGGGGCCCTTAACCCTGGGACAGAAGGGAGTGATTCCGAGAGTTGTGTTGAGGGAGAATTGTGCAGGACCCAAATGATGGCCAAACAGAGGGAAATATAACCCATTTGTCTTCTGGTGGATCTCAAAAGCCATCTATTCAAGGTAAGCACAGATGGAACGACACCCATAGTTACAGCCAGGATCAGGAGAGCACGTGGGAAGAGGGGGGCATTTCAGGGCTGCTCAAACCAAAATCCTGTGTGATAAAAACACCTGTGCTCCCGTCCCTGCCCAGGCCATTAAAAACAACGCTGGCTTCCGCGTGTGGATCCTCTTCTTCCTCGTGATGTGCTCCTTCTCCTTGCTCTTCCTCGACTGGTACGACAGCTAGCCAGGGCCACGGGGGCCCAGCACGAGAGTCCTCATGGGCACTCACAGACTGCGTGCTTTCATGTACTTCCAGTGCTGGAGCATGGTATGACCAGATTTTATCACAGTGCCATTTGAAGGGAAAGGAGTTCAGACAGACAGACGTATTCCCCAAAAAGGGATACCCCAGGCCGATGGTGTTCAGCCATTTAGCAGCTGAAAAAGGAAACAGTGCACACCAATGGGAGGCAGCCTGCGTAGCCCTCATCAGGCAAGACAGACTGAATGCAGGAGTGGGTGATTAGCTGCTCCTTGAACTTGAGGCTGCCTTGGCAGCAGGGGCACAGCAGGCCTCAAGAGCCCCTAATTGTCTCAGGGTTCAAAGGAAGACACTGACCTTTCCCATCCCGGTAGCTTCAGGGAAGATCATAGTTAATAACGTCTCTCAACAAATGATTACTTCTTTGTTTCCTTGTGGCTTCTTGTCTGTCTGAGTCAACGAATACACAGACTTACTGGATTATAGAAGAGAAAATTCACATCTGCCTTGTTAATCTAATAAATATAATTACAGCCCCTTAATGTGTTGTCAATGAGTCTAAGTTGACAAATTCAGTGGCAGCCCAGCCACCTCCTATCAATCAATCAGGGAAGAAATGCAGGGGAGACTGGGGCCCTCAGTGAGGGGCTGCCTGGCATTACTCCTCCAAAGACTGCTGCCCCCAGAACAGGCAGGGGGTGTGGGAGGGCCAGTTTCCCGCCACTGGGTCCAAGGAGCCTTTGTTCAAAGGAAGAAGTGGGCCACGGAAGAACGGGCCTGCTTCTCTCGTGCCTGTGCTTCTGACCTCCAGGAACTGTAAACAGGAACACCTATGTGTAACTGAAGGCATGAGACATCTGTACAGGAAGCATCCCAGCGCCCACATGGGCATGAGACAGTCTGCACTGCGCCTGGTGAAATGCGTGTGTGTACAGACAGTCCACTGGGCAGCACAGGTATCCTCATGTTCTTTATTTGCACAGAGTGAAATGTCAGAAGTTACATGTAAATGAATTCACAGTCAATAAAGTCCACGTCTACCTGGAAATACAGGCTCGGCCTCTGCACTGTGCGCACACGGGCTTCACTTGTGTCTATTCAGATGCGCAGGGAAGCTTTGGCACTGATTTATTGCTCTTGAGTCATTTTCCACAGCTTAACACCACCCTTCTCAGCACACGCCTCTGATGCACACCGCTGCGCCAAGGTCACGGTCTGTGTCTCCAGACACCCTTGATGAGAAAATACATTTTCTGTCTTAGAAGCACATTTCAGGAAACAAGAGTGGCGCTGACCACGGTCACCATGCCTGTTCACAACACATCTCACACTATTTGTCGTTTATTTCTGATCTAAAAAACTGAAACTTTTGACACGTACACCAGAAACAACACATTCAATAACATAGAAGAAATGTCTGCGAATGTCTTTTCTATTTGTTTTACACACTTAGTTCATCTAACTGGCAGTTTTGTAAACATAAACTTTAATATCAAGATTCAAACTGGAACAATTTTCTTACAAAGATTGTGAGTTGAAATTTGTCATTTTGTTTGCACGGTGCCACACCAGTCCCCCACCCCCACCCCACAGCCTTTCCTGCCTGTTTCCCACATCAAGGGATATCAGTTTCATAGAATAAAAATTAAAGTAGCTCAAGCTTACCAGAAATTACATTTCCACTTTTCCCACCCAGCTCATTTCTTTAAAAACTAATGGGGCTATTGGTGCAAATTTATTCATAATAGAAGTGAACCAGAGGGCCAGTGGGGGCTCTTTCCTATCAGCACATCACAGAGCAGACAGACTACCTGCAGGGAGAGTTCTGCACCTCACGGGCCCAGGGCCGTCTCTTCCCAGCCCTCTCCCTCACATGCTCTGCCAGTCTACACACACTGGAGCAAACCCCAGCTGTCTCCACCCAGATGGGTGGTGCCCCTCCCTCCTTACCAAGATGCCAGAGTCAGAGGGGAGGGAGTAGTCAATCCACACCGAGCCTGCCACATTGCAGGGCCGTCCCACCCCGACTCAGGAGTCAGCACAGGGAGGGGTGGGGGGGTCTTTTTCCTCGTTCTCTATGCCACTTACTTACTACAGTGCACCTTGGCAGCAGTCAGCACTGTTACCCGCTGATGGCCGAGGAAGAAATGCGAAGTAGGCTTGCTCTTAGCACAGCGAGAGATCACTCTAGATATGGCTATGGAGGAAGGTTTGCAGACAGCAGGGTCGGTTCAGAAAATCAATTCCACAAAATGCATTTATCTGAGATCCAAACCCTTCGCATATCCAGTGTAAATTTATTTTTTTACAGCATCCAATAAATCCCAGTAAAGGAGCTAAATGAAGATCTTAACATGAAAAGTGGTGTCAGAGCTCTTTAGGCAATGCTGAAATGCACTTGATTTTATGCCCGTGGGTGGTCGGCAGCAAGTTTTATTTGCAAAGCAGCATTAGCAAACAGAAGCAATTGCACCGTAAATGAGTAACCTCTAAAGTATCAGTAATTATATTTAATGAAATGTCCCTCAAAGTCCCTTTGTTATTTGCAAGTGACACATTGTAAGGAACTTGCCCATCCCGCTAAGCTGACTTCTCAGCCGCTTCAGTCTCCTGCTCGGACAGCTTCTCTTCTGACAGAACTGACATCCAGGGCGATACGGAGCGCGTGATGCTCTGCTTGGCCAGGTTGTAGTGGTTTATGACTGTGTAAAATTTCTCCCGGGCACTGGAGTCTTGCTCCGCGTAGTAGCTCTCCAAGCCTTCTGGGATGCACTGGGTGTTCTGAAAGACAAGAGGCCACTGAGAGCACGCGTCGGTGCAAGAGGGGGTGCCAGTGTGTCTCCAGTTGGCAGCCAACAGTTACTGAGCACCTTCCCTGAGCTTGGAGGAATAGATACAGTGATGAGCAAAAACGGGCATGGATCTTGCCCTGAGAGAGCACAGCACAGGGGAAGCCTGGCCTTGATTATTCTTAATAGACTGGCTGGTGAGTGCCATGGCAGATGGGCACTTGGGCTCCAAGGGTGCCAGTGTAATGGGACAGCAGGCCTTACTTCACTGAAGATCTTGCACTAGTTGTCATTTTTAATCAATTGGAAAACAACAACTTATGAAATATCCCAAAACAACCAATTCAAATGAGGACGGAAGGGAAGTGAGAAGAGCTTCCCTTGAGCTAGGTTCTCAGCAGACCTTAGCTAGGTGAGATGAGGGAGGGGCAGCACTCAAGGCAAAGGAAACCAGAGCAGAGAGGGGCCTTGGGGCGGGAGTCAGAAGAGGCACACAGAGCCACTAGGTGGTCATGACTAGGGGCTGGGAAGATGGCGAGGGGGTAGGGAGGGGCCGTGGGTTGGGGGAGTGCGAGACAGCACTTGGGTCTTACAGAGGTTTATCAGGAAGCGGATTCTGGCAGCAAATCCACACCCCCATTCCCTGCAGGCCAGGCCCTGTGGTTCAGGCAGGGCCGGGGGCGTTTTCCCTGTTTTGGCAGCTGTGGCTGCAGCCTGTCCTTGAGGTGAGTGGCTCACCTCCACGGGCTTAAGGCAGGTGTACAGGGATCAGCTCCTGATGCCACCCAGCCCCCATGGGGAATCCATTCTCTGTTACCAGCTCATTGAACCCTGAAGTCTAAAGATGAGAATACTTTATACCTGCAAGGCCCTTGTGAACAAAGAGCTATTTTCAAAAGAGAAATGACAAATGGAATGTGCTTCTCACCAACACTGCCCCGCATCCAGTGTTCAGGGGCTGCCACTGGCAGGAGGGCGGCGCTACAGGAGAAGGGAAGCTTTGGAGCCAGGCCCACCGTACCAGCTGAGTTCACGTGCGGAGTGTTTTCTCTCTCAATCTCAGGTCCCTCACCTATAAAATGCGGCCAATGAGTCACACCACCGTGTTGCTGAGGACTCAAGTCAATGCACAGTGGCTCAAGTAAAGAAGCCAGGATGTGCCCCAGGTCACAGTGTGGACAGAAAAGAAAGCCAAAAGACACCACTGAAGTACAGCCCTTTTATCAACAGCGTCTTGATCTCAGTCCCACCAGGACGTCGGGAAGCACCTGACACGCTACAGAACAAACAGCCCATTCAGACCAGCAGCGCGTGCATCAGGAAGGAGGCTCTGCAGGCCAGACAAACTCCCCTCCAGCCTCACCGCCACGCCCCTTCACGCTGTCCTCTCCATCTGCTGCTCGTCATCCCTCAGGGAAACGGACCAAGGGTTCCCCTCTTCCCTCCCACCTCGGCACCCAGCAGAGTCCTGCAAGACCTGATGCGGCCAACACCTGTGGAGTGGCGGCCCCGCTCAGGGCTGGCATACGAGATGGCTCAGAAACGGCCCTGCCCTACAGGTGCCCCGCCCAGGGAGAAGGACAGATGGAGTCCCCAGATGCCTCCCAGACAACGTGGCTGCCCAAAGGCAAGGCTGGGGAGGCACCTTGGTGCCCATGGTGGCGAGCACCCCAGGGGGTGAAGGGCTTCCCAACGGAAGCAGAATGCAGAGGCCTTGCCGTGAGCCCACATGGGCCAGGGAAGGCTTTCTGAGAGGCTCCTGCCGCCCCCCATACCCATCTCATACAGAGCCACCCTCACCTGTGGGGTGTGTGCCTTGAGGGGAGCGTGACTCAGCTGGGCCTGCACTTGGAGGAGCTTGGGGAGGTTCCCCAACTTCTCTGGGCCTCATTCCCTCACCTGTGAAGTGAAGCTGATGACGGACCTGTCTTGTGGGGCACGGGAGGACTGAGGTAGCTACGTAAGTGTGTTCCCAGCACCCAGCACTCAGTCAGCACTGGAAAAGAGTAGCCACTAAGGTCCGGGTGCGATGGCTCATGCCTATAATCCCAGCACTTTGGGAGGCTGAGGGTGGATCACTTGAGCAAACCCAAGAGTTCGAGACCAGCCTGGGCAACATAGCAAGAACGTGTAACCTGTCTACATGAAAAAAAAGAATGGCCAATATAAAGGGAAAAGCCAGTATAAAAATGTGGGATTTGGGGCACTTTCCCCATTATGTTTAAAACTTTTTTATAAAACATGTAGTAATTTCATGTTGTTGTTGTTTTTTTTTAAAGGCAGAGGTAGAAACCTAGTGTCCTCTCGGGCCACGTCTGCCTTTTTCACCCTCCTCACGATATGCCTCAGCTTGGGGCCACTGGGAGTGGCTGTCCAGAAAAAGCCTGTCCCCTCCCCACTGCCTGGGGCTCTGAGGTCCCTGCCCTCAAGGTGTCGAGTCCAGTGTGCACATAGTAGGAGGTACTTAGTACATGCTGACTGTACCAAGTGAACTGAAGGGCGTGACCTTGGGCTCCACGAAGAGCCTCTGTACACCCTCTAACCACTGGTAAAATGGGGATATAACAGCATCCACCTCAAAGGGCTTCTGGATGCATTCTGTGAGCAACAGGTGTAAAAGTCCCACACAAGCTGCCTAGCGTTGGTGTGTGACAAACACACGCACAAATATGGAGGGAAGAGGTCAAGGGGACTTCATGAGCTCATGCCTCTCCTTTCTCCAGCTTCGGCCAAGGGCAGCTGGATACAGACCAGCAGCTCCCTGGCCTTCCTAGGTGCCTTCTCCGGAAAGGACACCCCCTCATTAGATGCTAGTGGAAAATGCCAAAGTCCCACAGGACATCACTCCAGAACAACTTATCAGGGGACTCTCAATTCCCAAGGCTGGCTGTGGATGGGAATCACCTGGAGCGCCTTTTAAACAAAAGGTGCCAGGCCCCTTCCATTGTGGCCGCCAGTCTCATCTGCAGCCGGACACAGGACTGGGGCTTCATCTCCTGGGTCATCTCCCACCCAGGCCAGGTATCCAGCGGGACTTGGGCTTGCAGGATAGGGAAGGCAGTTTTAGCCACCCCCTCCTCCCTGTGGGGAACCTGCTCCAGGCTCAGAGAGGATGAGCCAGGAAGGAAGCTCCAGGGCAGCTGGTGAAGCCACTGGCCTCAGTTATTTGTAAGTAGCCAGTTTCGGTGGGGACTTCCGGCCCCCAGGAAGCTGTCCTCTGCTGTCCTCTCTCCGGCTCAGGGCCAGCTCCTGGGCCTGCCCGTGCTCCCTCTCCATGACATCGGCCTCCCTCAGTAACTAGCTCTGCACCAGGCCCTTTCCTTTTACCCCTCTGCCTCCCAGATTAAATCAGTTCTCCAGTCTGCAGTCTCCCCTCCATCCCCAGCGCCCCAGTCTTCTCTTCCCTCAGCCACTGCAGCAGTCTCCTTGGTCATCTCACTGCCCCGTCTCTCCCTTCCAATCTCCAGCCTCCCCAGGTGACCCAAGAGGTCACCCTATCACTTCCCCCTCCTCCAGGGGCCTGTGCCTGGCACTCAGGATGCACCCGCTCTGGCCGTAAGCTGGTTCATCCTCTGCCGCCTCCCTGTGCCTGTGGCTAGCCCCCCACCAGCACACCCCCACCAGCACGTCCCCACTGCCCGCTGCTCCCTCTGTGCTCCTCTACCATCACAAACCCCTTCCCACTGGGTCAGGGCCAGCACTGCCCTCGTTCCCTGAAGCCCGCACCCTCCGCTTCTGCTTGTTGTAAAGCCCTGGTGTCCTCTCAGCCTCCAAAACAGACTCAAACTCTCCCAGCCCCAGCCTAGGGCGTGGACGGGGCTTGCTGAATAAAACATGAGTGAAAGGGTGGGGGCTTTCCTTGGCTGGGCACACTCCCCCAAGACCCGCAAGCTCCCTGGCTCACCTCCTGGAGACCCGCTCCTCCAATGTGGACCATCCTTCTAGAAACTACCGCCCACATGCCCATGCCCAACCCCTGGGCCCTCTTTCCTGTCTGTCTATAGCCTTCACATTCAGTGTACGACTGACTTCCTCACCGTTCATTTGAGAATGTAAGAGCCTCGTGAAGGCAGGGGGCTGTACCTGACTGGCTCTCGGCTGTGTTCCAGCGCCTAGAACAATAGCAAGAGCTGCTGGCACGGGGTGGGTGCCATGTACATGCCTGCCCAAGGGAGGAAGAGCTGAATGTCGGGAGCCTGAAGGACAGCATGATGTGCAAGGAGAAAAAGGGACTTGGGCTGGACAACGTGAATTCCAGCCTTTCCTGCTAATCGCGTAAGGACTCTCTGCGTCCTCATATCAGCAAAAAACAAAACCTAAATGAAACCCAAACCCAAGCTACCCAGTGACAGCTGCCAAGCCAGGCTTCCCTGTGCACGTGCTCAGTGCTAGAAACAGTTGGCTTCTCCTGCTTTATTTTAATCTCAGCAGTGCCAAGCCCTGGAGATGAGCATCTCACACTGACTCTGGGAAGTTCAGAGCCAGCTACTGAGTGTATGGATAACGGGAGCCCACAGCTACCGAGTGTATGGATTCCGTGAGCAACAGGTGTAAAAGCCCCACACAAGCTGCCTAGCGTTGGTGTGTGACAAACACACGCACAAATATGGAGGGAGGAGGTCAAGGGGACTTCATGAGCTCACGCCTCTCCTTTCTCCAGCTTTGGCCAAGGGCAGCTGGATACAGACCAGCAGCTCCCTGGCCTTCCTAGGTGCCTTCTCCGGAAAGGACACCCCCTCATTAGATGCTAGTGGAAAATGCCAAAGTCCCACAGGACATCACTCCAGAACAACTTATCAGGGGACTCTCAATTCCCAAGGCTGGCTGTGGATGGGAATCACCTGGAGCGCCTTTTAAACAAAAGGTGCCAGGCCCCTTCCATTGTGGCCGCCAGTCTCATCTGCAGCCGGACACAGGACTGGGGCTTCATCTCCTGGGTCATCTCCCACCCAGGCCAGGTATCCAGCGGGACTTGGGCTTGCAGGATAGGGAAGGCAGTTTTAGCCACCCCCTCCTCCCTGTGGGGAACCAGCAAGTGCGTTTTACAGCCACACGCGGCATAACAGCATTTGGGTCAACGATGGACCACATGCCATGGTGGCCCCATAAGACTGTCACGGAGCTGAAACCTCCTGTCGCCTGGTGACCTCGCAGCCACCGTGTAGACGGAACACAACACACTCCTCACTTTGCGGAGGTGCTGGTATACACACACCCCCTGCACTGTCAGCTGTATAAACGTCTTGCACATACAATTACATACAGAACATAATACTTGACAGTGACAATAAACGCGTATGTTACTTGTTTATGTTACCGTACTATACTTTTTAATCAGTATTTTAGAGTGCATGCCTAGTTATTAAAAAAAAAAAGTTAACTCTAAAAGAGCTTCAGGGAGCTCCTCCAAGAGAGATTCTGGAAGAAGGCAATGTTTTGTTTTGTTTTGTTTTGTTTTGTTTTGTTTTGTTTTGTTTTGTTTTTAGACGGAGTCTCCCTCTGTTGCCCAGGCTGGAGTGCAGTGGCATGATCTCAGCTCACTGCAACCTCCGCCTTCTGGGTTCAAGCGATTCTCCTGCCTCAGCCTCCTGAGTAGCTGGGATTACAGGCACCCGCCACCATGCCTGGCTAATTTTTGTATTTTTAGTAGAGACGGTGTTTCACCATGTTGGCCAGACTGGTCTTGAACTCCTGACCTCAGGTGATCCACCCACCTAGGCCTCCCAAAGTGCTGGGATTACAGGCGTGAGCCACTGCACCTGGCCTGGCATTGTTATCCTAAGAGATGACAGCCCTGTGCCTGTCACTGCTCCTGAAGACCTTCCAGTGGGACAGGGTGTGGAGGCAGAAGGCGGTGATACTGTGGATCCTGACCCTGTGCAGGCCTAGCTAATGTGTGTGTCTGTGTCCTTAGCTTTAACAAAAATGTGTTGGAAGTAAAAAAAGAATTAAAAAATTTTTTAATAGAAAAAGCACATGTAGAAAAATAATATACAGTTGTGCAAGATGTTTGAGCTTTAAGCTAAGTGTTATTACAAAAGAGTCAAAAACTTACATTTTAAAAGTTTATTGGCTGAGTGTGGTGGCTCACGCCTGTAATCTCAGCACTTTGGGAGGCCGAGGTGGGTGGATCACCTGAGGTCAGGAGTTCGAGACCGGCCTAGCCAACATGGTGAAACCCTGTCTCTACTAAAAATACAAAAATTAGCCGGGTGGTGGCGCACACCTATAATCCCAGCTACTCAGGAGACTGAGGCAGAAGAATCGCTTGAACCCGGGAGGCAGATGTTGCAGTGAGTCAAGAACGCACCATTGCGCTCCAGCCTGGGCAACAGAGTGAGACTCCATCACACACACACAAAAAGTTTATGAAGTAAAAAGGTTACAGTGAGCTCAGGTTAATTTATTACTGAAGAAAGAGTATGTTATGAATGGAGTGTAGCCCACATGTCCAGCGCTCACTCGTCTACAGGAGTGCACAGCCATGCCTCGGCCTTCGCATTCACTCACCACCCACTCCCTCACTCACCCACCCAGACCAGCTTCCGGTCCTGCAAGCTGCATTCATGATGGAAATGCCCTATTCAGGTGGACCATGCGTTATAACGTGTTTTTACTGGACCTCTTCTATGTTTAGATACACAAATACTTACCATCGTGTGACAACTGCCTACATTGTTCAGTATAGCAACATGCTGTCCAGGTTTGTGGCCTAGGAGCAGTCGGCCATACCCTCCAGCCCGGGTGTGTAGCAGGCTGGGCCGCGTGGGTGTACAGGACACTCTGTGAGGCTGGCACAATGATGGAGTCGCCTAACAACGCGTTTCTCAGGACGTATTCCCGTCACTAAGTGATGCGTGGCCAGGCCTCCCCTGGCTCCGTCTTCTCTTTCCACCCTTATCTCCCCTCCCTTTAATCCCGTTGCCTTGCATGTCACTTGTGGGCTTTTGGGAATGAGCATTATATATGCAAAGCGAGCATTTCCATGCCTGTAGAGAGCCCAGCACCAGTGTGGCTCCTGCGGTGGGACAGGCAGGAGAGGGACACAGGTCAGGAGGGTGGGTGTGCCCCCCAGCCCTGCTCCCCTTTCCCTGCGTGGCCTTGGGCAAGGCCTTCCTCTCTGTGGGACTTGGCTTCCCCCAGTACATCCTCTCCTCTTTCATGTGGCGGACATGGTCCCGTCTCTCTCCCTCCCTCCCCCAGAGCAATCCGCTGGGATCCGGTAGGTATCATCCTGGGCATTTCCCACGGCAGACCCTGGCTGGGCCCACTTTCGAGGAGGGCCCTTCCCCGGACTGCTGAGGTCAGCTCCCAGGGGCCAAGTCCGGGAGTTTCCTTCCTGTGGGTCTCATGTGCCCCCTGCCTACCTGCCCTGCTCTCCAGGTGGGCCTTCCACAGGGACACTCCTGACACTGGCCCCCTGCTGCTCTAAGGCCTGTCCGTGGGCCAGCTGGGGGAGACGGCAGGAGCAGCCTTGAGTTCAAGGGAGAGAACATGGGGTGCAAAGGCGTCCCAGGGCCTCTGGGGGAAAACGGAGTTTTACCTTGAGGACGAACCCATCGGGGCAGGCGCGGTCATACTTGTACACCTTGTAGACAACCAGGAAGACGACGCAGGTGAGGAAGGCCAGGGCGAAGAGGACCAACACGGAGACCTGTGGGCAGAGGTGGGACTGTCAGGGGTGGCCGGAAGGCAGCAGGACAGACACACACACACCCGCACACGAAGGCCCCCCCCCACACAGCATGTGCAGAGACTATCTCTGGAAGAACCTGGTAAGGGCAGCTAGGCACAAGAGGTTAGAAGCATCACTGTTCACTGGGCAATTTTTTGGTAACATTTTAATTTTTCACCATATTCATAAGTGACATTCATTTTAAATTAGTTATTTTTAGTACCCAAGGTCCTGCATAGAGAGCTCAGGGTACAGATATGAAGAAGCCCCACTGTTGCCCAGGCAGCTCTCGGGCCACTAAGACACATGTGTGAGAAGTGGGGTTGGGCTGCCCACTGCCCCATCACGGCGGTGGTGCATCAGCTACCAGCCAAGCATCCGCTCAGCAAATGTGTCCTGAGCCCTGGGCTCAGTGCTGGGACGCAGTGTCGCATGGACACCAGCCTGCTTTTGCGTGGGACCAGGAAAGACAGAACCTCTGCAGCCCCATTGGCCTTCGCCCTCGGCGGTTTCCCATGTGGTTAATTAAGTGTCCTCAGGGACAGGGATTCGGTTTTCTTCACCATGGTATGCTGAGCACTAGACAGCCCCAGCACACAGTAGGTGTTCAGCTGGTGTTTACAGATGAACTCACGACAGCTGCAAGACAGCTGGCTTGGAGGGGGACAGCCTGCCCCGGCTGGAGGGCACGGGGCATGGGTCACTAGATGACACTGGACCTGGACCTTGAAGGCACTCACCCGGCTGCCAGGGAGCCTGGCAGGGACGAGAGTATGTCTCAAAGCCAAAACGGGCTGGGCGTGGTGACTCACACCTGTAATCCCAGCACTTTGGGATGCCGAGGTGGGTGGATCACCTGAGGTCAGGAATTCGACACCAGCTTGGCCAACAGGGCGAAACCCCATCTCTACTAAAAATAAAAATTAGCCGGGCATGTTGGTGCGCACCTGTAATCCCAGCTACTCAGGAAAGCTGAGGCAGGAGAATCGCTTGAACCCAGGAGGCAGAGGCTGCAGTGAGCTGAGATAGTGCCACTGAACTCCAGCCTGGGTGACAGAGCGAGACTCTACCTCAAAATAAATCAATCAATAAAAAGCTAAAACAGCGTGCAGATGGCCCTCCGCCTGCCCAGAGAGGCAGAGAGAGCGATGGGGCTCCCTGGCCGGGTGGGAGGATGCCAGGTGCCAGCACGTGGCAGGGCCTCCGTAATCGTATGAACATGCACAGAGCTGCTCGCTCCCCACCGCCCCTCCCAGCAGCCTGGAGGATGCGAGGGGCTGGGACTCTCCCCTGGCCACATACAGACCCTACAGCCAACAAGGTTAAAGAACTGGGGAGCTCTGCTGCTTCCTAAGGCTGCAGTCCCGAAGCTCAACTGGGTAGACCCTCCAGCAGAGTGCCCTCCTGAGCCCTGCCCGCTTCAGGAACTCTAGGCTTGGAGTCCCCTAACACCATGCAGTCCCCAGTTCCCATCTGTGATAGGAGACCAAGGGCGTCCCAGGCACTGGTCCTGGGGAAGCAGGAGATGTACGTGAGAAAGTGTCCTATCAGCCGTGCAGCATGGTCACCTGGGAGACGGGCGGCCACCCTGCCGTGAATGCTGAGGCTAACCCTCCTTCTCTTTGGGGGCCCCTATGCACCCCCTGCAAGCCGCTCAGGCCCCAGCACCAGGGCCCAGGGTGCAGATTCTGCCTGCAGCTCTGCACCTTCGCAGCTTACCAGCCTCACCACCTTGGAAGCCCCTTAACCTCTCTGAGCCACAGACTCCTTCCCTATGACATGGGACGACACCTCCACCACGTCCCCGTCTCTGCAAGGCTGCAGATGCCTGGAGAGCCACACTAGTCACTGCAGCTCATCCCCTGCCTCCACTTCCCGGAGGTCTTCATCTCCAGGCCTCACAATTGTCCCCGAGCCTGCATCCTGACTGCAGGGAGCCCTGGCCACAGGACCAGCTGAATGGGGTGGCTCAGAGCTGAGGGACGTGGCCTCTCTGCAGTCAGATTCCTGTCCATTGTGCTGCCAGATTCATTGGTCCCAGGGGCTCTCAGCACAGTGCCCGGGGCAGGACAAGGGCAGCACCAAGACCCTGAGACCCCAGCCCAGGCTGCTCTCGCACTCCGCCTGGCTACCTGCTACATCCCACCGCCCGCCCTCCCATCTCCCCAGCTCAGACCCACTACAACTCCAATGAGACCTGTCCCCTCTGTGTCCCTTCACCTAGGGAGGGACCCCTCAGGCCCCTGGCAGGCAGATTCACATCCCCTCTGAGCAGGCCCATCCTCCTGGTCCCCAGGTCCTGCCAGTTCCTCAGTCACGTCTCCCGCCTCCACTCCCCCAACCCCGACCGTAGGTTGCCTTCTCAGGGCCATCACCCTCTCTAAGGGCCAGAGAAACTCCAGTCCACTGGGATGGCCTACAGTGCATATGGAGCCTGTGCCTGACAAGGGACACAGACAGGATGGAGCCAGGCTGCTCCCCAGGGCCGCAGTGCCCACAGGGAAAGGCGCCGTTTAGTCCAGATCACAGCTGCAGTGCACAGGCCAGCGCACAGCACCTGGGCCAGGGCAGCAGAGCGCAGAGCTGTGATGAAGCAGGCAGAGCTGGCCGGAGAAAGAAGGCGCAGCCGTCTGAGGCACGTGGCAGCCAGAGGCAGTGGCAGGAGCCCAGCCAGGGAGGGCTGCCTGGCGATGATAGCCGCAAGCCCTGATGGTGCCTGGGGTTGGGACAGGCTCTGGACAGGGGCCGGAGCACAGACCCTGCGGCTCTAGCTCACTGGCCGGGAGTCTGGCACCTGGCTCCAGCCTGTGAATAGCAGTGAAAGGAACGCCTTCCAGGGACAGTCACGGGACACTGAGAACAGCACCTGGGTTGGGGGGGAGCATGACGGAGCTGTCTGCTGTCGCTGCTGTTATCCTCACTCTCATCTCCTCACTGGCCCTGGGGTGTGCGCCTGGCAGACAGCAGAGCGGGCTCTCAACCCTCTAACCAGCTGCCCCGTCGCATGTTCACCCGGGGCCAGCCTGCCCGGGCTCCAGCTACCTGCCTTTCTCCAAGTCTACACTGCAGGGCTGCCTCACTCAGGGTGGTCCAGAAGGACTTGGTTCCATTTAACTGGCCTCCTTCGTAACCCTTTGCATTTTATTCTGTGCATCTGAAAACACTATTCTGAGAAGAGAGCCAAGCCACCACAGGTGCAGATGTCCTGTTAGAAGAGGGTTTCAGGGGCAGACGTGGTGGCTCACGCCTGTAATCCCAACACTTTGGGAGGCAGAGGCGGGTGGATCATGAGGTCAGGAGTTCAAGACCAGCCTGGCCAGCATGGTGAGACCCCGTCTCTACTAAAAATATAAAAAATTAGCCGGGCGTGGTGGTGAGTGCCTGTAATCCCAGCTACTCAGGAGGCTGAGGCAGGAGAATCGCTTGAACCCAGGAGGTGGAGGTTGCAGTGAGCCAAGATCGCGCCACTGCACTCCAGCCTGGGCAACAGAGTGAGACTCCGTCTCAAAAAAAGAAGAGGGTTTCAAGTCCTTGAAGAGATGGGGCATCATTAAACCTGTTTCTCCAGTTGGGAAGCCACATCAGTTTGGCTCCTGGTACCCCACCTGTCTAGATTTAAAAAGAACCCCCATTCTCTCCTGCAGGGCTGTGGGGGAACCACCTCCTCGGGGGTGTCCTCCGAAACCTGGCCAAGCCTTTCCTCCAGGATCCCAGGCCCAACGGCTGAGGAGCCAGCCGAACCGTGCAACGAGAATGCGAGAGTCCCTGGAACAGTCAAGGGGAGAAGGGCAAAGAAATACATCCAGGGAGAGTCAGCGGGCGGCCCGTGGTGTGGCAAAGAGCTCCCCTACAGGCTGAGCTCTCTCTTCCCCCTGCCCTGTGCAGACTCTGGAGCTGGGGTCTCCTCAGCCACTGCAGGGCACAGCATGGGGTCCATGGCCTAAGGAGAGAGAGGGCCACGGGCCTCTCCAGAAACTGGCTCGGAATTGAATCCTGTAAGCTGCTGCCTGTGTGATCTTGAACAGGTCACCTGGCCTCTCTGGGCCCCACATCTCATCGCCAAAGTGGGGGAACCATGCCTTACACCCTGACGCATCTCAGGAGAAGGACAAGAGACCACAAGTTGAGAGCACGCTGGGCCCCTCAAAAAGAGATGCTGAAGTCCAGCCCCCAGGATCTGTGAAGGGGACCTGATTTGAAAATAGGATCTTTGCAAATGAGCCCATCAGGGTGGGCCCTAATCCAACCAAACTGGTGTGTCCTTATAAAGAGGGGAAATTTGGATGTAGACAGACACGCATATAGGGAGAGGGCCGCGTGAGGACGGAAGATTACAGCACTGTGTCTACACAGCAAAGCCAAGGATGGTGGCAACCTCCAGGAACTAGGAGGGGCAAGGACAGAGTCTCCCCTGCAGGTTTCCAAGGGAGCACAGTTCTGCCGAAGCCTTGATTTCAGACTTCTGGCCTCCAGTAGTGGGGGAGTAAATTTCTGTTGCTCTGAGTCCCCCCAGTTTGTGGTACTTTGTTATAGGGCCCCTAACAGCAGAGTGACTTCACAGGGGTCAGGACTGGCTCCCCTCCCCCATACTTGTTCTCTCTGCCATTACCCCGTTCCTTCCGCACCATGCCAGGCTGCCCTGCCCTCTCTCCTTGCCCTTCAAAGCCCTGGCCAGGCCCCCTGCCCCAGGAAGGCTCTGGAACATCCCAGCCTCTATCGGGACACCAATCGTGAATGCAGGCACCAAGGAGCCCAGCATCTCTTTTTTCCTAATTAAAGTGAAATAAAAGTGTCACAGTTTGGAGACTTTCCTAAGTCCCTGCCCCCTCCCCATGAGATACTTAGAAGAATTCTGGAACATTGGATGATGTTACTGAGCCAGACATCGGCGTTTCCTCCAGGACCTTGCAGTATCTTTTAAGCTTCCTCTACAACAACATGCCATGATCGGAAGCATCTTGGAGAACCACGACCACCAGCAACTCCATCGTTCAACCAATTTGAAAATACTTGATGGACGAACTAGCCATTCATGCCAGGGACTAAAAGTGAGATAAGCCCGGGTTCCTGGCCTGCTCGGCCACACGCAGTGACCCTGCAAAGGGCATTCGCCCCAACGCCTGGTTTCCTGTGAAAGGGGGATGCCGGCCCAGCACCTGCGTCTATGATGGGGTGTGCAGGAGACCCCATGGCTGGCAAACAGTGGGCACGGTGAGCTGGGTGAGCCATTGTTACCCTATGGGAGCCCCACTCCCACACAATGTTGCAGGCTCCATGCTGGGCAGAAGCTGGAGACCGTCCAATTCAACGCCTTTCTTTACACATAACAAACGCCTTGTCATTGAAAAGGCAGCACCTCCAAGTCGGCCAACAGGACCCAGGTGATCCTAAGAGGCCGGTGTTGGCTATGCAAAAAGAGAGGTGGCGGCCATTCGCAGTGACTCCAGCCTGGGTACAAAATGGACTCAACTGTGGCTGCCAATGAGAATCATGGGAGGCTCTAATGTCCCCATCATCTGGACTCCACTCCAAGTAGCGATAGCGGCATAGCAAGTTTAAAACTCTCCAGATGCCTCCCGCATGTAGCCTAAGCTGGAAGCAAGGGGATAAACAAAGGATTCCACATCTGGGCAGAATTCCTGGGGGCTCTCGAGCTACACCCCCCACCAGACTTTATACTCTCACACCAAAACACTACCATTAGGAGGAGCTCTGGAGACGTCCGCCGCCTTCTGCACTCTGGTCAGCATTTAAAGTCTGCGTACTCCTAACACAACACCTGCAAGGCAGTATTACTGACTGTGTTTTACAAATGGGGAAACTGAGGCTCAGATGTACATGACTGGGCCCAGGCAAACTGGCTGTCGTTGGCTGAATAACGGCCCTAAAGACACCCAGGTCCTACTCCCGGAAATGTATATGGTAAGGGACTTTGCTGATTCAATCAAGTCAAGGACCTTGAGAAGAGGAGATTATCCTGGATGATTAGGTGGGCTCTAAAGGTAATCACAGGTGTCCTCCTAGCAGGGGAGCAGAGGGAGGTGCCCCTGCTGAGGAGGCGGCGACTTGAAGACAGAGAAAAGAGCAGAGAGAAGCTTGAAGACATTGCGCTACAGGATATGACGGCGGAGGACGGGACCATGAGCCCCATGTGATTCCAGAAGACAGAAGCGGCAGGGAAACAGTGTCTGCCTAAGAGCCTCCGGACAGAGCAGGGCCCGGCACACCCCTTGATTTTGGTGCAATGAAACTGACTTAGGACTTCTGACTTTCAGGCCTGGGGAGAATGCCCGTGCGCCGTCTTCAGCCATGGCATGGGTGGTAATTTGTTACACTCACCTCTCCTTTCAGTTCATCTTCCCACAGATGGAGCCCCCGAGGGCAGGGCTGTGATTCACACATCTGGCACAGAGAAGATGCCTCCTGCACGTTCAGCGAGTGAGTGAGTGAGTGAGTGAGTACAACCAGCAGATACTCCATCTCCTAATGAACACACACTGAACAACTCTTGGACACCTGGAGCCGACCCAGAATAACGTCTACGCATCGAACAGAACGTGGATTTAGTTTGCAGGAGGTGCTGGCTGTCTTGGTTTTATTAAGCAAATGATCTCGCCTGGGAAGGAAGCAGATCCAGGGCAGCTCTTCCATCCACGCCCCGTGGGTTGATAGACAGTGTCTGATTCCCATGCCTGGCTTCTCCAGGTGGGCCAGGCAGTCTCTAGGTTGGGAGAAGCGCATTTCCTTAGAAGCCGGGCCTTTCTTCCACCAGGCACAGGAAGTGCGGGGCCCACACCCGGGCCCACCGTGCCTGCAGGAACCCATGAACCTGTTCAAGTTTTTGTTTCAAAATCAAAGGAGAAAGGCCGGGCACCATGGCTCAGGCCTGTCATTCCAGCCCTTTGGGAGGCCGAGGCGGGCGGATCACGAGGTCAGGAGATCGAGACCATCCTGGCTAAAAAACGGTGAAACCCCGTCTCTACTAAAAATACAAAAATTAGCCGGGTGTAGTGGCGGACGCCTGTAGTCCCAGCTACTTGGGAGGCTGAGGCAGGAGAATGGCGTGAACCCGGAAGGCGGAGCTTGCAGTGAGCCGAGATCCCGCCACTGCACTCCAGCCTGGGCGACAGAGCAAGACTCCGTCTCAAAAAAAAAAAAAAAAAAAAAAAAAAAAAAAAAATAACCAGGCGTGGTGCTGCGTGTCTATAATCCCAGCTACTCGGAGGGCTGAGGCAGAAGAATCATTCGAACCCGGGAGATAGAAGTTATAGTGAGCCAAGATCATGGACTGCACTCCAACCTGGGCTACACAGCAAAACCCCATCTCGAAAAAAAAAAAAATCAAAGGAAAAAATAAGAAACCAGGCTGGGTGCTGTGGCTCATGCTGTAATCCCAGCACTTTGGGAGGCCGAAGCGAGAGGATCACTTGAGCCCAGGAGTTCGAGACCAGCCTGGGCAACATAGGGATAACTCATTTCTGCCAAAAAAAAAAAAAAAAAAAAATTAGCTGGGCATGGGGGTAAGCATCTGTGGTCCCAGCTGCTCAGGAGGCTGATTTGGGAGGATCGCTTCAGCCTGGGAGTTTGAGGCTGAAGTGAGCCGAGATGGTGCCACTACACACCAGCCTGGGTGACAAAGCGAGGCCCTGTCTCAAAAAATCATCATCATCATACTGACACTGGTGAATCTATATTGAGGAACCCAGCCTGGACTATATTCATCTTTAGATCAAAGCAGTCAAAATTTTCTCTTTTTTTAATGAAGGAAGGGGTCCATGATGGCCAAAGCACCTCAGTCCCAAAAGGCCCTGCCTTCTTCCTTCTTACTGGAATCCCCAGGCAGCCAGGGGACATTCTCAGGTGCTTTGACGTGGTTGAGCAGCCCTGCAGGGCTGTACGGTCCCACAGCGTCACCCTGGTGTTAACTCTTCCCAACACAGGGCGAGAACTGCTAAAGAGCCAGCCCCGATAACTTTGCTAGGGAAGGCTTCTGGGAGGAGGTGTCCATGTCCCAAAGGAGGAGGAGCTTACCAGGGAGGAGGGAAATGGGAGTCCAGCAGGAAGAAAGGGTTTGTGCCACGGGCCTGAAGCATCAAAAAACCCAGTGTCTACGACCAGTGTGGCTGCAGCATCGCACACCCTGCAGGAGAGGGAACACGAGCCCGGCGACAAAGATGCCTGTCTGCCACACCAAGACACTGGAAGCAGACAGGTCCCGGGTGTTTCAGGACCCCAGGAAGCAACTGCCACTTTGTGACAAACTAGCATTTCTCACAGCACAAGCAGTCATCTGAAGGACAGATGCCTACCACTGATATGCATGCATGTGTGTATTACAGCAGGGTCTACATTATCCCGAAATTTACATCACTTCTGTGCAGCTGGCAGTAAAAGCTCTAAAGCAGGGGCAATGGGATTATAGCTGCTGGGCAGGGATTTGTACTCATTGCTGTGCATCCCACGGTGGCCCAAGGTGGCCCAGCCCCCACTGCTGTGGGTGTTAAGGGATAGTGCACTGGAGCAGCGGGTGCAGGGCTCCACCAGGTTTGTGTCATTGACCTCTTTGGCAGCTGTGTGAAACCACAAATCCTTAGAATGATGTTTTAAATGAGTAAAACACAATACATAGACTTGCAAGGAAAACTGATTATATTGAAATACTGGTATCGAAATATTACAAAAATATAAATTTGTGATAGATATGCATTTATTAACACACTGAACAAGATCTGATACTGTGGCTTCAAAGGAACCATGAGCAATAAACACTGTCCCAAGACCACACTGTCCCACAGCTGCAATGTGATATAAAAACACCTGGTATGCATTGGTGACAAAGTCACAAGTACTACTAATACCTCTGTGGTTTACTGCCTACATTAAAAAGTGAAGGAATTTGTACACTGAAAACTATAAAAAATTTTTGAAGGAACTTAAAGAGGATATAAATAAAAGGAAAGATACCCTGTGTTCACAGATTGAAAAACATAATATTGTTAGGATGGGAACACTTTCCAAACTGATCTACAGATTCAAAACCATCTCTGTCAGCAACCCAAAGGTCTTTTTGTTTGTTTGCCGAAAATGGAAATTACAAGGGACCCTAAAGAGCCAAAACTGTTTTCAAAACCAGTCTTGAAAACAAAGAACAAATTGGAGGAGTTCTCAATTTTAAAACTTACTACAAAGCTACGATAATCAAAACGGAGTGGTATTAGCATAAGACGAGATATATAAATCCACGTAATACAATTGAGAGTCCAGAAACAAAACTATGAGTCCATGGTCAACTGATTTTCAATAAGGGGGCCAAGACCATTCATTCAATAAGGAAAGAACAGTCTCTTCAACAATGCTGTTAGGACCACATGCAAAAGAATGTGACCCTTACCTCATACCATATATAAAAACTAACTCAATTGAGTCAAATATCTAAATATAAAAGCTAAGCCATAAAACTCTTAGAAGAAAACACAAGGGAAAAATCTTCATGTGATTTGGCAATGGTGTCTTAGATCAGGGGTCCCGAACCCCTGGGCTGCAGACCAGTACCAGTCCATGGCCTGTTAGGAACTGGTCTGCACAGCAGGAGATGAGTGGCAGGTGAGCAAGCATTATTGCCTGAGCTCTGTCTCCTGTCAGATCAGTGGCAGCATTAGATTCTCATAGGAGCATGAACCCTATTGTGAACTGTGCATGCAAGTTGTGTTCTCCTTATGAGAATCTAGGTTGTGTTCTCCTTATGAGGATCTAATGCCTGATGATCTAGTTTCATCCCAAAACCATCCCCTGCTCCCTGGTCAGTACAAAAACTGTCTTCCACAAAACCAGTCCCTGGTGCCAAAAAGGTTGGGGACCGCTATCTTAGATAGCTATGACACCAAAAATACAAGCAATAGAAGAAAAAATAAATGATACTTCACCAAAAATGTAAGATTTTGTTTATCAAAGAAACTAGCAAGAAAGTGAAAAAAGAACCTATAGAATGGTAGAAAATATTTACAAATCACATATCTTACAAGGGCTTATATATATATAAGCATATCTTACAAGGGCTTATATATATCCAAAATATATAAGGAACTCTTACAACTCAACAACAAAAACACGGCTGGGTGAGGTGGCTCACACCTGTAATCCCAGCACTTTGGGAGCCCAAGGCAGGAGGAATGCTTGAGTCCAGGAGTTTGAGACCAGCCTGGGCAACATAGTGAAACCCCATCTCTACAAAAAATATGAAAATTAGCTGGGTGTGGTGGTGAATGCCTGTAGTCCCAGCTACTCCAGGGGCTGAGGTGGGAGGATCACTTGAGCCCAGGAGGTCGAGGCTGCAGTGAGCTGAGATCCCACCACTGCACTCCAGCCTCGGCGACAGAGTGAGACCCTGTCTCAAAAACAACAACAATAAAAACACAAACAAACTGATTAAAAAATGAGAAAGGACTTGAGTAGACATCTCTCTGAAGAAGAGATACAAATGGCCAACAAGTACATGAAAAGATGCAGGACATCATTAGCCATTAGGAAAATACAAATCAAAACCATAATGAGATACTACTTCATATCCACTAGGATGGCTATAATAAAATAAAATAAAAACAAACAAGTGCTGGTGAGGATGTGGAGAAATTGAAACCATTGTGCATTGCTAATGGCAATGTAAAATGGTACAGCTCTGTGGAGAAGTTTGGTAACTCCACAATACGTTAAATATCAAATTACCACACAGCCCAGCAATTCTACTCCGGGGCATATACCCCCAAAAATTCAACAGGTATTCAAACAAAAACCTGTAAATGAATGTTCACAGCAGCGCTACCCACAACAGCCCAAATGTGGAAACAACCCAAATGTCTATCAACCAATGAATCAATAAACAAAATGTGGTCTATCGGTACAATGGAATATTACTCAGCCATGAAAAGGAATGAAGCAGTTGTAAGTGCTACAACGTAGCTGAGCTTTGAAATAGCATGCTAAGTGAAAGAGGCCAGATAGATGGTCACATCACATCTTACAAGATTCTATTTCTATGACATGTCTAGAATAGGTAAGTCACAGGGACACAAAACAGATTTGTGGCTAACCAGGGGCTGTGGGGGGGGGCATGGGAGTGACTGCTTAATGGGAATGGGGTCTCCTTTTGGGGTGATAAAAATGTGCTGGAACTAGCTTAGTGATGGTGGTTGGACAACATGGTGAATGTATTAAATGGCACTGAATTTAATATGGCACTTACCTTAAAGCGGTAAGTTTTATATTTTGCATATTTTACCACAATTATTTAAAGAATGGGCCAAGCCGGGCGTGGTGGCTCACACCTGTAATCACAGCACTTTGGGAGGCCGAGGCAGGTGGATCACGAGGTCAGGAATTCAAGACCAGCCTGGCCAAGATAGTGAAACCCCATCTCCACTAAAAATACAAAAATTAGCCGGGCATGGTGGCAGGTGCCTGTAATACCAGCTACTTAGGAGGCTGAGGCAGGAGAATCACTTGAACCTGGTGGGGTGGAGGTTGCAGTGAGCCGAGATCGTGCCACTGCACTCCAGCCTGGGTGACACAGCAAGACTCCATCTCAAAAAGTAAAAAAGAAAAAGAAAAAAATAAAGAATGGGCCAGAGGAGAGAGGCGGGAGGCTGGTGTCGCAAACTATTGTGGGTGTGCTGACAAGAGGCCATGAGCCCCAGTGGAAGGCAAGGGAGACCTGAGGAGTGTTTTCTGGAAAGAACAGCCGGGAACAGAGAAATACAAACAGGATCTGGGCCTCAGGGTGCGTTTATAACGAGTGGATAAGGAGGGAATATGTGTCCTCGAGGCTTGGGGGTCCTGGGTGATGGCCGCCACCCAGCATCCTGGCCAATCACTGTGTCTGCTGTCACTCACAGAAGGGCCCCACCTGGGCCAGGAGTTACATGGTCACTCACGTGAAAGGCAGTGGCCCGTGGCCTTGTTCTGGGAACGCTCACCGTCTGGACAGGGAAGCGTGAGCGGCCTCAGCACTGGCTGTGCTCCCGTCTGCCCTCTCAGGTCTGGGGCCACTGCCCAGCTCAGGGTCCACAGGGGAGTTGCCCTGCACACCCCACTGGCATGGAGGACGGAGCACAGTGGGATTTGGTGTGTCACCCTCATTAGCTGGGTGACCTTGGGTCTGTTCCTTAACCTTTCTGGCCTTATTTCCCCACCTACAAAATCAGGACAGCAGGGTCAACCATCAGAGACTAACAGGGAACGAGACAGTGCTCATGGCGCCCCAAGCCCAGGCATGCACTGGGTCGATGGCGCCAGGTCGACGGCGCTGGGTGGCTGCTGTTACTCTCCCCATCCTCCTACCCTCAGGCGGAGGGAGAAGGAAATGAGCATTTCTGCTGAGTAATTCAGTTTAAAAAAAAAAAAAAAGGAAAAAACTTGGAAAAAGAAGATGAATCCCGACATCTTCAAGCGTTTACAGCACTAAATATTTTAGGTAACCCACACAAAAGTGAATACATACACACACACACACACACACAGATGACTGAACCCACGTGGTATCTGATTCAGCCGAAGCCCCCACACTACAGCTAGCCTGGGGAAGGTGGGCTCTGCAACCACAGCCCCAGGATCCTACAAGATGCTCGCATAGCTAAAGGTGAGGGGGCGTCCACACACACCTTCAGGGTCTCCAATACCACCCCCACGGGAAGAACCCCCACCCCCACTGCTGAATGCCAAGGAAACGGCATCACTCTTCATAAATATTTAAGAAATGCATCTTGAAACACACCAGGGGCTTACTGGAGAATGTGGAAACAGATGCGCACGCAGGAAGCTCAAGGTCATTAGGGAACACACCAGGGGCTTACTGGAGAATGTGGAAACAGATGGGCACGCAGGAAGCTCAAGGTCATTAGGGATGTGAAGAAAAGACACAAACCACCCACAGAGTCCTCTGCGACAGGATGCAGAGGGACGTCCCCACCAGAGTCTGGACTGCCAACCAGGGGGACCACGCAGACTAACGAGGGCTCTCCTGCCAAGTCACTCCCCAGCCCTGTGCTGGCGGTGAAAGGTGTTCCCGTGCAAAGCCGACCTTCAGATCTCTCAAGGCCCCAGGGTGACATGGTACCCGGTGAGGGTCAAGGCTGGACCACCCAAACCTGACCTCACATCACAGGCAAACAGGGTGTGGAGACCTCTCCAGCGTCAGCAACCGGTCATCACCGGAATCACGAAGCACGAAGGGCTGGAGCGGGCCCTGAGGGAGCCTTCCTGTCACCTGTCTGATGACGGCCCCTAATGACAGTCTCCAGACCGGAAGGAGAACTGCAAGCAGCGGCCCCAGCAGCCCCGACCCGCCACTCTGCAGGCATCAGTGGGGAAGTGCAATTTCAAAAATGTTTAGGTTTGGTTGAGAAACATCTCAGCCAGTGTTTATTCTCACTGTAAATATGCCTCCAGTTAATTAAGCGACTGCTTTCCTTGACAAGAACCTCTTTGGAAGCCCAAGCAGCTGGCCGCCGCTGGGGGAGTCCTCCTGCCATCCCGTGTGGCGGAGTCTCTCAGAACCTTCTCCCAGTCAGCAGTTACCTAGCAACCAGCCTAGTAACCTCACAGCCAAGAGATTAATCCCCAAGTGACAATCAGAAAGCTGCATGCAAAAAGACACTCCGTTTCAAGGATGCCATCCAAACGCCTATAAAGATGAGGTGCTTCTGAGCTACACAAATTGGAGAGAGGAGGGGACAAACGATTTACCTGTCACTTCAAGATCGGAAAGGCGAGATTCCATTCCTGCAATTCATGCATGGAGATGAAAGAGCTAAGATGATGGCTGGGCCAGGGAGCTGCACAGAAGCTGTCCAGTCACTAGTGGGACGAGGAAGATGCTCTGTCCCAACCACAGCTTCGACTGGGCCCTGGCAGGGGGGTACACAAGCCAGGGAGGGTGAATCTCTATTGCGGACCCTCCATCATGCCCGTGTCTCCAGCATAGCCTGCTCCCCATATGCTCCCGTTTCAGAAAGAGAGACCCGCCCAGCCCTCAACCAGCTGCAGCTTCACACACGCCTCATTGTGTGCACGCGTTCAGGGATGCCAGAAATCTAACTGGGTAATAAAAAGCTGGGAGAACATTCCAGAAAGGTGGGCACCCTTAGCATTCCCAAAAAGCACCAGCCCTCCTCATCCTTCCCAGCTTCTGTGCTGGAATGCACCCCCATCGGAAAGGCTCGAAAACTCAGGACACATTAGGATCACCTGGAAAGCATTTGTCAAAACGCATCTCCCTGCGGTTCAGGGTCCAAGTTAAAATCAAACTTCAGGTGATGCTGACTCAGGTGGCTCCAGAAACACCTGGGGAAGCAGCACTTTGGAGGCTGCCTCTCACATCCACCCCACAGCAAGTGGGCAGGGAGCTAGGTAAATCTCCTTCCCAGTTGAGAAGGGGCTCGGAGCAGGCACAGAGAAGAGATGCCCTTAGAATGCAAGTTGTTCAGCTGCGAAAGTCCAGCCTGCAGGCTTCCTGGGCAAGCTAGTGGGCTGAAGTATGCCACAGCAACAGGCTTCTAGAGCCGGCTGCCCAGCTCCTACTCTGCCTCTGCCACTCACTGACTGTGTGGTCTTGAGCAGGTCACCTGTCTGACTTGGTGAGAGCTGACAGGCATCACCTGTTAGAGGCTTACGCGTAAGCATGGCCCCGAGAGAGGCTTCAATCCAATGAGCTGCCAGCTGAACTTACTCAACAAGCAAGGACCCACGGGCAGACCCAGGAAATCTCGCCAAGTACCCCATTCATGGGAGGCCAGCAGCACAATTAGTCATCCATTTACTTATCAAGCTGTTACTGTGTGTGCAAGAAGCGCCAGAGAGATGATATCAAGGAGCTCTTACCATGGCTGGCATAGAGCGGCTGATGAGTAAGTTCCGTCTGCACAAAGAGTCCCTAAGCATTCATTCTTGGCTGACATTCTTGGCTCAGGGGGTCTCCATGGCCTTGTTCCCCTCCTCGGGTCACCAGTTCAGGTCGAGGGGGCCTATGCTTGGAAGGGCCACACCAATGGACCTTGCCAGGACACCCAGTCACAGGTTTCACACCCAAAGAGAAGACAGCCCAACCCAGACCCTCAAAAGAGAGCACCTGGGGGAAGGGAGCGTGGAAACCAGGACTCAGAAAGACACAAGAGAAAAAGAAGCTGTACACTGGGGAGGCTTCCGGGGTACCTGTGCCTGCCATGTCTCTGAAGGCCTTGGGGATGGGGAAGGAGGGCGCCGCACATTCTGTGTGGCTCAAGGCAGCAGAGCAAGGGTTTTGAATCAACAAAGGAAAAGGATTTGAAGAAGTGGAATGGCTCAACAGCGATGGCGCCTGGGGTGAGTGCTCCCACACAAACCCACTTCTCCAAGAAACCAAGGACCTCTGGTGCCACAGCCAAGAGCAGGCTGCCAAGGCTCTCTGCCTCAGTTTCCCCTCTATGTAAAATGGAGCTATAAGGGCGCCTACCTCCTGAGGTGTTTATGAAGATTAAATGAGACAATATGAGCATTAGGAGTGTGAAGCAGAGTCTAGCTCATGGATCACTCCGTCACTGTTAGATGCCATTGCAGCCTGGCTACAAAAGGCACTGGAAACAGGGCGGTGAGGTCTGTTGCAAATGAGAGTGACCCAGGAGGCTTCCTGGCAGAGGTGTGATCTGCACCTGCCCTGGGAGGAGATGGAAGGGATGGGGTCTGGGAAGCAGCAGGCGTCCCATGGGAGTGGGGAGGGATGTGGTGCAAGGTATGTTGGGAAGGCCTTGGCTTTGAAGCTAGAGAGTCACAGAGGGAGCACCCCAGCCACCCTGGGACCACCTGGGACTCAACAGCCTTACGTGTAAAGGGGCCGATGCCACCCCTTCAGGGCAGTTGTGAATCATAAAGGAGGAAAAGAAAACTAAGCAGAGGAACACACCCAGCAGACTTAGTCCAGTATAGTCATGTACTGAGCACCTACTGCATACATCGCCTTCTCAGACAGCCACAGGAGGTAGAGGCAGGGAGATGAGGCAGGGCTTCTGCTGCCAGCAGCCAGTCTATTGGGATGAGCATAATCACCCATGGTCTTCTGAGCCTTCAGGTTCTGGGCAACAGGGGCCAGGTAACCACAGAGTCCCAGCCAAGGCTGCCAAGGGCCCTGGTGGCAAATATGCATCACCCATTCCTTAGGCAAGAGACCTGGGGACCTGCTTCAGGTGGTCATGTGGGAAAAGTGCAAATGAAGAACACCAGAGGTCGGGGACAGAGGCTGGCACATCATAGACACTCAACAGATGAAGGAATAGCTGTTCAAGTGCCGCACTGCGCCCTGCTCTGTGGGGACCTAAAACGCCGGGGCTGGGAAAGCAAAGGGCAAGTGGGGCCTGAGAAACCCAGACACACTCAGACATCACACAGCATTTAGCCATCAGGACAGAGGACACCATGACCTTGAAATCAAGGCCACTCCTGCCTCAACCAGGGACAGCAGCCAAACCCAGGGTGCAAATGGGGCAGGACAGGTGAGTGGCAGCAGATAAGGCACGCGCTAATCCCACTGGCCAGCGCAGAAGACAGGTATTGACCTCGGATCAGTATGTCTTGGTCCTGGCCAAGAACCTCAAAAACGTACGATGGGCCGAGCCAGGAGCCACCAAAAGAGCCTCTCGGCACACACGACATCCTTACATACCAGCAGGGACAGACACAGACTGCTCTGTGCCTCGACTTCCCCATCTGTAACACTGGTAATACAAATAGTACCTACTATTAGTAGGGAGCAGGCAGAGGGCTGCTGGGAGGATTTGCTGAGCTGACACAAGTAATTGCCCCACAGCAACACTCATGGGACCCGCTGGACCAGGCAGGCCCTGACAGGCAGTGTGTGGCAACGGGAAGAAGGAGGGACTGAAAGTCAGATTACGCCCTGGCTTCCCCAGTCACTCTGTGGTTTTGGCTTCATCTGTTAACCAGGGATGGCTCCCAGTCCCACCTTCTGTGATCCACAAGGTTGTCACAGAGATCCAATATGATGCCATACCCACAGGGGCTCTGGAAACTGCAGCGGGTGGGGGTGGGAGTCCCTGTGCCCCCAGCACAAGCAAACTGCTCACACTGCCAAGTGGAGGGTGACCAGAGAGCCAGACAGGGCCACTCTGCAAGGCCTGGGGCCCACTGATGTCTCTCAATTCACCTCCTTGAATCTGGATGAGGCTACCGCTTTACTCTCTCTCTCTCATGTTTCCCAAAGAATGAGTTTCCTGATCAATATCCCAACTTGTTCTTCAACCAACGTGGCCTCTGAAGGCAGCCAGGCTGGCAAGAAGGCTCCTCCCACCGAGACAGGCTGGAACCCTCCCGCTCTCAGCAGCACCCCTTCATCCCATTGGGATGGGGGGAAGGATGGAGGATACACACAGGCCCAAAGCCAGACCCCCTGCAGATCAGATCCTGGCTCTGCTGTGTAGAGCTGTGACCACTCTGTGCCTCAACCTTTCCATCTGCAAAATGGGTTATACCGATAGTACTGGTGTGCCAGGAGGGTTGCTCAGATGAGCTCACTAGGTAAAGGGCTGGGACCCCTTTCTGGCATGTGATCAGTGCTGTGCGTTATCTTTTTGTTATTGCCTGCTTCCTTCCTGGAACTGTTAAGTAAATATTGTAATGTTTGGTAAGTGATTTTTCATATGTTTATAATCTTTGCCTAAAAGACAGTTTGTGGGTGGGTTTCCCCTGTTATAAAAATAAGTAATATGTGATCATTTTGGAAGAGGAAAAGAAAAAAGAAATGTACAAAAAGCACAAGGACAACATCTTGGCAGGCAGTCACAAGCTACTGGGTGTGCACAGCTGGGATGAGCCCAGACAAACGGCGTCAAACCCTGGCCCTCCCTGCAGGGCATCTATGCAGCTCAGCAGACCCCTTCTGGGGGCAAAAGCAGCATCTCACCCAGCACAGGACCACTCACCTTAAACCTCTCGGTGACACCCTCCGTGATGCTGACGGTGAACTCAGCAATTTGGGGAGGACGTGCTTTCCCTTTCTTGCGGTCAGGTTCATACTCGGTCTTAGTTTTCACGACCACCTTATCCAGGAAACAGAGAAACAAAAGTCAGATGCATTCAGACATATCTGCCCAAAGAGGGTGGGTCTGGGAACTCCCATATTCAAAGTCACCATTTGCCAGGAAGAAATTCACAAGAACGAGAACAGCCACTACTTTTTGGAAATCTCCTCTGTGGCAGGACTTTCAGAGAAATGACCCATTCATAATCCTGATAGCAGTCCCAGGAGGGAAATATTATAACCGAGGGGCACAGAAGTTAAGCTCATTGGCCAAGGTCATGCGGTTTATAGGCGGCAGGGCGGGGATGCAGCCTGGCAGCTGACTCCTAACCCAGTGCTCCTTCCACCCACCAGAGCCAAAGCCTGGCTTGGCCCAGGAAGCTGGGAGGCTGCACCTGCCTTTTCACTGGCCTTGCTGTGCCACCATGGGCACAAGAAGAGGAGGTCTGAGGGTACTGTCCACAGCCCTCCAGGACTGGCTGGAGAAGCTGGCCACCAGCTTGTCTGGAAACAGATCCAGGATCAACCTCTTTGTCTCCACCCCCACATCCTCCTCTCCCCCTGCCCCTGCCACAGCCCCCAAAGGGTCTCCCTGCTCTCATTCCCCTCCACCCCCTACTGTGAAGCAGAACGATGTTTGTCCAACCTGGAAACCAGCCCTTGCATCTGCCCTACACCCCAGCAGCTTCAGATGGACCCAAGAAGCCTCCCAGCCCTGGACACTCACAGCCCTGGCCTCAGCGGCGCTGCCTTCATCACTCACCACACCCGTTGCCAGGGACTGTTTACTTCTCTGTCCCACTGGACTGGGAGGTGTTCAAGAGCAGGGTCAAGGTGTTATAGGTCTCTAATCCCCAAACCCCGCTCCCCAAGCCAGGTTCCAGGAGAGGCTGTTGCACTAGAGACAGCCAGCCACCTCCAAGCTCTTTCTCCCCCGAGGGACGAGGCCCCTTCATTGGGCAGTCCGTCACCTGCTCTCCACGATGGTGGGGACCAGGACAGAACAAAGAGACCCCAGCAACTGGGGATGGTCAGCCCCAGGCGGGCAGCCAGAGGGCCTCTCATCCGGTGCTACGACCCCCAAAGCCAGCCTTGGGGAGAAAGAACAGCGGAGCCCATTCCAGGGTCACTGAAAAATGATCCCAAGAGCCATAAACCTTGTAACCACACTCTTGGCCTCTGACCCCAACTCCTTTTCCACCCAGTGCTCCTGCGGTGGAGAGGGAGGGGTGCCTGGCATGGGTTGGCCTGGGCACCCACCCCTGTGAGGCACTCATTGCTTGAGGCAGTGGTTGGGTGTCACCCTGCCATCCTCAAACCCCGACTGGACCCAACTAGCCATGTGACCTTGAGCACGCAGGCCTAGACTGGCCAATGAATGGGAAATAAGGCTACTGCTGAGGATGAGGAAACCCATGGAAACCTCTCCCGTATGTGGGGGCCCCATCAATATTCTGTCGACCTGGATTCTATCCCCACCTGCCACTAACAGGCTAGGTGACCTTGGGCAATTCTCAAACTCTCCGTGCCTGCATTTCCACATCTGCAAAATGGGGGTAACATGGTAGTGACCTCATGGCATTATCAACACATTAAAAGAATTTAAACCTGTAAAACTGGCAGAATAGTTCCTGGTGCAGAATAAGTGTCTGGCAAATGTCAGGGGAGACCAGCCCTGACTCTGCTGCCAGCACTGTGACTGCTGTCACCGCTGCACCCCAGCACCTCAGCACTCCATACACGTTCTCAGAACAGATTCTCATTTATAACCCAACTGTGTCACCACCCCTCAGAAGCCATGTCACCTGAAACAGGTGACATCGCCTCCCTGAACTCTGACCGTTAGCAACACGTTGCTGTTGTTCAGGTTAAGAGAGGTCTTACGTGAGAGACATCTGGCTCCAAGCACAGTGGAGTAAGAGGCACTGCCAGAAACTTCTGCATCCTGGAGGACTGTAACCTTCAGCCCAGTGACCTTGGGTATGTCCCATAAATGCTCTGAGGCTCAGTTCCCTCATTGTGACCTTAGAAGCCTTCTGGAAAATGATCCCAAGAGCCATAACCCTTGTACCCACACTCAGTCCCGGCGGGAAGTCCGGGATGGAAGGTCTGGCTGGACCCGAGAAGAGCATCCCTGCTGGCTGCCCCGCTTCGGACGCTTGCAGAGAGAGCAGACTCATCACCTTTCCGAGCTGCCTAGGCTACTCCTGGTCGACCTAATTAGTTGGTGAGGATTTCATACCTGCCTGAAACCCTCCTCCCTGTATAAACCAACTGTGCCAAATGGTTCTGGAATGGAACAGACTGAGGACAAGAGAGGAGGCTCAGGCCAAGTGAGGGGAATCACCTGATAGAGGTGCTGCCTCAGGACACGGAGTTCCTGGCACAGGCGCCACTGCTCCTCAGCCGAGCAGCTGGGGGCCCAGGCAGGAGGGGGTGTGGGGGCCTCGGGGCCAGGCCCCGCTAACTGGACGAGTCTGATGCCTAGACAGGGAGGGGTGGAGTGGAAGCTGAGGCCTCAGGCAGCCCTGCCCCTCCTGCAAAGCCTAGCCTGGACCATCAGTGGCCCAGAGTGGCACCACCGTGGCCTGGGGGGCACAGGTGTGGCCGGCTGATCCCCCTTTCTTGAACTGAAACCCCCGCTGCCAGCCTCTTCCCGGCTCCTGCCTCCCTCCCCAGACGACACACACAATAAAGCTGGGAGGACACCTTCACAGGGGTCAGGGCCCCCACCAGGACACCCCCACCCCACAACACCCACCCCGTCAGCAATCACCAACTTGCTGGAACGAAGACAGAGCCCTGGCTCAGAGCCCCTTCACCAGGGACTAAATGAGAAAATAAATAGAAAAGCACTTCCGGGAATTATTCGTGGCTGTGGTGGTTCGTAAGCGGCAGCAAGATGCTGAGAGTAGATGCTGTGTCTATGGTCTTAGATGTGAATTTTACAGTACAATTGCCTAGACATGCAAAGATCTATTTACATTTTTAAGTGTTAACTCTTGGAAATATTATTCTTAGCAAACAGAAACTACTTAATTGGATGCTACATTCAAAAAGAGGAGATTCTTTAAATTCAGCAGAAAACACTTTGGGGAAAGGTTGATGAATGGTTTTTCCCAGTGACACCAATACTGAGCGAGCCCGGGCACTTATTTGGAGATTTCACAAAAGGAACAAAGAGGAAGGAGACCCTGTGTGAGCGCGCACACCCTCCTGCACCTAGCGCCAGCCTGGCAGGGGCAGGCAGAAAGGGCGAGAACAATTCAGCCCTGGGGAGGGGCCATCTGACCAAGGAGAACGCTCCCCCGCCTCGGTGGGGCAAGTCGGGCTGAACTGCCACACCCGGGAAGGTACAGGGGCAGCCTCGCCCGCCCCTAGGCTCACCCCCGATCCAGAGCCCCTGGGGCCACGGGGCAAGGGAGGAGCAGGGCAGCTGCGGGGCCAGGGCCCTCTCGGATGAGGCTCCCAGGAAAAACGCGAAGGAATCTTGCCCCACCGCGTTCCACTGTCAGGACGAGAATATCATCTAAGGCAGGGCTCCCCTCCCCCGCCCAGCATCCCGCGATCCAGAATCCCGCGCGGGTACACTGTCCTCGCCGCGCTCCCTCCGGCCTCCCGAGCCCGCCCCCACTTCGCGTACCCAGCGCACGCGGCGCGTTTCTTTTGTTGCGCCCGCCGTGCGAGATTTGGGGGTGCACACCCGGCAACGTGGAGGGGCGTGGGGGGGCTTACCTTATCCGGGGGCGGGAACTGCAGCTGATTGACATCGAGGGGCGTCATCAGGGGAATGGTGTCGAAGCCATCCTCCAGCAGCGGCTGCTTGGTGCCCTTCTCTGCGAAATTGTTCCCCAACTTCACCATCGTTCCGGGAGCTCCGAGGCTGCAGCCTGCGGCGGGAGGGCCGGGGGGAGTCACCACAAGCAAGACCCGGGGCGGGGCGGGGGGGAAGTGGGCACCCACACCCACCGGCGTCCCGGCGTCCGCGAGCTCCCCGGCCCCGCTTCGTCTCGGGGAGGGCTCGTGGGGACGCGGTGGTCACGGCCCGATGCGGGGGTCGGGTGGTGCTGTGTATTTCTAGACCCTCATCTCGCAGGACCCAAGCGCCGGGCGCAAGGGCGCACCGCGGCCAGGGAAGGGGGCGCCGCCCCTGCCCAGCACCTCCAGACCCGGTCCCCGGTCCTGGGGCCGCCGCACCCGGGCGACCCGCTGTTCACAGCCCCGTCCCGCGTACTCCGGGAGATGGGCATCCCCCGGGCACTGCTCCTGGGCGGGCAAGGTCTGGCCTCGGCAAGCCCAGGCGCGGCCGGCCGCACTCACCCACGCCCGGCTCCGGCAGGTCAGCTGAGCGCTCCGAGCTCCGCGTCTCCTGCTCCTGCTCGCAGCAATGGCGGAGGCGGCGCCGCGCGCGGACCCGGGAAGGGGAGCGAACGATTGGGCTCCACGGCCGCTCCCTCCTCCTCGCGCCGCCGCCTCCCTTCCTGCCTCTCCCGGGGGCTGGGTGCGCGCGGGTGGGTGCGCGCGTGTGGCCGCGCCTCCACCTTGACGCAGCGCCCGCCCGGCCGCACAAAGGAGTGCGGGGCTGGGCGGGAGCCTCCCCTGGGACCACGCGCCCGCCCTGAGCCGGGGGAGGGAACAGGGGAGCGGGAGAGGACGCGCCCCCAGGGGGTCTCGGAGCGGCGGAGGGCGCCCGGAGCGGGAGGGCTGCGGGCTGCGCCACCCCGGGCGGCGGCCTGGGCGCGAGGCGCTTAGAAAGGAGAAAGGGGAGGCGGGGACCGTAGGGACAGAGCGACCCCCAGGGGTGCGGGGAGGTGCAGAGAGGGTCCCCGCCCGCAGCGCGCCGCGCTCACCTGGGGGTCCTGAGGACGTTCAAGGGTTTGGGGGGATGGGTCCAGGAGGCGCTGGGTGGTGGCGGAGACCAGAGCAGGGTGCTCCTTAGTGCTGGGTTGGGGAGGGGGCGACCAAAAGAGGGCGCGTCCGCGTATAAAGGGGGCGCGGCCCGTAAAGGAGGCGCGGCCCGTAAAGGAGGAGGAGGTTTTCGGTGGTGCGGGAGGCGGAGTAGCGCTCTCCCAGGGCTGGGGTGTGGGCGCCCAGGGTGAGGCTGCCCCAGGCAGCGGGAGGGAAGTCGTTCTAGGCAAAGAGCGCTCAGTGCGCCGCTTGGAGGGAGGCGGAAAGGTTCCTCCGCTCTGGTTGGCAGAGAAGGTGGAGGTCCCACTGCAGCCGCCGCCCGAGCATCCTGGGCACAGAGGAGGGGCCGCTGGGACGATGCCCGGACGCGGAGAGAAGGGGGGTGGTTCTAGCCCGACCTGCGCCCCCAAACCCCGAGCTCAGCCGCTGTCGCGGCTTCCCAGAGAGGGTCCTGTTTGCAGACCTCCAACCCGTCCTGCCTGCAGGACTCACGGATGAAAGACTATGGGGTGTGGGGGCGAGGCCGAAATGGGAGTGGAGCCCGCGCGGGAGGAGGCCGGCTGCGGGGATCGGTGCCTCCTGGGCACCTGGGCCAGGAGCTGGGCCCTGTCAGGCGCTGGACGAGGAGGAGGCATCACCCAAATTCGATACTTTTTCACACCCTTTCCGGGGACTTCCCCGCGGCACTACGGAGGGTCCGGGGCGTTTTCCATCAGCCGTCTGAGAATCCTGGGAATAAGCCCAGAGCACAGGAGCAGCCACCGCCTTGAGCCCCAGGCACAGCCTGGGAACTTGCCGCGGGTGCCCTGATTTCAAAATCCCCAGGAGGGCTAGCCGTCTTTGACAGGTGACCTAGTGGGTATCTCGTAACTCGCCCCAACTCTCCAGCCAGGGTCTAAGTGTGCCTTTGACCACAGGCCAGCCTGGTCTGAACCCAGGCTCCTGGCAGAGGCACCCCGCCCCCAACCCAGGGAAAGCGGGTGTCAGACTCTGGCCCCTGCCACGGGCCTCGGGGACCCACAGAACCCACCTTTTTGGCACTTTGATGCCTCCCTGAAGCAGGTGAAGAAGAGAAGATTTCTCTTGCTCCACTTCAGAAATCTGCCCAGGCATCTGCCATGAGAGTGACCCACTGGTCAGGAGAAACCCTTTGGGCTTAAGCAAGGAAATGGCTTTCCCGCACCCCCCCCCGCCCCGCCCCCCGTCTCAGGCTCAAGCATTTAACAGAACCCAACACACACGCGCGCGCGCAAACACACACACACACACACACACACACACACACACACTTGGTCAGAATTCCACACCAGGAGGAACAAAGTGGAGGCCCTGCCCCTCCCTTAGAGACTCTGTCAACTGAGGAGGACAGAAAGGCAAGAAGGACCTAGGTTGTCCCAGAGATGGACGGTGAACAATCATGTTTCTCTGCTAGCTGGCCTTTTGTGCTGTCTTGGGTCTTCACTGGTGCTGGTCATTGGGACTGTTTCATCCTGTGGTTTTCTTCCTCTGCTGATTGTATCTGGGCCCTGTGAAGGGCATGGACAATGCAAAATGCATGAGACACAGCGCCACCCGCAGGGAGCTACGGACAAGGGCAAGTCTTTGCTGGGAGCAGTGGCCCTGTGGGAGAGTGGCCTCTGCCTCTTGCCAGGAGGGAGGACATCCAGAGACTGTGGGTAAAGACTGTGGATAAAGCTTCCTACAGGTGGGCCTGAGAGAGGTGCGTGCAGAGGGGAAGGCATTCCAGGTAGGAGAACAGAATGTGTTAAGACAGTATATGAGCTTCCTGCCACTGTTGGAACAAATTTGGCTTAAAACAATAGAAACATGTTCTCTCCTGGCTTTGGAGGCCAGAAGTCTAAAGTCTAGGTCCCAGCAGGGCCTCACTCCCTCTACAAGCCACAGAGAAGAACCTGTTCTTTCCCCCTCCAGCTTCCAGTGGCTCCAGACATTCTTTGACTGTGGCTGCATCACTCCAATCTCTGCCTTCATGTCACTCCAGTCATATTGCCTCCTCCTCTTCTCTGTGTCTCTTATAAGGACACTCATCATAGGATTTAGGGCCTGCTGGGATAATCCAGGATAAGGTCTCCCTCTCAAAATCCTTAACTTAATCCTATCTTTGCCATATAAGATAATGTTCACTCTTTTACTATGTAAGGTAAATCAGGTTCCCGGGGTTAGCATGTGGACATATCTTTTAAGGGTCGCCATTCAGCTCACTACAGGCATTAAGCTTGCAAGGGTGTGGTGATTTGGAGAACCCAAGTCATTCACAGAGGGTGGCAGAAATTAGGTTGAAGAAGCCACAGCCACCAAAATGGGGATGGCTGAGGCTGCAATGGTGGTTGCAGGTCAAACAGATGTCAGGTATTTTCACAACATACAAAAAGGGAAAATCAATGGGATGCGATCTCCCCCTGGACCAGTTTCATCCCAGCACCAACAATTTAAAATCCAAGTGCCACAGAAGATTGTTGACACATACTCAGTTTTTCTAAATGACTCTTTTTTTTTTTTTTTTTTTGGGACGGAGTCTTGCTCCGTCGCCAGGCTGGAGTGCAGTGCCGTGATCTCAGCTTACTGCAACCTCCGCCTCCCTGGTGCAAGTGATTCTCCTGCCTCAGCTTCCTGAGTAGCTGGGATTACAGGCACGTGCCACCACTCCCAGCTAATTTTTGTATTTTTAGTAGAGACGGAGTTTCACCATATTGGTAAGGATGGTCCTGATCTCCTGACCTCGTGATCCACCTGCTTCAGCCTCCCAAAGTGTTGGAATTACAGGAGTGAGCCACTGCACCTGGCCCTAAATGACTCTTTTAGGAATACTTCCAGGGTTGCTGATCTCAGGCACAGACCCATCACTGCCTGTACGATTGTAACTCCTACCCTGCTCCCTCTCCTCAGGGCAGCCAGGCGCTGCTCTCTAATGACCCTGGTACTTCCAGGTCCAAGCGTTTTAGCAACTTCCCTTGTCCCACTGGTTGAAGTCCAGACTGTCACAGCAAGAGACAATGTGACACAGTGGCTAAGCCGTGGCCCGATTTTGAATCCTGTCCCTCTCTTCCTAGCAGTGTGACTTCAGGCAAGCTGCTTAACCTTTCTATGCTTCAGTTTCCCCATCTATAAATGGAGATAATGAAACCTCCATCAGAGCAGTGTTGTGAGAATCAAATGAGCTATTCTTATTTTTTTAAGTGCCTGTTTTAGGTATTACTATTGCTTTGACCTCTAATTCTGTACTCCTGTGGTCTCTATTCTTAGCAGCCGGTGCTGGAGCCAGGGCGAGGTGATAGACACTTTTCCTGGTTATGTGACAAGTGTTCAGAGTGACTAAGGTGACTCTTCCCCTAGAGGCCTCATGAGCCTCTTTGCAGGTCACAGAAGTCAAATGATGAGTCCCCGGCCACAGGCTTCCCTGCAGAGCTGGGATGGGTTGCAGGATCTAGTCAGGCCTCCCACAGCCAGCCAGATCTCCAGGATGGATGAGGTCCTGCTGGGAGGGTGGCCACCCAGTGCTGTCAGCCTATGGAGGTTCAGTGGCAGGTGATCAGCAGAGGTTCTGCTCTGTTTTTCTGCAGCCTGGCCACGTCGATCCAGCGATGCTTCATCCAAATGTCTTGTTTTTAGATTGAGATGTAATTCACATGCCACAGATATCACCAGTTTAAAGTATACGCTTAACTGGTTTTAGTATATTTACAAGGTTGTACAATCATCACCACTAATTTCAGAACATTTTCATCACCCCGTAAAGAAACCTGCATCCCACAACAGTCACTCCCTGCACACATCCTCATCTCTGATGGTTTTAAGTTTCTTGGGTCCACTTCTCAATCCACGGGACCAGCCGGCACGCTGGGACCAGCCGGCACACTGGGATCAGCCGGCACACTGACACAGAATCGGGAGAGACATTAGGCTCTGGATCTTTCTGCAAATGGGACAATCCATTTGCAATGTGAAGAATCAGCCCACCTGGGTGAAGTCATCCCTGTTTCTCCTTAAACCCTGTCCTGTAGCCAAATTCTCCATTCCCCCAAGTGCCTGCCTCCAGGCCTTTGCAAATGCTGCTTCTCTTGCCTAGATTGCCTTCCCCACTCCTCATCGATTTTGCAAACTGCTCCTCATCCTCCAAAGCCCAGATCCAATGTTGCCTCCTCTTTGAAGCTTGGCCTTTCTTTATGCTCCTCTATCCCGGAGTCTGGGTATTTACATTTCTATATAGATCATGAGCAAATCAGGCAGAACCACTTAATCTTTCATTTCCATATCCCCCCTGTCTAGAGCATGGCCTGGTAATCAGGAAATGTTTGCTTAATTGAATAGGCATCCACTTAGCTTACATTCACAGTAAAGTAAGACATGAACATCAGAGGTGTAAATTCGAATTCAAGTGCATAGTAAGAAAGTCAGGTCAGGCCTGGTGGCTCATCCCTTTAATCACAGCACTTTGGGAGGCTGAAGTGGAAAGAACCCTTGAGCCCAGGAGTCTGAGAACCACCTGGACAACAAAGTGGACCCCCATAAAAAAAAAAAAAAAAGAAAAAGAAAGAAAGGAAGGAAGGGAGGGAGGGAGGGAAGAGAGAATTAGCCAGGTGTGGTAGCACAAACCTGTGACCCCAGCTACTCAGGAGGCTGAGGTGGGAGGATCGCTTGAGCCCAGGAGTTTAAGGCTGCAGTGAGCTGTGATTGCACCCTGCTCTCCAGCCTCAGCAACAGAACAAGAACAAAAAAAAAAAAAAAAAAGAAAGAAAGAAAAGAAAATTCATGGTCTAATTAAAACCGAAGGCAGGTTTGCCCATGACATCGTTGTGATGCTCTCTTCTTAGAGTTCACCTTACTGCAAAATACCCATTTCTGGAAAACCCCAAATGTTATTATTTAAAATACATAATATATAAATGAAATCATAAATATAGTTTCTAGTGCTCTCCAGCGTTTTATTTACCTTTGTGTTTCCCAGCGCTTGGCCACATGAGACGCTCAGTAAATGGCTAAGAAATGAATGGACTCACTCTACTTCTTTGCTTTCACTGGGTAAATACGATTATGGGGCTCAGAATCATTTGATGACCGATGATGTATTTAAACAGAATTGTGTCTGCGTGTTTAGTTTGGGGGTTTGGGGATTTTGTTTGCTTGTTGTTGCTGTTTTGTCTTATAGTCTTAATGAACCACTCAGCAATTCCTGATTTTCCCAAATTATTTCTAAGATCCATTTTGCTTTGGCTGTGAGGCACTTGACCTTGGGGGAGTGGGAGCAAGAAAAAGACAGCCAAAGGCTTTGGTGAAAAGCCCTCTGTGGCCTGCGTTTCCTCATCTGTAAATTGACAAGAATGGTCACACATGTTTTCTTTCAGCTCCAGGATTTGTTATCTAAGAAAAGATGATTTACAAATACTCCCCATTGGAGTCCTATTTCTGGATTTGTGATGAGAACCTTGCAATGTGGGGTGATCGATGGGCATAAAGGCAGCAGAAGCTGAGTGTTCTTTGGTTGGATGCTCACCTCCAAGATGCTGGCAGCTCCAAATTCCTCTGGCCTGCTCATTTTCCTCTCACAACCCAGGCTGTTTTCAAATAATCCAACCTGTCCAACTCTAAAATTAAGGACATTAGAGTAGAAAAATATTTAGGTCAAGAAATGTTCTCCCTGTCTAGGATTTGCGTCATGGAGAGGGTGGAGGGGAGAGCGGAGAAGCAGCCCAGCCCCCAAACCCAGCAGAGGCAGGGGAGGGAGGCACATGAGGACTTCTTTTTCTTTTTCTTTTTTTTGAAACAGTCTTGCTCTCTCACCCAGGCTAGAGTGCAGGGGCACAATCTTGGCTCACTGCAACCTCCACCTCCCAGGTTCAAATGATTCTCCTGCCTCAGCTTCCTGAGTAGCTAGGATTACAGGTGCCTGCCACCACGCCTGGCTAATTTTTTTGTATTTTTGGTAGAAACAGGATTTTGCCATGTTGACCAGGCTGGTCTCAAACTCCTGACCTCAAGTGATCTGCCTGCCTCAGCCTCCCAAAGTGCTGGGATTACAGGCGTGAGCCACCACGCCCAGCCGCACATGTGAACTTCTAAAGAGTGCATCCAATATGCCTTTTTTTGGGAGAGGGTCAAATTCAGAAGATAGAGCTCTACAGTCTTGCAGAGGGGAGGGGGCGAAATGTGGACCGAATGAACAATTATGTTAGGGTCAAGGGTTTTTCCAAGGTTGAATAATCCTCTAGTTCATGCCTTCATTTTATACCTGGGCCAGCAGGGAGTAAGGTGCATTGTTGCCGGCCACTCAGAGGAGAGGTGGAGCCTGTCCCTGGACTTCTGCCTGTTCAGTTACCCCCAGTGAGCCATGGCAGGGGGGCTCACAGACCAGGCCAGACTCCTGCCTCCACAGCAAAGCTCCCAACCCCCAGGCACCCTCGCTGTTCTGATCCACCAATGGTGCTGTGCGGGCCTCTGCCCTTGGCCCGGCAGATCCTGTCTCTAGGACAGGAGCTGGGCTGGATGGACTGTGGCCGCTGCAGTGGACTCCCTTGCCCTCTGGCCAACAGGCATTTGTCCCCTGGCTGCCTCAGACTGACCCTGTTCCTCAAAAAACGCCACCTCTCCTCCAAGGCAGCCTCAGCCCTTCCAGAACCCTGTCACACCCCCTCCCCTCCTCCTGCTGGCCCAGGGATGGCAATAGCTCCCCTTGCGAGCCCAGGCCACTGAACGCTTCTTCTGAGCCCTACACCCTGGCCACCTTTGCAGACAATTCTTTGAAATACATCTCCTCACATGACCCCATTTGGCGTGGCCCCTGCAACCTCTTGGTATCTTTACTGATGCAAATGCTGAGGAGAATACTTCTTGCTCCCTGAAGCCCCCTAGAGCCTCAAGGAGGAAACCCCCTTTAACCATCCTCCAGGCGAAAAATTAGGTGATGATGATGACCATGAAATACCTTCCCTGTCACTATCTTTGTTTTTTTTAGCTTCACAAAAATTCTGAAGTAGAAAGGACAGATACTGTTACACCCATTTTTCAGATAAGGTAACAATCATCATTGGTGTAAATGACCATATTAAATAGCATGTGTCATCAGGGAATACAGAGGGAGCACCAAAGTGCTTTCTAGGTATTTCTCCCAATGCCCTCAACCCACATTCTAGGGCTGTTTCTATTCATAGTCCATCTCTCAGATGAGGCCACCGAGGCTTGGGTGACAGATGATTATTAAGAAGATGCTGGATGTTCTCACTTATAAGTGGGAGCTGAACAATGAGAACACACGGACACAGGGTGGGAAACAACAGAGAGTGGGGCCTGTTGTGAGGGCGAGGGGAGGGAGAGCATCAGGATAAATAGCTAATGCATGCGGGGCTTAATACCTAGGTGATGGGTTGATAGGTGCAGCGAGTCACCATGGCACAGGTTTACCTATGTAACAAACTTGCATGTCCTGCACATGTATCCCAGAACTTAAAATTAAATTAAATTAAAAATAATAATGCAGATAAAAACATTAAAAAAAGAGAAGATGCTGGGAAGATATGTTGGCAGGAGGGAGAAAACCAGGCACTTCAAGAACTCGGTCAGAGTCCGGGTGCGGTGGCTCACGCCTGTAATCCCAGCACTTTGGGAGGCCAAGGTGGGAGGATCACTGAGGTCAGGAGTTCGAGACTAGCCTGGCCAACGTGGCAAAACCCCATCTCTGCTAAAAATACAAAAATTAGCCAGGCATGGTGGTGCACCCCTGTAATCCCAGCTACTCGGGAGGCTGAGGCAGGAGAATCACTTGAATCCAGGAGGTGGAGGTTGCAGTGAGCCGAGAGCACACCACTGCACTCCACTCTGGGCGAAGGAGCAAGACTCCATCTCAAGGAAAAAAAAAAAAAAAGAAAGAACTCGGTCAGAGGGGTGGACTCCCGAGCAACAATGCAGCCCCCTACTGTCCCCAGGCCCAGCCCTGCTCTCGGCCCATGCTGGCTGACAGGAGACCTAGCTACACCTCTCTTTCCCTTCTTGACTGTAATAAAGTGGGGAGGGAGGATCCCCTAAAGCCGAATACTCTCCTCCGGTCCTGAGCTGATGCTAGTCCTCATACTAGCCATGTGGCCTTGGGCAAAGCGTGCCCCCACCTCCGTTTCCGCTTCCATAAAATGAGGGGTTTGGACTGGAATAACTAATTCTCCTCCCCCTGAGAAGTGCCCCCCCACATTGTGTTCGCTGTCACGATGGCAAGAATGGCCCAGGATGAATCAGATCCAAAGTTATCGAGGACACACTGAGGTCAAGCAAGTGACCACGCGTGACCGGGGGGATAAATAACGAAGGCCACATAATTCCATTCCGCCCTTCCCCTGCTTTTTTCATAAGCAGTCCAATGTCCCTCAGCACCAGCTAAGTACCAGATTTCGAGCTTGTAGCAATAACTCGTATTAAATTATTTAGCCAGTAAATGATTATAAAAGCACTTTGCCAAAGTAAAGAACCGCAGAAAGGCCAAATTCTAATAACAGTGATACCGCCATACGCTTGAATTAATTATTGAATTTTTTAAAAGCCCACAGATGGATGAATGCAATTCATTTCATGCTTTGTGGAGCCAGGGTCCCTGGGAGAGTGTCTGAAATTCACAGTCTCCCCGGAGTGTGCTGGAGATTACACAGCGGAAGGCTGAACGGCATTGCAGGCGGCGTAGCGATGACCTAATGGGGCTTTTCCGTCTGGAATGCCTCCATCCGTGCAGCTGGGTCTGGGGCTTGGTGGCCACAGCACAGTGAAATTAGCACGTAACCCCTAGGCCAGCCCTGATGCACAGGCCCTGAGCTGTCCTGCAACTTCTGGCCATGACATGACATTTTTCTTATTTTTTTTTTAATGTTCATAATCTGTCACCTTTTCTCCCCTTGTTTCTCAGGCCCAGCTCAGGAATAAGGTTGGGGTCCTCATGAGCAGATTTTCCAGAGATTGAATTTTTATCCCTCTAGGTCTAATTTTCCTCATTTTGGACCAGAGTCATTCTAAAATGCAGAGCACGTCGTCCTGCTTTCCAAAACAGAGGACGTTGGAAAGAATTTAACCTCTTGCTGAAGAATCAGGTCAGCTTCATGAACACCATAGACCGAACTGGATTGGGTGCTATGGGCTGGGACTCGTGCCCCACACTGGCTGTCCACAGGCTGTAGGCTTGGCTAGGCTTGCCCCTGCCCTTGTCGCTGCCTCTGTGGCCGCCGTCCCCACAGCGGTTGCAGACGCGATCCTCATAGTGCACCCCTCGCTCTTTCCAGTGCACTGTTTCTAATCTGCTATGGGCAGAGAGTCCAAATTGCTGAACTTATCAGAATGACATCTGAAAGAGGCTGTATTGGGTTGAAAGGTGTCCCCCCAAAATTCATGTCCATCTGGGACCACAGAATGTGACCTTATGGAAATACGTCCAATCAGATAGAAAAGGTAAAGATCTTAAGATGAGAGCATCCTGGATGTAGGGTGGACCTCAATCCAATAACTAGTATCCCTATAAGAAGAAGGGACATGGCTGGGTGTGGTAGCTCACGCCTGTAATCCCAACACTTTTGGAGGCCAAGGCAGGCAGATCACTTGAGGCTAAGGGTTTGAGACCAGCCTGGCCAACATGGCGAAACCCCATCTCTACTAAAAATACAAAAATTAGCCAGGTATGGTGGTGCATGCCTGTAGTCTTAGCTACTGGGGAGGCTGAGGTAGGAGAATCGCTTGAACTAGGGAGGCAGAGGTTGCAGTGAGCTGAGAAAGCACCACTGCACTCCAGCCTGGGTGACAAAACAAGACTCTGTCTCAAAAAAGAAAAAAAGAAAAAATGAAAGGACACAGGGAGACACACAGGGAAAAGGCTGTGGGACAAGAGAGGCAGAGACTGGAGGGATGCGGCCACAGCTAAGGGATGCTAAGGATCCCCAGGAGCCTCCAGCAGTTAAGGAAGAGGCAAGGAACGGAGCCTCCCCGGAGCCTTCAGAGGGCATGGAGCCCTGCTGACACCTTGATTTTGAACTTCCAGCCTCCAGAACTCTGAGACAGTAGGTTTCTGTTGTTTTAAGCTGCCCAGTTTATGGTAATTTGTTATGACAGCCCCAGGAAATGAATACGGAGGTTCTCGAGCCCAGATAGCTTTTCTACTTTTTAATGTGTTTTCCCTTTATGTTTGAATATATTACATATTTGGACATCATATGCATTGTTTAGAGTTTTTGAAGCATTTCACGAGTCCAAATTCCCCGGATTGATTAGAGCTCAGCAGAGGGAAGATGCATGGTCCCCACTCAATGCTGCTGTCCCTCCCTGGTGGCCTTTGCAGGACAGGACAGGGATGGGTCTTGCTGCACTTGTCTGGAGCCTAGCCAGCTTGCGGTGCTTCTTCTCTCTGAGCACAGTGCCTCTACATTGGGTTTTGGAATCATAAACCTGCATTGGAGAGCTGGGGTGGATCCCAGAAAGCATTAGTCCAGGGCTCTGGTTCTCAAAGTGCAGTCCCTGGACCAGCAGATCAGCCTTTCCTAGGAGCGTGTTAGAGATGCAGATGCTCAGGCCCCACCCCAGACTTGCTGAATCAGGAACGCTGCTTTTTAACAAACCCTCCAGGGAGATTCTGATGCACACTTAAGTTTCAGAATCATCGGTTCTGGGTTTGTAAACGGGAATTCTGCAGGGTGAGCTATACTCATTTGTATGTTTTGAAAATTGCCAGCTGGGTGCGATGACTGATGCCCATAATCTCAACACTTTGAGAGGTCGAGGTGGGAGGATTGCCTGAGCCCAGGAGTTTAAGACCAGCCTGGGCAACATAATGAGACCCTGTCTCTACAAAATAATAATAATAATGATAATAATAAACAATCGGGTGAATTTAGTGGTGCAGCACATTTGTAGTCCTAGCTACTTGGAAGACTGAGGTGAGAGTATCACTTGAGTGCAGGAGATTGAGGTGACAGTGAGCTATGATCATACCACTGTACTCCAGACTGGGCCACAAAATGAGAACTTGTCTCAGAAAAAAAAAAAAAAGAAGGAAGGAAAGGGAGGAAGGGAGGGAGGAAAGAAAGAAAGGAAGGGAAGGGAAGGAGGGAGGAAGGGAGGGAAGGAAATTGCCTTTACTGGAAACACTTAAAAACCAGATTTCATGAAACACGCAAATTTACTGCCTTCTTCTGAAAAATTAAGAGACCTCACAACAAAGACATTCCCACGTGGCAAAAATCAGCTCCATGGGGAGAATGGCTGCCCACCTCCTGCACCCACCATTCCCTCTCCTGCCTTAGATGTGGGGCTTGTGCCTCACTCACCTTGGCTGCCCAGCCTGCCTGGCCCTGTGGGTGCTTGAGTGTGAGCCCCTCATCCAGTTCAATACCTCAGTTCACAGGTAGAGAAACTGAGGCACACAAAAGGGAATGAGCATGTTCCAGGAACCATGCAATGCTACCGACTGCTGAGTGACTGGGCAGCTCAGAAGCCTTTGCAGTTACTAGAGGCAAGCACAAGAAGCCCATGGGAGGACCTGGGAACCCTGAGATCCTCAGGAGCTCAGTTCTGGAATGAGAAACTCTTGGTGGCGCCCACAGTCCAAGCTGGAGAAGGCGAGGGTGGAATGAGGGTAAGGCCATGGAGATGGACAGGAGGGAGAGATACAAGAGATGGCCAGAGGATGGCCACAAAAAACACCAGCCAATAATAAGTGTTGACAAGGATGCAAGGAAATTGGAACTCTCAGACGTTGTTGATGGGAATGTAAAATGGTGCAGCCACTATGGAAAACAGCATCAAAGTTCTTCAAAAAGTTAGACATAGAGTCATCCTATGACCCAGCCACACCACTCCTAGGAATACACTCAAGAGGATTGAAACAAGTTCACACAAAAAAGTGTACATGAATGTTTATGACAGCGTTAATCGTAATAGCCAACAGGTGGAAAGAACCCAAATGTCCATCCACTGATTAAGGGATAAACAAAATGTGGTCTAGCTGTACAGTGGAATATTACTCAGCCATAAAAAAGGAATGGAACACTGACACATGCTACCACATGATTAAACCTTGAAACCATTTGACTAAGTGAAAGAAGCCAGACAAGAAAAGACCTCATGCTGTGTGATTCGTTTATGTGAAGCATGCAGAAGAGGCAAATCCTCAGAGACAAAAAACAGATGAGTGGAGGGAGTGGGAGGTGACTGCTGTTGGGTATGGGATGTTTTGGGGGGATGACGAAACTATCCTGGAGTTAAATAGTGGTGATAGGTGCATGACCGTAAAATATACTCTTAAAAAGCCCCAGCAAATTCTATGCCTCAAAACGGTGAGTTTTTATGGTATGTGAATTGTTATATCTCAATTTTTTTCTTTTTTGAAAATTTTTAATAATTTTAGGTCATTTTAAGGACTTTATTTTTTTTTTGAGAGAGAGTCTCCCTCTGTGGCCCAGGCTGGAGTGCAGTGGCATGATCTCAGCTCACTGCAACCTCCACCTCCTGAGTTCAAGCAATTCTCCTGCCTCAGCCTCCCAAGTAGCTGGGACTACAGGCACGTGCCACCACGCCCAGCTAATTTTTGTAGTTTTAGTAGCAACGGGGTTTCACCATATTGGCCAGGATGGTCTCAAACTCCTGACCTCAGGTGTATCTTAATTTTTCAAAAGAGATGGTCGGTGTAAAATGAGGAGGAAGATGAGGAATGGCAGGGATGAGGATGACTCTGAACTTGCAGCGACTGAGCCTGCCGTGGGCCTGTCCTGTGCCGGTGAGCAATCTGCAGACTTTGTCTCCTTTAATCGTCTCCCAGCTGTGGGAGTGAGGGAGGCACCCTCATTTGCCGCATGTTACCTGTGAGTAAACTGAGGCCCAGGGAAGTGAAGCACTTGCTCAAGGTCACACAGCTGGGAGGGAGGAGCTGGGCTTGGGTCTGTCTCCAGCTTTCTGTGCCCTCTCCTTTCCCCACTCTGGTCTGTGAGCCCTGGGAGGGCAGAGAGGGAGCTCCTTCATTCCCCCAGGACCTGGCCTAGTGCAGGGCCTGTTCCCCAACATGTTCTCATTAAATGGTCCTTCAGTTGCTTTGAAGAGACGGGAAACGGGCAAGAAATGGGGGGGATATAGGATGGCGCCATTCACTTCGTTCTCTGGGTCATCTTGGTTTCTGAAGATTGTTTTTAAACCTCCAACAATGACCCCTGAATGTGAAAGGAAAATGTTGTCCCAGGAAAAGGGGCACTTGTGTGTGCAAAACGGGAGGCTGTGCCGAGAGCGCTCTGACTGTGTCGCTCCTTCTTCGCCCCATGTGGAAGGAGATGAGATTTATAAATGATACAGCTAATTGTGTTTTTCTACAAGATTAATTTTATTGTCCCATTATCTGCTCCTTCTGAGTCCATTCAGGGGTGGATTATGTCTTAGCTTTCATCTCTGGAGCTTTCATTAATAATTAGGTCACCTTTTAGCCAGGAGCCCTGGATGCCCTAGGCCAAGGAAACTTCCAGCTGGAATGGAAACTGTGTTACAGTATTCCCTCTGCTACTGTGGGTGCCTCTGTGTCAGAGGAGATGGGCGCTTCCTCCAATACCAGCTGTCAGGAGTCAAAAGGCCAGTGGTTCTTTGGGGGCTTACTAGGCTCCAGACCCTGTCTGGGGGCACTTTTTTATTTTTTGTGAAACCTCACAATTGCCTGTGAGGTCAGGACTGTTGCCCCGTTATACAGATAAGACGGCTGAGTGGCCCCTCCGTAGGATTAGAGAACATGAAGTCACCTAACCACCAATGTGAGCCTAGACAGCTTGCCCCAAAGCCAGTGTTGTCCCCACGCTGTCACACAGATAACTCTCACTCCAGAGTCTAGAGAGTTGGAGGGCGGAGTTCCACTCTCCTGAGATCTTAGAGAATAAGGTGCTTCGAACATGTTGACATCGGCCCCATATTTTTGGTTGGTGAAGATGTGTTGGTGCTGGAGGAAGGGTTGGAGACCGTTGACTGAGCAGCAACCATGCACCACACAAGCTCTATTTCTTTCGTTTTTGTTTGTTTGTCTGTTTGTTTGTTTTGAGATGGAGTCTTGCTCTGTTGCCCAGGCTGCAGTGCAATGGTGCAAACTCAGCTCACCGCAACCTCTACCTCCCAGGTTCAAGCAATTCTCCTGCCTCAGCCTCCCGATTAGCTGGGATTACAGGTGTGTGCCACCACGCCCAGCTAATTTTTTGTATCTTTAGTAGAGACAGGGTTTCACCACGTTGACCAGGCTGGTCTCAAACTCCTGACCTCATGATCCGCCCGCCTTGGCCTCCCAAAGTGCTGGGATTACAGGCGTGAGCCACTGTGTCCGGCTACACACAAGCTCTGTTTCTTATCTCTGGTCCTCACCATCGTCCTCACAGGTAAAACACATTTTCTTCTATTTTCCAGATTAAGTAACTGAGGTGCTGGGGCCAGACACTGAATGACTGGGACCCAGTTTGGGACCCAACAGCACAGGTTGAGCATTTGGGATATTTAGGGTTCTTCACAATAAGTAACGCTGTAGTGAGCGGCTTTGGGCATGTTCTCTGTGCACATCTTTGATAGAAACTGTTGGTATAGGAATTCCTAGAAATGGAATTAGTGTGCAAAGGGTATAAGGATTTTCATCTACTATGTAATAGAGAGGCTAGACAGCTAAATCCTTGGCTTTCCAGACTCCCTTGCAGAGAGAGGTTCCAGGAGATCCCCTCCTGGCCAATGGGACTCTATGCAGTCTTTGTGGGTGTGTGGGAAAGCCATTGTTCTCCTGTGGAAAAGGGACATACATGTCTGGCAGTATTCTTCATCCCTCTTCCTGCCTTACATGTAAAAATGACACCTGGGCCGGGCGCAGTGGCTCACACTGGTAATCCCAGCACTTTGGGAGGCCGAGGCAGGCGGATCAGTTGAGGTCTGGAGTTGGAGACCATCCTGGCCAACATGGTGAAACCCCATCTCTACTAAAAATGCAAAAATTATCTGGGCATCGTGGTGCACACCTGTAATCCCAGCTACTCGGGAGGCAAGCGCATGAGAATCGCTTGAACCTGGGAGGCGAACGTTGCAATGAGCCGAGATAGTGCCACTGCACTCCAGTCTGATCCAGTGACAGATCAAGACTCTTTCTCAAAAAAAAAAAAAAAGAAAGAAAGAAAGAAAGAAAGAAAGAAAGAAAGAAAGAAAAAGAAAAGAAAGAAAAGAAATGACACCTGGAGCCACAGCAGCCTTCTTCCGTCCCTGAGGCTACAGATCTGAGATTGGAAACCCACCCTCAAAGTGTGGTCATCTTTGGGCCAACTGCACTGTACCACCCCCCAGACACTTCTCACTCAGTGAGAATAACGAAGTCTTACTTGCTTAGGCCCTTTTGGGGCAGGATTTCTGCTCCTTGATGCTGAGCACATTCCCAACTGGCATCGGCTCAGACAGGTGAAATACAGCAGAGATGTGGGTTATCCCCAACGTCTATTCTCCCCTTCTTCCATTGCAATAAAAATTCCCTCCAGGCATGTGTTTGCAGAAAATAAGAACCCCCTCGTCCTGTCTCCCTTTTGGCAAGGTGTGGCCCTGTAATGACATTCTGGCAAGAGGGATGAGAGAAGTACGCAGCAGCTCTAGAGGCCTTCCAGAAGGGACACTGGTGCACAGCCCTCTCCCTGTCTTGCTGTCCCCTTCTCCCTCATGCCACCTGTTGTGTGGATGCCATCTTGGGCCATGAGGTTAAGATTCCCACCCAGGATGGTGAAGCAGGGTCCTGGGAGGAGCCAGGCCTGACGACCCCAGGGAGCAGCGCCCCTCCCTCCATGGCCCCGGACCACCTACAGACTTTGTAGCCAATTATCTTGTTGAAGCCACTGATAGTTGGGATTTCCTGTTGCTCACCGTCAAACCTAATCCTGGCTGTATTCGTTCCCTGTTGCCGCTGTAACAACCTACCACAAATGGAGAGGCTGACCCCAGAACAGGCGAATTCTCTTACCGTTTAGAGCTCAAAGCCTAAACTCAGCTTCACTGCGCTGAAGACAAGGTGTTGGTTCCTTCTGGAGATGCTGAGATAGAGTCGCTTCCCTGCCTTTCTCACTGCCTACTGGGCGCACTGGCATTCCTTAGTTGGTGGCTCTTCCCCCATCTTCGAAATACGTCACTCCGATTTCTTTTTTCTTTTTTCTTTTTTTTTTGAGATGGAGTCTCACTCTGTTGCCCAGGCTGGAGTGCAGTGGTGCAATCTCGGCTCACTGCAATCTCTGCCTCCTGAGTTCAAGCGATTCTCCTGCTTCAGCCTCCAGAGTAGCTGGGATTACAGGCACACACCACCACACCCAGCTAATTTTTGTATTTTTGGTAGAGATGGGGTTTCGCCATGTTGGCCAGGCTGATCTTGAACTCCTGACCTCAAGTCATCTGCCCACCTCAGCCTCCTAAAGTGCAGGGATCACAGGCGTGAGCCATCATGCCCAGCCAACATCACTCCAATTTCTGTTTCCCTTTTCACATTGCCCTTCCCTCTGCCTGTTTCCCCCTGACTCCCTCTTATAAGGACTCTGGGGATGACATCAGACCCCCCTCAATAGCCTAGGATCATCTTTCTGTTCCAAGGTCCTCCACATAATCACATCTGCAAAGCTCCTCTTCCCATTTAAGAAGCCTTTTGTAGGATCTGGGGATTAAGATGTGGACAGATTTTGGGGGATATTGTTCAGCCTACCTCACCATCTGGACTACATATTTGTGTCTCCCCCAAATTCCTGTGATGAAGCCCTAATCCCCATTGTGACATATTTTGAGATAGAGCCTGTGAGGAAGTGATAAAGGTGAAATGAGGTCGTCAGGGTTGGGCCCTGATCCAATATGGCTGTGCCCTTGTAAGAAGAGGAAGAGACAGCAGAGCTCACCCTCTCTCTCCACCACAGGAGGACAAAGTGAGAAGGTGGCTGTCTGCAAGCCAAGAAGGGAGCCCTCACCAGAAATGGACCCTGCCGGGCCTTGATCTGGGGCTTCAGGCTTATGCTCCCATGAGCAGAATCATTGCAGTTATACAGAAAACAGGGCCCTGAATCGAACGTTGATGAACCACCATCACATACACCTCTGGGATATTTGGGAAGTGTGATGGGAATCAGACAGGCCTGAACTCAATCTCAGATGTAGGACTCGCTGACTCCCTGCTGGTAAGCAGGTCTCCATTTCCTCATCTGTAAAACGGGACTGATGATCCCAGTGATGATGTCATGCAAGCTGGCTCAGTGTGGCTCTATGCCCAGCACTCAGTGGGCTTAGGGTATTGCTAAGCACACGCCCTCCATTGCCACTATCTCCCATCCCTGACTCAGCCACCCTGCCTTGCCCTTATTCACTCACTCATTCATTCATCCAATATATTTTACTGAGGGTCTATCCTTTCAAACCAGGCACAGCACGGGGCATCAGGAACACAATGAATAGGTGCAGTTTCTGCTCTCCAAGCCCCATCACGGAAGTCCCAGTTTCCCTCTTTAAAGGGCTGGCCAGTCCTTCCCCTAGAGAAATGTGGGAAGCTCTCAGGCATTCGACCTGCAGCCCTGCTGGGCTACGTCCCACTCCACCATGGGGCTGGAGCACTGCTTCCTCATCTGTGATCAGAGGCCTTCCCGCTCCTTGGCCCGCCCTTGCAAGCTTGCCTCCCAGCTGGAATGGAATGAAAACAAATCAGCACTTTGCAAACTCACAAGCACTATGGACACAAGAGGAAGCATTATTTTTTCCCCAAACAATAACAATAGTAAGTCTTAGCCTTCCTTGAGCACTGATAATAGGTCAGGCCCTGTCCTTCTGATTGTCTGGATGATCTCTCGCGACTCTCAGCTCCTCCTAGGAGGTGAGGAGTATTAGTGTCTCCAATTTATAGGTGAGAACACTCATGTCTAGAGAGGCCCCTGCAGCTCTATGCCAGCCCTCAGTGACTGTAAGGGTGGATGGACCTTTTCAAACCCAGGGGTCGGTGGTGGAAAATGGCTTGATTCTGGGTCAGAGAGGCTGAAAGGAAAAGGTGGGCAGCAGGATGTGTGAACCAAAGCCCAGCCCTGGGAGTGGGGAGGTGGGTTTGGATCCTACATTAAGGAAGTGTTTTTCAGGCTATGGGATTTTAAAAAGAGGCATCACCCAGTTGCACTCTGAGCCAGTGTATTAGTTCATTTTCAGGCTGCTGATAAAGACATACCTGAGACTGGGAAGAAAAAGAGGTTAATTGGACTTATGGTTCCACGTGACTGGGGAGGCCTCAGAATCATGGCAGGAGGTGAAAGGCACTTCTTACATGGCAGCGGCAAGAGAAAAATGAGGAAGAAGCAAAAGTGGAAACCCCTGATAAACCCGTCAGATCTCCTAAGACTTATTCACTATCATGAGAATAGCATGGGAAAGACCGGCCCCCATGATTCAATTACCTCCCCCTGAGTCCCTCCCACAACATATGGGAATTCTGGGAGATACAATTCAAGTTGAGATTTGAATGGAGACACAGCCCAACCATATCATTCATTGCGGAAGAAAGGAAAACAAATCTATTGATTCCCAAACCATCAAGAAAAGAGGCAGGTGCAATAATTTATCAGGGGGCTTTGGGAACTAGGAGCGTAGTGGGCTCAGGGAAATGAGGGGTAGGAAGTAGGGCTGACTCAAATCGATTCACAGAGAGACATAAGCCAGCCCCTTCAAGATGCTGAATACCCCCAGAGATAGATATTTACTGCTCATGAAGAATGATTTTATCCATAACAAACTCTGAGCTCAGGCCATATCTTTTGGAGTGGAATTCAGTATTTGCTAATAAAACAGCACTGATCAGAGACTGCCCCAATGACACAATTGACAACTGTGCCACTCCTGGAGTGTGCTGAACCTGGCTCCAGCCCAGGTCTCCCCAAGTGACCTGGAGGGATACTCTGAAGCTCCACAGGGCTCCTGCATCAACAGCAAAAGCCACTTCAGTAGCAGTAGCTTCTGTCTTCCAATAAGTTCACAAGCACAACATGTGACAAGTGCCAGAGTGGTGTGAGGAAGATGACTAGGCCAAACTAAAGGCAACACAAAATTCCCTGGACACTTATGCCAATTCTATGGTAAGTATTCTAAGGTGCATTATTATCTCATGATGATGTCACAAAGACAGCATCAACCTTCTTTTTTTTCCTTTTTGAGACAGAGTCTCACTATGTTGCCCAGGCTAGTCTCAAATTCCTGGGCTCAAGCAATCCTTTTGCCTCAGTCTCTCAAGTAGCTGGAACTGTGGGCCTGTGCCACCACATCTGGCTTCAGTCCTCACCTAAGCCAAAGAAAATTTTGTTTCAGAGAGATTAAGTGCCTTGCCCAGGTCACGCTGAAATTGGTTGGCTATATTTTGTTGATTTTCACACCTGTGTTCATGAAGAATCTTGGTTTGTAGGGGTTTGTTTCCTTGTTGTGTCTCTGTCTAGTTTTGGTATTAGAGTCATGCTAACCTCATGAGATGGGTTGGGAAGTGTTCTTCTATTTTCTCAAGGAGATTCTGCAGAGTAGTTATCATCCTCAAATATTTGGTAAAGTTAGCCAACAAAACCATCTGGGCCTGGAAATGTCATTATTAGATATCTTTAATTTTGAACTTAATTTCTTGAATAAATATAAGATTATTCAGATGGTCTAGTTCTTCATGCGTGACTTTTGGTAGTCTGTAGATTTCAAGGAATTGGTTCATGTAAAATTTTTGGCATATTAGTTCCTTCTCCTGCTGCTAAAAGGACACGCCCAAGACTGGGTAATTTATAAAGGAAAGAGGTTTAAGTGACTCATAGTTCCTCTGTGCTGAGGAGGCCTCAGGGAACTTACAATCATGGTGGAAGTGGAAGCAAACACGTCCTTCTTCACATGGTAGCAGGAAGGAGAAAAATGAGTGCCCAGTGAAGGGGGAAGCCCCTTATAAAACCAATCAGATCTCATAAGAACTAACTCACTATCATCAGAACAGGATGGGGGAACCGCCCCCATGATGCAATTATCTCCACCTTGTCCCTCCCACAACACGTGAGGATTGTGGGAACTACAATTCTGGATTTGGGTGGGGACACAGCCAAACCATATCATATGAGACATATCCATTTTATCCTGCTAATGTCTGTATGACCTGTAGTGATTACCCATCTTTCATTCTGGGTCTTGGTAACATAGCTTCTCTCTTTTTCCTTGGCCAGTCTTGCTAGAAGCTTCTCTCTCTTCCCCTTAGCAATGATGCTCCAGCTCCCAGCCTCCTTTCTCTTCCTCCGGCAGTGACGCTCCTCTGAGCCTCAGCACTTGATGGCTTCACTCCTGTCCTACAGAATTGGAGATCCTTGAGTTGGGAGGGCCCTTCAGTGACCCCTGGTAGAGGCTCCTTCCTGGGTGCTTCTAGGAAGACTGGATGGTGGTCAGGCTGCCTCCATGCGCCTCTCATTGGAAGCTGAGTTCTTGTATCATGTCATTTGTTTCTACTTCTGGCAACTTTCCCATCAAGGGCAATAACTGCTACCACTTACCAAGAGTGGCAACACAGCTAGTTGGGTGACAGGCTCATGTGTGACTCTGGTAGCCACTCCCTGGGCACTCCCCTCTACCGAGTTTTGCCCCCTTGGGCTCCAGGCTTACCTCCATGCCTTCTTTTCTGTCACATCATGCTGGATGGTGCCAGCCCTGGAACCAGGCTTCCTGATCAGAGCCCAGCTCTGCTGTAGGTCACCAGCTGTGTGACCTTGTGGAAGTTATTGAAACTCTGTGCCTCAGTTTCCTCACCTATAAAATGGACCTAATACTAGTTTCACTTGGGGATGTTGGGAAGATGAAGTTAGAATCATCCATGTGGCTGGCACATAGTAAGAGCCCAGTGTCAGCTGTGAGTTTTAATCTTGTGCTAACCCATCAGAGACTGTGCCCCTGGCATTTCTTTTCTCCAGGCATTCTCAGCACCTCCAACTGTTTTTACCTAGCTGTACCTTCCTGTCTAACCTTGTACCTTCAGGGTCACCCCAGGTAAGACATGTGCTTCTTCATCAATGTGCCCTTTCTGGTGTGAGTCCTGAACTGGCCCAGGATTCAGATTCTGCATGAGAGGTGAGGTGTGCAGACACGATGCTCTGGGGGTGCCTGAGAATTGCCACCAGGAGGTTATTCATGAGGTCTCCAGACAGAAGGGCCCTGAGGAAGGGCAGGGAGAACATTCCAGAAGGAGCAGCCCCTTGGCACATCTAAGCAGGGCTAGATGGGGCACGTGGGAAGGTGAGGAGCTGATGTTGCCAAGGGAAGCAGAAGCTTTTAATGGCGGCTGTGTTTGGCTGCAACATGGCCCCCAAGGTTATCCCCGTCCAAATCTGCATAACCTATGGCTGTTACCTTATATGCCAAAAGGGACTTTGCAGCTGAGACCAAGCTAAACGTTTTTGGGTGTAAAGCTTATTCTAGGTTATCGGATGACCCCTGAATGTAATCACAGGTGTCCCTATAAGAGGGAGGTTTGATGCAGAAGAAAAACTGGAGCAAGATGTGACGCTGCTGCCTTTGAAGATGGAGGAAGGAGTTGCCACCTGAGGAATGCGAGGAATGTGAAGAAAGCAGTTCCCGGAGCTGGAAATGGATTCTCCCAGGGCCTCAGGAGTGCAGCCCTGCCAACACCTTGCCTTAAGCCCCATGAAACTCATTTCAGGTCTCTGCCCTCCAGAACTGCAAAAGTTGCTCTCATTTTAAGCCACTGAATGTGTGCTAATGAATTTGTTACAGCAGCCACAGGACACTGATACACAAGGTTAAGTGATATAGTTTGGCTGTGTCCCCACCCAAATCTCATCTTGAATTCCCATGTGTTCCAGGAGGGACCTGGTGAGAGGTAATTGAATCGTGGGGGCGGGATTTTCCCATGCTGTTCTCATGATCATGAGTCTCACAAGATCTCATAGTTCTATAAAGAGACATTCCCCTGCACAAGCTCTCTCTCTCTTTGCCCGCTGCCATCCACGTAAGATGTGACTTGCTCCTCCTTGCCTTCTGCCATGATTGTGAGGCCTCCACAGCCATGTGGAACTGTAAGTCCAATAAACCTCTTCCTTCTGTAAATTGCCCTGTCTTGGGTATGTCTTTATCAGCAGCATGAAAATTGACTAATAAACTAGGGAATTTTTAACTTTCTCCCAAGCATACATAACCTAGTGAAGAGTTTTGAGCAGGGATGTTTAAAAATACAGTGTATTCATAGGACATCTGAAGTCCCTGAAGGCCCACAGATCACAAGACGCCTGCCAATAAAAAGATTGTTTGTCACTCACAGTTTCCAAGAGGAGGCGGCAGGCCATGCCTGGGGCCACACAGGAAGATGGGCACAGTCACGAGGAGGAGGCAAAGGGGAGAGCAGTGAGTGGGCACTTTGACTGTGGTTGCTGTGGGACAGAACCAGCAAGAAAGGTAGGCAGGCTTAGGATTGGCCAGTTTGAATAATTAAAGCTGCTCCAGGGCACAAGGCTGTCCCTACTAATCTGGTACCTGCCCTGAGCTGATGAGGACAGGTAGATGTGGCTGGAGCAGTAGAGCCTAGAAAAACAGGTGGCTGCAGCGTGGACTCTGGGTTGGTTGGTTTGTATTTGAAAAGTGCCTCTACCCAGAAGAGGACTCCTCTGAGGAGTGGGGGAGGTGACGAGGGAGGCAGGAGGTCAGGCACGGTGACTTAAGCACATTATCAGGTTGTTCAGAACAAGGCCTTTCTGGCCCATGCATGGAGGATGGATGTCAACGAAGTGTCAAGTTCACAGAGGCTAGAAACACAGGTGACGCCGGGTGTAATGCATTCAGGCTTGTCTCAGCAAAATCACCATTGTAGCAGGGTGCAGAGACCCCCTCTGGCGGCTGAGCAGGCACAGAGGGCTGTGTATTCAGTAGGTGCATATATCAACCCTCCTGCACCCTCTGTCCCCTCCCAGCCCCTCCAGAGCTGCCTTTCCCCTCCCTGCCCCAGTCTGTGCTCTGCCCACACTGCTGTCTCGTGGGTGCCCCCCAGCGCCCAGCAGCCCTTTCCTTCCGCATGAGCTCCTGCCCATCCCTTGGGGCCAGTGTGGATGCTACTCTCCCCTGGAGAAATCAGCCCCGACAGCACCCGCTGTGCATACACGGCGCTCCCCGTGCATTCACCACGTGCTCCCTGCCATGCTGGGCACTTCTCACCGATCACTGGGTTGGCTCTGATGCAACTGCCAACATCCAGTCATTTTTGACCTACAAAAAGTGGCGATTTAATACGGTTCGACCTAAATCCTTCAGTTAATCCTCAGAATAATTGTGTAAGTTAGGGACGCTTTACCAGTGAGGAAACTGAGACTGAGATGATTTGGAAATTCAGTCACAAAGCTCACATTCATTTTCTGTGGCTGCCATGACACATACCACAGCTTGCATGGGTTAAAACAACACAGATGTATTTTCCCACAGTTCTGAAGGCCAGAAGTCTGAAATCACAGTGGCAACAGGGCTGCTGCCTCCGACTGCTCTAGGAGAGAATCCATGCTGGCCTCTTCCAGGCCTTCTCTTTGGTCTCAAATCTCCCTCCGCCTTTCTCTTGCAGGGACCCTGTCACTGTATTTGGGATCCACCTGTATGATCCAGGCTGATCTCTGGAGATCCTTCACTGAATTGTATCTGCAAAACCCTATTGCCAAATAAGGTAGCTAATATGGTTAAGCTCTGTGTCCCCACCCAAATCTCATCTTGAATTGTAATAATCCCCATGTATCAAGGGTGGGACCAGGTGGGGATCATTGAATCATGGGGGCAGTTTCCCCCATGCTGTTCTCGTGATAGCAAGTGAGTTCTCATGAGATCTGATGGTTGTTTTCTGTTTGTTTGTTTGTTTGTTTGTTTGAGACAGAGTCTCACGCTGTTACCCAGGCTGGAGTGCAGTAGCGCAATCTCGGCTCACTGCAACCTCCGCCTCCCAGGTTCAAGCAATTCTCCTGCCTCAGCCTCCCAAGTAGCTGGGATTACAGGCATGGGCCAACACACCTGGCTAATTTTTATAGTTTTAGTAGAGACGGGGTTTCGCCATATTGACCAGGCCGGTCTCAAACTCCTGACCTCAGGTGATCTGCCCGCCTCGGCCTCCCAAAGTGCTGGGATTACAGGTACGAGCCACAGCACCTGGCCTAAGATCTGATGGTTTTTTAAAGGGCTTCCCCCTTTGCTAGGCTCTTACTCTTCTTCCTGCCACCATGTGAAGAAGGATGTGTTTGTTTCCCCTTCTACCATGATTGTAAGTTTCCTGAGGCCTCCCCCGCCATGTGGAACTGTGAGTCCATTAAACCTCTTTCCTTTATAAATTACCCAGTCTCAGGCGGTCCTTCACAGCAGCGTGAGAACAGACTAACACAGTGGCACTCGCAGGTTCTGGGGACTCGAGCACGGACACATCTGTTTAGGGGCCACCATTCAACCCACTACAGCTCATAAGTGGTGTCATCAGCTGAGCCCAGGGTGTCTACAGCCACAAGGCTGGTGTGCGGTTAGGGCTTGCTTTTGTACCACTTCCCCACCTGACACTGTGTCTGTGTAACACCTGCCCAGCCCCCACATATGGGCTTGGCTTTGGTCACGTCCAAGCTCCAGATCCTAAATCATCTGGAAGCCTCTTTCTTACCCTCCTGAGTGTTTCCCCACATGTTCAACACACACTCAGGAGGGTTTTCTTACGTCTTTAATTTCTCAGCACAAAACAAGTCTAAAAATAAGCACTCACTGCTTCTTGTCAAATAAATTCTGAAAACCATGTGTAGGAAGGGCCTGTGTTGACAAGGGTATGAATATCCTGGTGGCTGATGTCAAATGGGGCAGTTCCATGTGCTGAGTTCTGTGCAGGACAAAAAGCTGACACTGGCCGAATCTTGCCGTGGGCAGCTTACCCGTGAGCCACTGTGCACAGCCCACACAGAATTAGCTGTGAACCCTGAAAATCTGAGGCAGGTCTCAGTTAATTTAGAAAGTTTATTTTGCCAAGGTTGAGGACACACGCCTGTGACGCAGCCTCAGGAGGTCCTGACGACATGTACCCAGGGTGGTCAGAGCACAGTTTGGTTTTATACATTTTAGGGAGATATGAGCCATCAATGAACATATGTAAGATTAACATTGGTTTGGTCCGGAAAGGTGGGACAACTGGAAGCAAAAACGGGACAACTCAAAGTGGGGAGGGGGTTTCCAGGTCCTAGGTAGATAAGAGACAAACAGTTGCATTCTTTTTTTGTTTGTTTTTTCTTTGAGATGGAGTTTTGCTCTTATTGCCCAGGCTGGAGTGCAATGGCGCAATCTCGGCTCACCACAACCTCAGCCTCCCAGGTTCAACTGATTCTCCTGCCTCAGCCTCCCGAGTAGCTGGGATTACAGGCATGCACCACTATGCCCATCTAATACTGTAGTTATAGTAGAGACAGGGTTTCTCCATATTGGTCAGGCTGGTCTTGAACTCCTGACCTCAGGTGATCCGCCCGCCTCAGGCTCCTAAAGCGCTGGGATTACAGGCATGAGCCACTGCACCTGGCCTGGTTGCATTGTTGTGAGTGTCTAATTAGCCCCTCCAAAGGAGGCAGTCAGATATGCATTTATCTCAGTGAGCAGAGGGGTGACTTGGAATAGGATGGGAGGCACGTTTGCCCTAAGCAGTTCCCAGCCTGACCTTTCCCTTTAGCTTAGTGATTTTGGGGCCCCAAGATTTCTTTTCCTTTCACATAGCAGCTGTCTAGAGTGAGAGAGCTGAGTGGGGAAACCATTTCGAGGACAGAAACCAAGACGTTGTTTCCTCCTGACCTCACTGGATCCCCCTCAGTGCTCTTTCGCAAAAGTATTATTATTCCCACTTTAAGGAAGAAGGCAGTGGTTCAGAGAGAGTGTAACTGCAATAGGCTCGTTGCCCGGTGTGCGTGGCAAACCAGCATGCCAGGACATGGGGTGGCAGCAGAGGAAGAGGTTCCATTGTAGGGCCACCAAACGAGGAGATGGAAGGACAAATTCATCTCCCCAGGGAGTTTGGGGCTGGGGTTTTTCAGGGTTTTGGAGTGCACCGACGTGTGGAGATGGTTGATTGCTCGAAGAGTGGGGGGTAAAGCCGTGGAAGCTGGACCAGGGAGAGGAACCGGCTGCATTCTCCTGCCCACCCCCCAATTCTTCCCCATTCCTCTGGAGGGGGCTTCAAACTGTTTGCTGGAATTCAAGGTGTGAAAAGCATCTTAAGTGTTTCTTAAACAAAAGCCTAATGATTATTAGAAAGCCAGAGATAGTTTAGCATATTAGTCTATTCTCATGCTGCTAATGAAGACACACCCAAGACTGGGTAATTTATGAATAAAAAGAGGTTTAGGCCGGGCACAGTGGCTCACGCCCATAATCCCAGCACTTTGGGAGGCTGAGGCGGGTGGATCACCTGAGGTTAGGAGTTTGAGACCATCCTGGCCAACAGGGTGAAACCCCTTCTCTACTAAAAATACAAAAAATTACCAGGGCATGGTGGCCAGCGCCTGTACTCCCAGCTACTTAGGAGGCTGAGGCAGGATAATAGCTTGAATCCGGGAGGCAGAGATTGCAGTGAGCAGAGATTGCACCATTGCACTCCAGCCTGGGAAACAAGAGCAAAACTCTGTCTCAAAATAAAAATAAAAATAAAAATAGGGCCGGGCACAGTGGCTCGTGCCTGTAATCCCAATACTTTGGGAGGCTGAGGTGGGTCAGGAGTTCAAGACCAGCCTGGCCAACATAGTGAAACCCCATCTCTACTAAAATACAAAAAGTTAGCTGGGCATGGTGGAGCGCGCCTGTAATCCCAGCTACTCTGGAGGCTGAAGCAGGAGAATCCCTTGAACCCGGGAGGCGAAGGTTGCAGTGAGCTGAGATTGTACCATTGCACTCTAGCCTGGCAACGAGAGCGAAACTCTGTCTCAAAAAAATAAAAATAAAAAAATAAAAATAAAAAAGAGGTTCAATAGACTCACGGTTCCACATGGCTGAGGAGGCCTCACAATCATGGCAAAAGGTGAAAGGCATGTCTTACATGGCAGCAGGCAAGAGAGAATAAGAGCCAAGTGAAAGGGGTTTCCCCTTATTAAAATCATCAGCTCTCATAAGACTTATTCACTGCCACAAGAACAGGATGGGGGAACCACCCCCCTTATTCAATTATCTCCCACAGGGTCCCTCCTACAACACGTGGGAATTATGGAAGCTACAATTCAAGATGAGATTTGGGTGGTGACACAGCTAAACTATATCCTATAGAATTTCTGTAGGAACAGTGGGGATGCAAACCAGTTCTTAAACAGTCTTATGACCCTAATGTCAGAATTCCTACCTCTAGGAATGATGGGTAGTGTCTAGTGCTACATGCAAATGGTCAGTGTCTAGTACTACGGGACTTCTAACAACAGGGAACTGGGCCAGAGTGTAGCCTGATGAATGCTTAACTATAACTAGATTTCTGTGCAGAATTCTTATTAACCCTGTGAGGACGACTTCAAGGCTAAGTGACTTGGTCAAGGTCATACAGCCACAAGCAGCGAAAGCGGATTTCGAACCCTTGTCCCTTTAACTCTACACTAGGTGGGGGATTGAGAGGGGAGGGGACTGAGATTTGGAAAGACTGTCGTGAAAGTGACAACCGTACAGAGCTCAAAGGCTCAGGCTGCTGGGGGGGTGTGGGCTGGGGTTCAGCCCACTTTAGAGGTTAAATGTTGAAGCTGCAGAGCAGACACACTCCAGGAGGATGATGTTGTGTATTCTGCACCGTGGCTCATCTGGGCTGAGGCTGGGGGCTTTTCTCTGCTGCCAGTCCTATGTTTCACAAGCAGGTCCCCTGCAGTAGCCTGCAGCGTTATTGCCTCACAGACAATAAATTAGGGTCTTTAAACCATAAAATTGGCATTTGGACTCTAGTCATGTGTGAAGGGCTCAGCCTGCTTCTGTGAGCTGCGAAACAAAGCGTCCTTGGTTATGAATAAATTAGGTCCTTCCCCCTTGCAGGGGGCACAGGCAGCTGGCGGGGATGGTGCATGATTCCAAAGCAGGGAAGAAAGAGCATGGGGTGTGGGGTTATTTCAGGAGGCAGCAACCTGACGGTTTATTTATTTAACAACACTTAGGTAGGACTACCTTCAAGCCAGGCACGTTCTGTGTTTTACAAAGATTAGTTCATTTAATCCTCTGACACCCTGGGAGAAGGAACCGTTATCATCCCCATTTTACTAAGAAGAAACTCAGGCACATAGAAGTCATTTGCCTAAGATCATGTAGCCAGCGGGTGGCAGCAGGGTGACCCAGGTGGCCTGGCTCCAGAATCCTTGCTCTTCTTCCCCATTGCTAAGCGGCCTCTTCATTTTGTGACTTTCTCTAAAGAAGGTCAAATTCATGTGGGGTTAGAAGCTTGGCTTCGCCCTGGGTGACGAGAACCTCTAGATGCTAAAATGACTGAACGTGAAAAGGTGCAGCCATTGTAGGCAGCAGTCTGGCAGTTCTGTACGAAAATTAAGCTAAGAGTTACCCTATGATCCGGCCACTCCACGCCTAGGTATGTTCCCGAAAGAGCTAAAAGCAGAGACTCAAACAGACATTAGTACACTCACATTCATAGCAGCATTATTCACCGTACCCACGAGGTGGAAGCAACCCAGGTGTCCATCCATGGAAGGATGGATAAATAAAATGTGGTCTGTCCGTACAGTAAAGTATTGTCCAGCCTTAAAAAGGAAGGACATTCTGACACATGCGCCAACAGGGATGAATTTGGAAGCCCTTAGTCTAAATTTAAAAAGCAGTCACAAAAGGACAAACAGTGTGTGATTCCACTCATGTGAGGTAGCTGGAAGTCAAATTCAAAGAGGCAAAAAGTAGATTAGAGGCTACAGGGGCTGGGGGAGACCATAGGGAGCTATTGCTTCATGGGTACAGAGTGTCTGTTTGGGGTGATGAGAAAGTCGTGGAAATAGATTGTGATGATGGTTATACGACACTGTGAATGAAATTAATACCAATGAATGGCATTTTAAAATGGTAACATAGGCCGGGTGCGGTGGCTCATGCCTGTAATCCCAGCACTTTGGGAGGCCAAGGTGGGCAAATCACCTTAGGTCAGGAATTCGAGACCAGCCTGACCAACATGGAGAAACCCCGTCTCTACAAAAATACAACATTAGCCGGGTGTGGTGGCACATGCCTGTAATCCCAGCTACTGGGGAGGCTGAGGCAGGAGAATCGGTTGAACCTGGGCGGTGGAGGTTGTAATGAGCCGAGATCGTGCCATTGCACTCCAGCCTGGGCAAAAAGAGTGAAACTCTATCTCAAAATAAAATTAAATTAAAAAATGGTAACATAAAATGTCAAATTTTATGTTATATATATTATTTACCTCGATTTAAAAAACCCAGTGAAGTAAAAGCAGTTATTGTCTCCATTTTACAGATGTGCACACAGAGAGGCAGGAAGGGGTAACACGCCCAAGGCCAAATAGCTCCCTGCAGAGCACGTTCGTCTCCAACAGAAAATGTCTCTGCAGCTCCAACTGGACAAAGAGGCCTCTGCCTGGGGAGAGCCCTGAGCAGCCAGGACTGAGGTTGTGCAGGGAGACAGCAGACAGAGCAGAAAGGCGCAGGGAGCGTGGGAGGTGCGCTCCTGCCTTCCAGCAGCTCACAGGGGCGACCCTGTGCATCGGAACTGCAAGAGCTCTGTGTGGGGGTGAGGGTGAGGGCCGCGGGGGTGAACTCTCCAGAGAAGGACCCAAATTTACACTCAAGGAATGTGTTCCAAGCAGGAGATTTTGCCACAAAGGAAGGGAGGGATATTTATGTGCCTGGCCTTATCTCCTCTAGATTGACTTTTCCTGAATCACAGAGGCTCAGGGAGGAGGGAGGAGGGAGGAGGGGGAATAGCTCTCGGGATAAAGGAGGCCATTGGCGAGCAGCCATTTAATGCCCGCCTTTAATCTGGTGAATATAATGCTACAGGCGAGGTGGCCATTTTTCCCGACTGTAAAGAGAGAATCTAGCCTCATAGTCCCAAGGAGGCCCCAGACCCGGCATCCAACAGCCGTGGCCCTGTGTGCGCAAGGGGTGCTGGGGGTGGAGAGGGCTTGGCCGGGGATGTTCTGAGACCCCGGGAATACTTGGTCCACCAGCAGGCCTGGGGGTCCTGCTCCCCCTGAGCTGCGACCTGGGCCACGTCTCCCCTGCTCTCCCAGCATCCTCCACGGCAGGCTCGTTGGTCCCTGCGGGACTAGCCGTCCACTGCTGTGCTGTTAGCAGGCTGGTCCCTTGGCTTCCTAAAGAGCAGCCTCCTCCTCATCCAACCACTGTGCTCCTATGTCACCTTTTCTGGAAGCACCACCCCAAGCCTACAGGGAGAGCTAGCCGCCCCTCTCCTCTGTCTGTCTCCGTCTCTCCTATTGCCTCATTAGAGGGGGAACCATTTCCAAGGGAGGACCCACGTCAGTTATCTCTGGAACTTGTCAGGCCTGTTACATGGCTGGTGTAAAATCAATATTGATGGAAGTGAATTGGATTAAAATGAAACACTGAATAGAAATGAAATGAATTGAAATGAATTATAAATACACTGACTACAGGTGTATTGAATGAGTTGAAAGCTGACCTCCAAAAAGAGATGGCCATGTCCTAACCATCGGAAACTGTGAATGTCACCTTATTTGGAATAAAGATCTTTGCAGATATAACCAAATTGAGGATCTCGGGATGAGATCATCCCAGATGATCCTGAACCCTAAATCTAATGACAGTGACCTTGTAAGAGACACATAGAAGACAGAGGAGGACCCCACATGAAATGGAGGCAGACATTGGAGTGAGGCGGCTACAAGCCAAGAAACGCCTAGAGCCACCAGAGGTTGAAAAGAGGCAAAGAGTTGTCACCTAGAGCCTTTGGAAGGAAGTGTTAACCTTAAAGAATGAGATTCAGAAAGTGTGATTGAGTATAGAGTTTATTCAAGTGCAAAGCTTAAGGATGGCTACCAGTGAAAGTACCAACTCCAAAGGAATGGGCTCAGAGTTTCCAACGTGGAGGAGTTAAGGTTTCATTGATATCAGTAGAGAAGTTCCAGGAAGATTACATCAGCTACCCTACAAGGCCAGGTGCATACATCACAGCAATTGGATTGGTTACAGATTGCTTCATACCAAGGAAGATTACTTTATTACTCCATGAGGAGGGGCAATGATCTGAGGGGGTCTCATCTCTGGTGCAGCTTGGGTCTTCTTAATTACTAACAAGAAGAAATAAAGGCAGAAGTTGCAGCTGCAACCCATGTGACCGAGATTGCATAGCCACATTGCTCTCAAGGCTCAGGTTAATTCGAGGTTTCAACAGCTTTAAGCTTGAATTATTTAACTTCACATTTCCCCCTTTTCATCAAGATCTTTGGAAGAAAGCTTCATAGATGAACTCAAATGGTTTTGGCTCCTTTTATGTTCAGGACCTTAGTCCCTTATTGCTAGAAGGCTCATTCCTAGAGTGTCATGTCCATGGTAGGGGGAATGTCAGGCTATCAACCTGATAAGGTAGCAACCTAATTTAAAGCAATATGAGGGAAGTGACTTTGTGACCTGAGTCAGGCTACTCCGCTGCATCTTCAGTTAATGCAGTTCTTCAAGTGACCATTAATTTCATTTCTTCAGTTGTGAGTTGACTCCCTTGCAAATACATTCTGTAGCAGCAGTGAAGACAAAAAGAAGGCAAAACCCGCTGGGCACAGTGGCTCATGCCTGTAATCCCAACACTTTGGGTGGCCAAGGTGGGTGGATCACTTGAGGTCAGGAGTTCGAGACCAGCCTAGCCAACATGGTGAAACCCCGTCTCTACTAAAAACACAAAAATTAGCCGGGCTTGGTGGTGGGCACCTGTAATCCCAGCTACTTGGGAGGCTGAGGCAGGAGAATCGCTTGAACCTGGGAGGCGAAGGTTGCAGTGAGCCGAGGTTGTGCCATTACACTCCAGCCTGGGTGACAGAGTGAGACTCCGTCTCAAAAAAGAAAAAAAAAAGAAGAAGACAAAACCAAACAATGATGATAATTTCTAGAACGAGTAATAGCTTTTGCCACCAAGTTTCCCAAGATCCCAACCAGCTGCTTAGCCAGTCGTTTAGGGAGGGCATTGGATCTGAAAGGATAATTATTTGAGTTTTCATATCAGCCATCAATTTAGTGATGTTACCTGGGATATAGATACAGCAGCCAGTTTTTATGATAGCATAGGTTCCCCCTTGGGCTGCAGTGAGTATGTCTAAAGTCATATGGTGTCAGGTAAATGCACCTGACAGCAAACATTTAAGCATATCCTTAGACTGACCCTGTGTGGAAGATGCACCTGAATGTGTGTTCCCAACTAGAGAACCTGGGAGTGGACAACCTGGAGATTCATTCCGTATCTATGGTAAACATCTGAGTTCCCATCCCATCCCATTGAATGTGGGCCATACAGGGCACTGAGGTTCTGAGTTTTGGGTTAAATGAAGGTTGCCAGGTGTAGGTTGTTAAGGGGAGAAAGTGTTAAGTGAAAATGCTATATGAACTGCATGCTGTTTGCAAGCATTTGTGGTTTCCCTGCTCAGCCTGCCATCACTAGAGCCTTTCTTTTTTTTTTCCGACAGAGTTTCACTCTTGTTGCCCAGGCTAGAGTGCAATGGCATAATCTCAGCTCACTGCAACCTCCGCCTCCCGGATTCAAGCAGTTCTTCTGTCTCAGCCTCCTGAATAGCTGGGATTACAGGCATGCGCCATTACGCCTGGCTAGTTTTGTATTTTTAGTAGAGCCGGGGTTTCTCCATGTTGGTCAGGCTGGTCTCGAACTCCTGACCTCAGGTGATCCACTCACCTCGGCCTCCCAAAGCGCTGGGATTACAGGCCTGAGCCACCACGCCCAGCCTAGATGGTTTCTATACATAAGGGGGTTCTCTTGTCTAGCCCACAGCCACTGGATTCTCTCCCCTGTGCGTAAGCCCCCTGATAAAACCCCGTGTCTTGTTTGCTGGCTTTGGGTCGCTTAGCCTCTTGAATCTTGTGCCTTCCCTACTGAGGTTAATAGGGGTTCGGCACAACACACAGTTCTGTGATACGGCCTTTCTCATAAGAGTAACTTTGTTGTTTAATAACGAGATGCCCATGTGGCTATCATCTAGGGCCTTTTGTGTATAAATGGCTAGGGCCTCTGCAAGCCAAATGACATCCTTAATACCTAGTTGTGGCAGAAAGATGGAAGCTAAATGATCACACCAATGGCATACAGAATGAACCCAATGAACTCAATGATTATATAAGTGAGGAAGATTTGTGGGCTTTGAAAGAGTATAAACTATTCAACCTTGTGCCCAGGCATAACCCAAAAAATACCGTCTTAACCATCCTATGGGTAACCACGGCCATAGTTGGTGCCCGCACAGCAAAGATGTTCCATTTGCAGCTAACCAATGAATACCTAGTCACTGTGCCCTTTCAGTGGGATGCCAGTCAGTGCCTTGTAATATAATGGTGTGGATACACTCTTGTCTGGATATCCATCCCATATCTCTAGTGCTACTGGGGCAGGAATCTTTGGTGTGATTCTTTTGATCCCAACATAAATGGGCAAGCTAAGCTGACCAAAAGAGGGAGTACACCAGACAAAACAAACTCAAATTTGTGTTATACTATCTCAAAATTGAGTTGTCTCATTTCTCGGTTGGGGGCAGCACCAGTGTTAAAACTAACAAATGGGCCGAGCCCGGTGGCTCACGCTTGCAATCCCAGAACTTTGGGAGGCCAAAGTGGGCAGATCACAAGGTCAGAAGTTCAAGACCAGCCTGGCCAACACAGTGAAACCCCCTGTCTACTAAAAATACAAAAATTAGCTGGGTGTGGTGGCGGGCACCTGTAATCCCAGCTACTTGGGAGGCTGAGGCAGGAGAATCACTTGAACCTGGGAGGTGGAGGTTGCAGTGAGCCAAGATCGTGCCACTGCACTCCAGCCTGGGCGACAGTGGGAGACTCTGTCTCAAAAAAAAAAAAAAAAGAAAAAAGAAAAGTTAAAATGGGAGTTAATATATGTAATTAAAACTACTAGTTACAAAATAAACAATTTTATATACAGAAAATAAAAGAAAATTGAAAAGACAGAGTAATTTGTTTTCTTTTACATGAGAAAGAATTTTGTGTGGTCAAAATGATAAGGGAGAAAATAAACTTTTTTCCTAAGGTGGAATGCCAATAGGAAAAAGGAAGTATAGGCCAAAATTGAAGGTTACATGAACTGTAGAAGGTTTGTGGGAGATACGGCCGGGCATGGTGACCCAAGATAGAAGCACAAAAAGGTAGAAATAAATGAGGAGGCCGGGCGCGGTGGCTTATGCTCGTAATCCCAGCACTTTGGGAGGCCAAGGCAGGTGGATCACTTGCGGTCAGGAGTTTGAGACCAGCCTGACCAGTATGGTGAAACCCCCTCTCTAGTAAACATACAAAAAATTAGCTGGGTGTGGTGGTGCGCACCTGTAATCCCAGCTACTGGGGGAGGCTGAGGCAGGAGAATCCCTTGAACCTGGGAGGCAGAGGTTGCAGTGAGCTGAGATCGTGCCACTGCACTCCAGCCTAGGCGACAAAGCAAGACTCTGTTTCAAAAAAAAAAACAAAGATTTGTGGAAGATTAATCTCATGAAAGGAATTTTGTGTGTGATCAAGTTGGCTAAAATTAGAAGGGAATTATTTAGTTTTTCCAAAAACTGAGGAAACTGTGCATTAATATGAAAAGCACATTGATGCAGGGTCAGAGTATGGGCCTTAATGTTGGAATGACAGGGTTTTCTTGAAGCATCCATCTATTCTTTAATATAAAATTATATGAGTTTATAAAAGGTTTATGGAAATCTTATGTGGCCAAAGATGATTGAGATTGGATGGATTTGTTGATAATTAGGTTTTATTAAATTACCTTTAGCATTAATAATATGCTGATACAAAGGTAGAATTTGGTTTTATCTTTTGAACATGAGTTTCATATAATATTAATAAGATAATAAAAGACTCATGTTTACCTTTTGAGTAAACTGCAAAAAAAAAAAAGAGAAAAAAAGACTCCGTTCATCTCATTCTTCATGCTGTCTTTATTAGGCCTTTTGATTGGAAAACCGGGTCTCTTCTCTATCAAAGAGTAAAGAGGGTGCTTTTTGAAATCTTTAAATTATCACTTTGGCAAAATAAATGACTATTGTTTTACACTGACCTGTGATCCTATTTTAATTAAGTGTGCTAAATCTTCCTTTTTAAGAAGGAACTCCTGTGGCCCAAGAGAAACATATTAAGCCACCGTGGTATGTTAAAGTCATACAGGAAGCTTTGTCAAATAAGAAATGGTGTTTAAATTTGTTTGAGTTATATTTGTATAGATACGTTATGAATGTGTGTTCTCAAGTTATGAGATTCCTAACATTCTGATACGTCTATGTTGTCACACATAATTATAGTTATTATGTTAAATTATTGTATGCCACAGAAATAATCAAATTTCCTTGTTAATTACATCTTTAACTATAGCTACCCGAAGTCTTTTGCCATTCATAGACAATTATTGCTCTATTTTGATTCTTCTCAAAAAGTGATTTACAACTGGCTGCAGTTCAAATTTGCTTTTTCTTCAAAGAGATTCATGGAAAAGGACCCTGGCCCTGTACTCTTTTTTTTTTTTGAGACGGAGTCTTGCTCTTTCGCCCAGGCTGGAGTGCAGTGGCCTGATCTCAGCTCACTGCAAGCTCCGCCTCCTGGGTTCACGCCATTCTCCTGCCACAGCCTCCCGAGTAGCTGGAACTACAGGCGCCCGCCACCACGCCCGGCTAATTTTTTCTATTTTTAGTAGAGACGGGGTTTCACCGTGTTAGCTAGGATGGTCTCGATCTCCTGACCTCGTGATCCGCCCGCCTCGGCCTCCCAAAGTGCTGGGATTACAAGTGTGAGCCACCGCGCCCGGCCGGCCCTGTACTCTTGAATACAGGTTTTTGATAACTTCAAAGATCGTATCATTGGACCAAGTAAAAACATTCAGAACTCTAATAAACTAATGCATTCATGAAGATTGCTAACCCAACATCAAGCAAGACAAGAATTAATTACATGGGACTGAACTGATAGAGGACTGAAATGACTTTTATGATTTTTTGCCCAAAACATTGCTGATTCTTTTTATATTTTGATTTCCACAGTCAAGAAAACTTTTCTCTTTTGAACTATTTGTAGCTTATAGAAACTGGATAAAATATACCTTTGTAAACAAAATGGAAACATTTGCCTTTATCTCTACCTGATTTCCCCAAAACTTGGAAAATCTTCATGAGTATTCGTATTTTATGGCAATCAAGTTATTTGCATTAGTTCAGTAAGAATCTGTTTTCTGTCACAGGATACAATTTAAGACAATTTTTTTTTCAAATCAAGATTCTGACTGGAATGACGTATTTTCAGATATGATAACACTGCTTTGAGGAATTGAAATGGACTTTATAGAGCTGATAAAAAGCCTCTTGGCAAAACTGGCCTGCTATCTTGTCTACATAGTTCCCTTTCAAGGTTTCTAATCTTGCAGTAAATAAAGAATGTGTCTTTCTGATATGCCCAGGAACCAAAAGATATTTTGGGGACCTTGGGAAGAGAGAAATTCACCCAATTTGTACAAGTATTACAGGTGCAGTCTAGCGGTGAATCCTTGGTTTGATGTCCTAGCCTTGAGACTTTTAAAAGTCTAATCTGAAATTCCTTCTGAACGTTCCAGCAAAGTCAACTTAAAAGGGTCTATATGGCCAATCACTATTCTTGCTGCACTTTATGCAAATAATCAGGCCAAGTATAATACTAAACTTTGGTAAAAATAGGGACTGGAGAAAAAAGTTAGGCTCCTGAAGAAAGCTATAGAACACCTGTTATTAGATTCCAGCCCCCGACCATTGTTTTTGAGTTCTTTTATTATTTTCCTACAATTTGAACTGAATCCCCAATGGAATAGGCTTTGTTACTATGTATCTCTCAGGGTTTTGCTTCTTCCAAGAAAACCAGAAAATGATATTCTGAAGAGTGGAGATGATTCAACAAGCAACAACAGCATTTATATAAATCAGTGGCTTGAATGAGGACTACCCAGGAATGAGACTTCCCAGCACTGAGGGATGAAGGACATCTATCACTGCCACCTGCACAGAGACTGATCATCAATGCTGCCATGGGAATAATTTTGATCAACAGGGGGGATATGAGAAAAGAAAAATAGCTCAGAGCAGGCTGAGAACTGAGAGATCTGCAGACCCACAGAGACATGGGTATGGAATTCCAGTCATTCCCTGGCCCCCTGTAGCCGGTGCCTACACCTGGGGACAATTGTTTAAAGTTATTTTGTTCCTACCGGTTGGGCGTGGTGGCTCACGCCTGTAATCCCAGTGAGAGGTGAAGCCAGCTGGGCTTCTGGGTTGGGTGGGGACTTGGAGAACTTTTCTGTCTAACTAAAGGATTGTAAACACACCAATCAGCGCTCTGTGTCTAGCTAAAGGTTTGTAAACGCACCAATCAGCGCTCAGTAAAAACGCACCAATCAGCACTCTGTAAAAACGCACCAATCAGCACTCTGTGTCTAGCTAAAGGTTTGTAAACGCACCAATCAGCACTCTGTAAAAACGACCAATCAGCACTCTGTAAAATGGACTAATCAGCAGGATGTGGTCAGGGCCAAATAAGGGAATAAACGCTGGCCACCTGAGCCAGCAGCTGCAAACCGTTGGGGTCCCCTTGCAGGATGTGGAAGCTTTGATCTTTGGCTCTTCACAATAAATCTTGCTGCTGCTCACTCTTTGGGTCCCCACTAGCTTTATTGTAACACTCACTGTGAAGGTCTGTGGCTTCACTCCTGAAGTCAGCGAGACCACAAACCCATCGGGAGGAACAAACAACTCTGGACGCGCCACCTTTAAGAGTTGTAACACTCACTGCTAAGGTCTGCAGCTTCACTCCTGAAGTTAGCGAGACCACGAACCCACTGGAAGAAGAAACTCGGGACACATCTGAACATCTGAAGGAGCAAACTCTGGACACACCATCTTTAAGAACTGTAACACTCACCGCGAGGGTCCGTGGCTTCATTCTTGAAGTCAGCGAGACGAAGAACGCACCAGAAGTAACCAATTCCAGACACACCAGCACTTTGGGAGGCCAAGACCAGCAGATCACAAGGTCAGGAGTTCAAAACCAGCCTGACCAACATGGTGAAACCCCATCTCTACTAAAAATACAAAAATTAGCCGGGCGTGGTGGCGCATGCCTGTAATCCCAGCTACTTAGGAGGCTGAGGCAGGAGAATCGCTTGAACTCAGGAGGTGGAGGTTGTGGCGAGCTGAGATTACACCATTGCACTCCAGCCTGGGCCACAGAACAAGACTCTGTCTCAAAAAACAAAAAAAGAAAAGAAAAAAAAAGTTATTTTGTTCCTGCCTAGCTGCCTCACTCATTATCTTCATGTTCCTGAAATGTGTGATAAAAAGAACAACCTATACCCAATCAAAACTTGTTATTTTACTACACGTTCTTGATAAACAACTCAGGAACTGCCTCTTCTTTTCCTTTAAAAATTTACTTTTAACTGCTGCTAATTGGAGTGTATATTCAGAGCAATTTGAATCTATGCTCCTGGGATGCAATCCTCAAGCTTGGCCCAAATAAACTTTGTACTTAAATGAATGTTGCCTCAGCTTCTTCCTTTTAAGTCAACAGAGGCAGCTGTGTTCCTCACTAGGGGTCTGTTTTCTAGGTAGATAGGGGAGCGTCAGAGAATAGCCTCCTCCAGTGCTTTGAGAGAGACAGAAGGTTGACAGGCAGGAGGAGAGGGATCAGAGAGACCTTGAGGCTGCTTCTTCAGGTCTGCATGGGAAGTGTCATATTGTGGGGAATTGTTTTCTGTGCTCCAACAATAGTATATGACATGGCCCCATATCTGTCCCAGAGAGAGGCCCTTGTCATACTTGGAAATTTTTCTCTTTATGACTCTTGTCATGAGTATCTCAAGTCCTTTTATTCTGCACAATTTTGTACACATTTGTGGTCCCACTGGATATACAATTTTGCATCCCTTCTCACTTAGCATAAGCATTCTTCTAAGTTAGCAAAAACCCTTTTATTTTATCAATGCCTATGGTTAGACATTTAAGCTAGTTTTAATTTGTTTCTGCCACTGTTTTTTTTTTTTTTTTTCAGATGTTGTAACAGCATCTTTGTATAGAAATTGTGACCACATCTCTGATTATTTCCTTGGGAGAGAGTTTTAGAAGTGGAATCATGGAATCAAATGGAATGGATCTTTTGGCCGCCCCTGGGAAACACTGTCCAATTGCTTCCCGAAAAGAGGCCACAGCAATGTAGGAAAGTGACTGTTCAAGAAACAGTTTCCAGCATTCACAATTACCATTTACAAAAACTTTCACTAATGAAGGCCAAGAAATGGCATCTTACATCAGTTAGTATTTATTTGATCACCAGGGGGTGAAAACATTTGCAGGCATGTTAACTAGTAATATTTTCTTCTGTGGGTTGCCTGTTAATTCTCTTTGCTTCTGACCTTTTATTTATTTTATTATTTCAATAGTTTTTGGGAGTACAGGTGGATTTTGGTTACATCACTGAGTTCTTTAGTGGCGAATTCTGAGATTTTAGTGCACCCATCACCCCAGCAGTGTACACTGTACCCAATATGTTGTCTTTTATCCCTCATCCACCTCCCAACCTCCCCCGATCCCTGCCCCAGCTTTTGACTTCTTAAAAGTACAACAAAAGGCCTGGCGTGATGACTCACGCCTGTAATCCCAGCACTTCGGGAGGCTGAGGCAGGCGGATCACCTGAGGTCGGGAGTTCGAGACCAACCTGGCCAACATGGTGAAACCCCATCTCTACTAAAAATACAAAAATAGCCGGGCATGGTAGTGCATGCCTGTAATCCCAGCTGCTTGGGAGGCTGAGGCACGAGAATTGCTTGAACCCAGGAGGCAGAGGTTGCAGTGAGACGAGATTGCGCCACTGCACTCCAGCCTGGGCAACAGAGCGAATCTCTGTCTCAAAGAAAAGAACAGAGATGCAGAGGCCAGGTGCGACGGCTCATGCCTGTAATGCAGCACTTTCGGAGGCCGAGGCAGGTAGATAGCTTGAGCCCAGGAGTTCGAGACCAGTTTGGACAAAATGGCAAAACCCATCTCTACCAAAATACAAAAATTAGCCAGTCTAATAACCTGGTCTCAAAATAAATAAATAGATTAAATTTTTCAAAAGAAAAAAAGAAAGATGCAGAGACAGACCCAGAGGAAGGAAGGCCATGTGACAACGGAGGCAGAGACTGGAGCGATGCAGCTACAAGCCAAGGTGGGCCAGGACCACCAGAAGTGGGAAGAGAAGAGGAAGGGTCCTGCCTTAAAGTCATCAGAGAGAGGACGGCCCTGCCAACACCTTGACTTTGGACTTCTGGCCTCCAGCACTGGGAGAGAATACATGTCTGCTGCTGAAGGCCACCCAGCTTGGGGTCATTTGTTCTGGAAGCCCCAGGACACTGACACAGGGCTTATGGCTGTCAGGGCAGGCAGGACGGTGTTGGCCAGGTGGCTGAGATGCAGCAGAGCTGGGTACATGTGGGCATCAGGGAGACTGGACTCAACCCCAGCTCTGCCACCCGGAGCTGACTGGCTTTGGATCAGCTATGTAGCCTCTCTGTGCCTCAGTTTCCCTTTCTGTAAGTTGAGGATACTAATAAGTGCCCCGTGAGGCTGCTATAAGAGTTGAAGGAGATGATGCAGCAAACTAACACAGGAACAGAAAAACAAACACCGCATGTTCTCACTCATAAGTGGGAGGTGAACAACGAGAACATGTGGACACAGGGAGGGGAACATCACACACCGGGGCCTGTTGGGGGTGGGGGTTTAGGGGAAGGAGAGCATTAGGAGAAATACCTAATGTAGAAGATGAGTTGATGGGTGCGGCAAACCACCATGGCACATGTATACCTATGTAACAAACCTGCACGTTCTGCACATGTACCCCAGTATAATAAAAAAGTATAATAAAAAAGAAGAAGAAAAAAAAATGGGAGGAGATGATGAATGCCTGCAACACCGGCCTCACACACAGTAGATGCCCAGATATTGTCATTCCTTTTCTTCTCCATTGCCTGGGCCCCAGCCTCATAACAGCCTGGGTTCAAGGCCAACTCTGCCCACCTCAGCTATATGACTCAGCAAATCACAAACCTCTCAAAGCCTCAGTTTCCTCATTTGTAAAAGGGCGCTATTAAGAGATCAAATGAGACATTGCATTCAAAGTCCTTCACCTGTTCCCCAGCTCATAGGAAGATCTCATCTGAAAGTGGTTAAGCAGTCTATGGCCATACCACACTGAACGCACCGGATCTCATTTAAAAGTGGTTAAGCAAGCGGCCAGGCGCGGCGGCTCACACCTGCTTTGGGAGGCCAAGGCAGGCGGATCACGAGATCAGGAGTTAGAGACCAGCCTGATCAACACGGTGAAATCCCGTCTCTACTAAAATTAGCTGGGCTTGGTGGCACGCACCTGTAACCCCAGCTGCTCAGGAGACTGGGGCAGGAGAATTGCTTGAACCCCGGAGGCTGAGGTTGCAGTGAGCTGAGATCGTGCCACTTCACTCCAGCCTGGGCGACAAAGGGAGACTCCATCTCAAAAAAACCAAAAACAGACAAAAAAAGAAAGCGGTTAAGCACATTGAAACTACTATATGTTGAAGGACTATAGACCTGTAACACTTTGCCCTTCAAAGCGGGGTCCATGAACCACGGCATGGGCACTGCCTGGATCCTGGATGGAAGCGCAGAATCTTGGCCCGCCTTAGAGCAGATGAATCAGAGTGTGCCCGTAATGAGACCCCCAGGTGAGCTGTATGCACAGGATTCGGCGTTTCCAACCTCTCACCGCTCTCAGATGCACCCAGGAAAGTGCTTTGATCACAAAGTCTCAGACCTCCACCTAGGACGAGGTAATGTGGATTCACTAGGGACAGAGCCTGGGAAGCTGCGTGCTCAACAAGCTCCCGAGGTGATTCTTCTTACCTGGACGCCTGGGAAACACCTAGCAATGAACCAGCAGGAGGAGGCTGGATAGCCTGGCCAGGAGTTTTGTTGATCATGGTAGCCTGGCCAATTGGGTGGGCATGTGGCCTAGGGAAGGGTTAAAGAGACCAGATGAGAACGCTTGATCCTTGGAGATCAAGGCTGCAGTGAGCCGCGATTGCACCACTGCACTCTAGCCTGGGCAACAGAGTGAGACCCTGTTTCAAAAACAAACAAAAAAAACACACACACAAAAAGCCAGGTGTGGTGGCTTATGCCTGTAATCCCAACACTTTGGGAGGCCGAGGCAGGCGGATTGCCTGAGGTCAGGAATTCGAAACTAGCCTGGCCAACAAGGTGAAACCTCATCTCTACTAAAAATACAAAAAAATTTAGCTGGGCATGGTGGCACGTGCCTGTAATCCCAGCTACTAGGGAGGCTGAGACAGGAGAATCACTTGAACCCAGGAAGCAGAGGTTGCAGTGAGCTGAGATTGTGCCACTGCACTGCAGCCTGGATGACAGAGCGGGACTCTGTCTCAAAAAAAAAGAAAAAGAAAAAAAAAGTACAGTACAGCTAGGAAGCTAGGAGCCACTGATGAGGGCGAAAGTCCTGGAGGGGAAATTCAAGAAAGGATGAAGGACGGTGAACCAATCCAGAGCAAAAGTAGGGCCTGGTGCGGTGGCTCATGCCTGTAATCTCAGCACTTTGGGAGGCTGAGGCAGGTGCATCACTTGAGGCCAGGAGTTCGAGACCAGCCTGGCCTCGTGCCAGGCCTCGTTCAAGCCAGCCTGGTGAAACCCCGTTTCTACAAAAAGTATGACAAATTAGCTGGGCATAGTGGTGCACACCTGTAATCCCAGCTACTTGGGAGGCTGAGGCACACGAATTGCTGGAACTTGGAAGGCAAAGGTTGCAGTGAGCCCAGATCACGCCACTGCACTCCAGCCTGGGGTGACAGAGTGAGACTCTGTCTCAAAAAAAAAAAAAAAAAAAAAAAAAAAAGCAAAAACTGCCGGTTTTGTCTGGATTATACAGTACAGCTGGCCTCACACACAGCAGGCATTTTGTTGATCACGGTCGTCTGGCCAATTGGGAGGGCATGTGGCCTGGGAGAGGGATAAAGAGATCCGGTGGCAAAATGTCCAGCACACAGAGGGAGGAAGAGTAGTTCCCCAGAGATGTGCTGAATGAATGAATTAGCGAGTGAGTAAAGAATGAATGAATGAATGATCAAATGGCAACAGAACCCTAGAAAAGGATGGAAACCTCTCAGGATTCCTCTAAGAGTGTCCTAGCCCCTTGGGGCAACAGTATCTGCACAGCCAAAGCCTGTGCTTCATCTCTCGGCCTGCATTTCCTGCCCAAATTTAGCTAATAGGCATGTGAGTACCTAACACACACCAGGCTCTGAACTACACACCATGGCATCTGTCATCGCGTTCAAGCTCCTAAGCCCCACCACAGCCCTCCCCGAGGTAAATAATCCTCATCTACAAGAGGTACCCTCCTGCCTCCCTGTTTATTACCTTTGTAGCATAGTCTGTTCTCTGAAATTACCGTATTCATTGTTTGCCTCCTTGTCTCCTCTAGTAGAACATAAACTCTGTGAGATCAGTGTCCTGGTGACACGGCTGGGTCCGTAGCTCTGGCATCTTCATCTATCTCTCTGTTTCCATCATCACACTGCCCTCTTCTTTGTGTCAAATCTTCCTCTGCCTCCTGTTTATAAGGACCTTTGTGATTGTATTTAGGACCCACCCGGATAATCCAGGATAAACTCCCTATTTCAAGACTCTTACTCCTTCACATCTACAAAGTCCCTCTTGCCATACAAGGTTCCCTTCACGGATTCCAGGGATCAGGTCCCAGAAAGCTCCAGAGCCATGTCCAGATGACAACACAGGACCTCACAGAAGGCATCCTTCATGGTGCCTGCTGGAAGCCAGGTCCTGAAGGGTGTTATCCGCAGCTATTGCCTGCCGAAGGAGCTGCAAAAGGGAGCCTCCGGTGACTCGGGCAGTGGGGATGCAGCGGGCTGCAAGGAAACCACTGAAGGATGGAGGGCCAGGTGTCTGCCTACCAGGGCCATTGCACAGCTAGTAGTGAACTTCAGCGCTGCCAGCTATGGAAGACTGTTTTGCTTTCTTTACAGCACCCCCTGTCTTCATCCATATTCTGATCCTTATAACAGAATGCCAGAAACTGGGAAATTTATAAAGAAAAGAATTAATTTCTTACAGTTCTGGAGGCTGAGAATTCCACAGTCAAGGGACTGCATCTGGTGATGGCCTTCTTGCTGGTGGGGACTCTGCAGAGCCTCAAGGTGGCACAGGGCATCCCATGGTGAGGGGGCTGAGCGTGCTAGCTCAGGTCTCTCTTCCTCTTGTGAAACCACCAGTCTCATGACAACCCATTCATCCATTAACTCATGAATGCAGTAATTCATTCATGAGGGCAGAAGCCTCATGACCCCTCTTCTTAAAGTCCCACCTCTCAATACCGCCACATTAGGGATTATGTTTCCTTTCTTTATTTTTTATTTTTATTTTTTTAGAGATGGGGTCTTGCTATATTGCCCAGGCTGGCCTCAAACTCCTGCTCAAGCCATCCTCTTGCCTCAGCTTCCCAAAGTGTTGGGATTACAGGTGTGAACCACCGCACTTGGACAGGATTAAGTTTAAACATGAGTTTTGGAGGGGACAAATATTCAAACCATAGCACCCTTCTAAATCACAAACACACTGGGGGAGCCAAGAAGAGCCTAGTGCAGGAGAGAGGCCTGCACAGGGTGAGCAGGAGAGAGGAAAAGTCCAGCCCACTCCTCCATGCCCAAGACCTGGGGCAGGGGAGAAGTTTTAAATCAGACGAGAGCTCTCAGGCTTGAGAGCCAACTGGACCTGACTTTGAATCCCCAGATAATGGCACATTTCACACTGTCTCTCCGGAGCATGGCTGGAAGGGCTAAGGGATCTGCAGGATTTCATCCTGAGATGGGTTGAAAGGGACAAAGATGAGAAAGAACTTGCTTCCATGACCCTTCACTGTGGCCATTGTTCAATAAACTGACTTTGCTCTCATCCTCCCTCCTGGGGGGCTTGAGCAGGCCTCACTTTAAGAAAAAGCTGAGGCCAGGCCCGATGGCCCATGCCTATAATCCCAGCACTTTGGGAGGCTGAGGCGGGTGGATCACCTGAGGTCAGGAGTTCGAGACCAGCCTGGCCAACATGGTGAAACCCCGTCTCTACTAAAAATACAAAAATTAGCTGGGTGTGGTGATGGGCGCCTGTAGTCCCAGCTACTCAGGAGGCTGAGGCAGAAGAGTGGCGTGAACCCGGGAGGCTGAGGTTGCAGTGAGCCGAGATTGTGCCACCGCCAGCCTGTGTGACAGAGTGAGACTCTGTATCAAAAAAAAAAAAAAAGAAAGAAAGAAAGAAAAAGAGAAAGCTGATAATAACACCAACCACCCACCCCCGCCACTACACACACCCCATAGGAGAGCAGCAATTCCTTCCTTTACGAGAGGATTCTCCCTGGGCATGCATGACGTGCCAGCTGAGCCTGGGAAATCTGGCCTACTTGGCAGCAGCCACATGGCCATGGATTCTCACCAGCCTGACCGTAACCAGTCTTTTTTTTGTTGTTGTTTTTGAGACTGAGTTTCACTCTGTCATCCAGGCTGGAATGTGCAGTGGCGTGATCTCAGCTCACTGCCACCTCTGCCTCCCAAGTTCAAGCGATTCTCCTGCCTCAGCCTCCCGAGTAGCTGGGATTACAGACACATGCCACCACACCCAGCTAATTTTTGTATTTTTAGTAGAGACAGGGTTTCAGCATGTTGGCCAGGCTGGTCTCGAACTCCTGACTTCAGATGATCCTCCCTCCTCAGCCTCCCAAAGTGCTGGGATTACAGGCGTGAGCCACTGCGTCCAGCCTAACCAGGCTTTTATACAAAGAAGGAGTGAACGTGTTTGTCAACAGCTGGACCTCATGGTCAATGTGTCAGTTTCTGGGACCTCTCTCGGGTATTTTGAAACCAGAACCTTGGCCAGGGGACGGGGACCTCTGCCGGGTATCTTTCCAGCTCCCCCCACCATCCTGTTCACACTTAGCATGAACGCAGGCCATTTGTGAGGCTGAGGCTGTGTCCCTCGGAGTGGCTATTCTTCTGCCTTTTGTCCTGGTACATTTGTATCTGTAAGCATGAACAGGGACCCAATGCCAGGCTTAGCGCTAAAGGGGCTGAGGACAACGGTGGCCAACATGCAGCCCCTGCAGTGAGGGGTCTCACAGTCCAGTGGGTGAGACAAGCAAGGTAATCAAGGAGGTCAGGTCCCTGCTGGAGGGAGGGGTGCAGGGATGGGTGGCAATGCCGGCAAGTCCGGCGCACATACTTGAGCCAGGCCCCAGGGGAACGTGGGCTTGATCATCCTACGCCCATCCCCAGACTAACCCTATGAGGTAGGAGTGTGACTCCCCCAGTGCATGGAGGAGAAAACTGAGGCTCAGAGGAACGTGCCTCCCATCACGTGGCAACGGCGAGGGCGGCTATGTGAACCTGGGCAACTGTCAGTCACACCCATAAACACTGTGAAAGTTGCAGATACCAGGATAAAATCACTTTTGTCAGACTTAGACAAAATAGGGCTGGGAAGGCGTGAAGGAGAGGCTCGCACTTCCATATCTGAGATAAGAACTGTTTCCAAGGACTTTCTAAAACCCCATCAGAAACCCTTGCGCGTCCTTCACACAGCTCCTGCTTTGATGAGACTTACCACTCGACATTCTGCAGGACTGCAGCAACGCAGATAAGGCGCTCTCGGAAGAACATTCGCCCAGCACTGGCGTCTCCACCAAAGCACTGACAACAACTCTGGCTTCGACCTCGGGAACCAATGAACTCTGTTTCTAAGCAGCTTATGTAAATCTCTTTTTCCCAATAAAAGTGGCTCTTTACCCTTCCCTCGCCGAATGCACTGATGGCTTGCATGCATTCCGGATTACCATCCTTATTTCTTACTCGCGAGTAAGCTCCACATATTTAGAGATCATTTTCTCTGGTGTCTTTTTTCAGGTTGACCATGATGCTGTTCTGCCTAGATGTGACCCCGTCCCCTGGGTGGAGGTGAGGAGGGCTTATTGTACAGTAACTGCCGAGAAAGGTAGAGGGGATGGGAAGAAGGCAGGGATGCCCTGGAGGAGGGACTTGAGCAGAGGCATGGTGGTAGGGGTATGGGGGGGGTGCATGGATGGTGGGATCTGCAGAGATTCTGTCTGGCCGGAGGGAGGGGTGTTGGGAACTAGGTCCAGGGCTCAGCACAGGTGTAGTGGGGTCTGAGGGACCCAGCTTCTACTTCCTGTTCAGCCACATTGCTGTTGCTTGACCCTGGGCCTTGGGGATACTATCGCCTGGGAACAACCTGTGGGCATCCTGAGTTGCTTCTGATGTCCCACCCATCACCTTGACCTGCTCAGAGCAGAGCATTGTTCTGAAATCTGAGGCATTGTCCTGCCCACTGGCCTATCACTGGCTCCAGGAAGGGCCTAGTGTCTCTGACCAGCTCTAGATCACCTCCTCCTCCTCCTGAGCCCTGTACGTTGCCAGGCTGATGAGAGGAGTGGGGCCGTGAGGGTGAGCTGGATCAGAGCCCTGCTCCCCTTGATTTTGCTTGCACAGCTGGGAGGTCTGTTTGAAAAGCGCGGTTGCATAATTGTATCCCTGGGGTATTGGCAGGGAATGCATCAAGATAGCGATTGGAGAGCTTCAATCCATCTCAAATACAGAAGGCCCCTGCTGGGCATCTTGGCCCTGGGCTGGCAGAGGCTAGGACTCTGGCTTTGCTTTTGAGGAGGCTGAGTCCCAGAGGCTCACTTGCTCATGACCAAGGATGGCAAAAACAGAGAGGAGGGAAAAGGAGAGAAACGGTTCCTGGAAGAATAGACATCAAAGCGGGGCCTGACATTCGCTCCTCCCCACCTTCCAACAGCTCTGTCAGCAATGAATTTCTCCTTGTCTTAACCCCTTTCTGCTTGAAAAAACTAGAGTGGTTTCTGTTTTCCTGAAGGACCCAGTCAAGGTCTCTTGTGTAATGTGTACCCAGTACATAAGCGTTCTCCTTCCTCCCCACCCTCGGAACTGTTTTATTGGGATCCTTAATGTGTTGTTCGTTGAATGTACCCTTCCTTTAAGGTCCACCTCAAACACCACCTTCCTCCATGAAGCCTTCTCAGATCACTCCAGCTCCTAGTGGTTGCTCCCTTCTGCCAACTCATTCATTCATTCATTCTTCAATGGATGTTTATTAGTGGCCCCCTCTGTGCCAGAAAAAAAAAATCAGATACTCCATAATACCTCTCAGTTCCATCCTATTTGAAAGGACAGTGCTGAATTTGACTTGAGGCTGTGCTCCCGGAAAACAGCGAGGATTAGGAAATACCCTCACCCCTTTCGTGTTCCAGGAAGCAGCTTACCGCAAAGAATCAACGTTTCCCAGTGGACGTGGGCGAGACCCACAGATGCCCATCCACGACTTGTTTGTTTGAGACAAGGCCAGGCACAGAACTTCCAAATTCTCGTTCTTTGCCTCGTCAAAGATTAGCTAAACTGTGTGTCACCACTCATCAATCTGGACTTGTTCATTCATCTGATTGACTCAAGTTTAGTTCAGCTTCTCTCCTCTCCCCAGGTTCCCAAACTTTGATCTACCCTCTGCCTGGGCCAGTGGATACCCCCTCCTAGTGGCACCTCCCAAAACCCTTGGCTGGCCACAGGAAAGACATTCTCTCATCTGCTGATTAATCACTCCCCCAATCCCGTCCATCCCACTCCCCACACCTGGTTCTGTCTAAGCCTTGTCTGCTCCTCCCTGGAGAAGAAAAGCTGTGCCTGGGCTTCAAGATGCTTGCAGGTGGCATTGCATAGCCTTCTCCCTATTCAATCATCCCTTCCCTCCTCTTGCAACAATTCTTTCTAATAAAGTCTCTGCTTACCCAAGTCCAGACTTTTTTTTTTTTTGAGATGGAGTTTTGCTCTTGTTGCCCAGGCTGGAGTGCAATGGCGTGATCTCAGCTCACTGCAACTTCTGCCTCCCGGGTTCAAGCGATTCTCCTGCCTCAGCCTCCTGAGTAGCTGGGATTACAGGAGCTCACCACCACACCTGTCTAACTTTTGTATTTTTAGTAGAAACGGGGTTTCACCATGTTGGTCAGGCTGGTTTTGAACTCCTGACCTCGTGATCCGCCCACCTCGGCCTCCCAAAGTGCTGGGATTACAGACATGAGCCACCACGCCTGGCCTGGTTTGTTGTTGTTTTTAATATATGTGCTTGTTTTTCTTTTTCCTAAACTTGTGGTAAAAAACATAACATCGAATGAGCCATGTGAACCATTTTCAAGTATAGTTGAATAAAGCACATTCACTTTGTTGCACGGCCATCACCACCATCCATCTCCAGAGCTTTCTCCTCTGTCCCCAGTAAACACTCACTCCCTGCCCCCTGACCCCAGCCCCTGGCACACACCATTCTACTTTCTATCTAGTGGAATCCCAGTATTTGACCCTTCCTACTGACTTATTTCACTTCACCTAATGTCTTCAAGACTCCTCCGTACTGTGGCATGTGTTGAAATTTCCCTCTTTTTTCCGGCTGGATAAAATTCCCCTGCATGTATGCACCAGAGTTCACTGATTCATTCGTCTGAAAATTGACACTCGTGTTGCTTCCACCTCCTGGCTATTGTGAATGAGGCTGCTGTGAATCGGGAGTGCAGCTTCTCTTCAAGACCCTGCTGTCTGGCCGGGCGCGGTGACACACGCCTGTAATCCCAGCACTTTGGGAGGCCAAGGTGGGTGGATCACGAGGTCAGGAGTTCGAGACCAGCCTGGCCAATATGATAAAACCTCATCACTACTAAAAATATAAAAATTAGCTGGACATGGTGGTATGAACCTGTAATCCCAGCTACTCGGGAGGCTGAGGCAGGAGAATTGCTTCAACCCGGGAGGTGGAGGTTATAGTGAGCCGACATCAAGACACTGTACTCTAGCCTGGACAACAGAGCAAGACTCCATCTCAAAAAACAAAAAAAGACCTTGCTGTCAATTCTTTTGGATTGCTGGTTCTGTTTTTAATTTTTAATTTCAGTATTTATTTATTTATTTTTGAGATGGAGTGATTTCCTGCCTCAACCTCCCAAGTAGCTGAGATTACAGGCACCCGCCACCCGGCTGATTTTTGTATTTTTCGTAGAGATCGTGTTTCATCATGTTGGCCAGGCTGGTCTCGAACTCCTGACCTCAAGTGATCCTCCCACCTCGGCCTCCCAAAGTGCTGGGATTACAGGAGTGAGCCACCGCACCTGACCTTCATTTCAATTTTTTAATATAGTTTTCTTTTCTTTTCTTTTCTTTCTTTCTTTCTTTTTTTTTTTTGAGACTGATTCTTAGTCTGTTGCCCAGGCTAGAGTACAATGGCGCGATCTAAGCTCACTGCAACCTCCGCCTCCTGGGTTCAAGTGATTCTCCTGCCTAAGCCTCCCAAGTAGCTGGGGCTACAGGCCTGCGCCATCATGCCCAGCTAATCTTTGTATTTTTAGTAGAGATGGGGTTTCACCATGTTGGCCAGGCTGGTCTTGAAATCCTGACCTCAGATGATCTGCCCGCCTCAGCCTCCCAAAGTGCTGGGATTACAGGCATGAGCCACTGCACCTGGCCTGACATGGTTTTTTAATTCGAATTTTGTGGGTGGCAAGCCACCCAGGTGCCAAGGCAAGAGACTGAGGGACACAAGCTGTTCCAGTATAATAAAGAAAATATATAGAATAAAAATAGTTATACTAGAAATAGATTATAAATATGATTACATATGAATATCATTAACCATTAGTTTGTAGTATTACTCTTCTTTCCAATGTTATAATAATCTTTGTTCTACAATTATAACCTAGGAAAAACCAGGCCATACAGAGATAGGAGCCGAAGGGACATGGTGAGAAGTGATCAGAAGAGTGTGAGCCCTCTGTCACGCCCAGACAGGGCCACTAGAGGGCTCCCTGGTCTCGCGGTAACACCAGCGCCTGGGAAGGCACCTGTTACCTAGCGGACCTCGGTTTAGCGGTAGCGTCAGTGCCTGGGGAAGGCACCCATTACTTAGTAGACCGGGAAAGGAAGTCTCCCTTTCCCTGGGTGAGTTAGAGAAGACTCTGTTCCACCACCTCTTGTGGAAGGCTTGACATCAGTCAGGCCTGCCTGCAGCCATCCAGAGGCCTAACCGTCTCCCTGTGATGCTGTGCTTCAGCGGTCACACTCCTGGTCCGCTTTCATATTCCACCCTGTACACCTGGCTCTGCCTTCTAGATAACAGTAGCAGAATTAGTGAAAGTACTAAAAGTCTTTGAAATGCATAGAAGAAATAATGGAGTAAGCTGTCCTCTCTCTCCCTCTGCCTCGGCTGCCAAACCGGGAAGGGCCCCCTGTCCAGTGGACACGTGACTCGCGTGACCTTACCTATCATTGGAGATGACTCACACTCCTTACCCTGCCCCCTTGTCTTGTATCCAATAAATAACTGTGCAGCCAGGCATTCGGGGCCACTACTGGTCTCCACGTCTAGGTGGTAGTGGCCCTCGGGCCCAGCTGTCTTTTCTTCTACCTCTTTGTCTTGTGTCTTTATTTCTACAATCTCTCGTCTCTGCACACGAGGAGAAAAACCCACAGACCCCATAGGGTTGGACCCTATAGAACTTGTCAAACATTCTGAGGAATCTCCGAACCATTTTCTGCAGTGGCTGCAGCACTTTCCATTCCCACCAATGGTGCATGGTGGTCCCGATTTCTCCACATTTTCACCAACACTTGTTATTTTCTATTTTTACTTTTTTTTTAATAGTAGCCATTGTAATAGGAGCAAAGTCATATTTGCTTCTTATTTGACAAAATCAATACATATTACTGAGCACTAAGTGCAAAGCCACAACAGATGTGCAGGCAGGCAGGATGAGAAGGTGAAGGCTATACAGGGCTTTGCTATGAGGGCGGGAAGGTGCCACCTTCTTGGGGCTTCTGCCCTGAGAGCCCCGGGGCCCAGTGAGCGTAACCCTGCAACAGGTGCGTGAGTGAGCGAGTGCTGGGTGTCAGAGGCTCGGACTTCCACCACGCATGCACCACAACCTAGTGAGAGGCACAGAGGCACAGCGACCAACCCAAAGACCCAGCACAGAGGCATTCCAGAACACTCCCTCCTGAAGGGGCTTTTGAGATGATTGAGTCTGGGGATGCTGGAGACCTTCCTCGTTGGTGCAGTTGGTCAGGCTGAAAACATCTGTGGCAGCACAGTGTTGAGGAGGACCCTAGAGTCAACCTGAGCTCAGTGAGAAAATACTGCAATCAGCAAGCAAGGCAGGCCAGGGGCATGGGTTGTGGGTGAGCAGGAAATGTCTTCATTATTATTTGTTTATTATTAGTTTTTTAGAAGGGGTCTCCTCTGTCACCCATCGCCTAGGCTGGAATGCAGTGGGGCAATCTTGGCTCACTGCAGCCTTGACCTCCTGGGCTCATGCAACCCTCCCACCTCAGCCTCCCAAGTAGCTGGGACTACTGGTGCACACCACCACGCCTGGCTAATTTTTGTATTTTTGTAGAGACGGGGTTTCGCCATGTTGCCCAGGCTAGTCTTGAACTACTGAGCTCAAGTGATCCTCCCTCCTCAACCTCCCAAAGTGCTGGGATGATAGGTGTGAGCCATTGCACTAAGCCAGAAATGTTTTTACAAAAGAAAAAAAAAAAAAAAGCAAGGCCCAGAGAGGTCACGTGCTTTCCCCAAGCTTGCACAGCAGGAATGGCGGAACACAAATCGCCCGATGGCTCTTCTGTCAGCCAAACGGGCAGATAAATACGAAGCACTAAGTGTCTTCTTCCTGCTTTGTGGCTGCCGTCACCAGTCACATCTGCCAACGCCAGGGACAGTCTCTGTAGCACGCATCTGGGAAACAAGGCTGGCCCCAGTCCTGTGGTTTGGCCGGAGCCCATATCCTCTGCATTCCCATATCAGCTACTTCTCTGGAATGAAAACCAACACTAGCTGCTGAAAGAGAATTGTAAAACCTTAAAACCACAGGGCTGAAGGGAAACTTTAGACAGTTTCCAGTCTACTGCATTTTTTTTTTCCCCCAGAGGGAGTCTTGCCAAGACTGTAGTGCGGTGGCACTATCTCGGCCCAGTGCAACCTCTGCCTCCTAGATTCAGGTGATTCTCCCACCTCAGCCCCCCGAATAGCTGGGACTACAGGCGTCCGCCACCATGCCCAGCTAATTTTTGTGTTTTTAGTAGAGACGGGGTTTCACCATGTTGGCCAGGCTGATCTCGAACTCCTGACTTCAGGTGATCCACTCACCTCGGCCTCCCAAAGTGCTGGAATTACAGGCGTGAGCCACTGTGTCCAGCCTCTAGTCTACTGTTTTCTAACATGCCTGACTTCGTGGGGAAAAAAAGTCAGTGGTTAAAAAATATTAAAAACTTTAAAATGAGAAAAATGCCAGGTAACATTTATTTTTAAGTACCACCTGGGTGCCAGACACTGCATTCATCACTCTGGGTCTGTTCATTTTGATGAGGTCGCCAGCTTAGCCTGCATGAAATGCTGAGATTCCAATAACAGATTTCCTTCTTTGCCTTGCCCACTAGGAATCTCATAACTGAAGGTGGAACTCACAGGTATTGTTAGGACTGTATGTATGTCAGTTTCTGGGGTTGCCATGACAACATACCACAAACTGGGGGACTTAAACAACAGAAATTGATATTCTTACAGTTCTAGAGGCCAGAAGTATGAGATTAAGATATTACAGGGTTCCCTCTGAAGGTTCTGGGAGGGACCTCTCTTCTAGCTCCTGGTAGTTTCTCGGCTTGTGGCAGCACTGTTCTAATCCTCACATGATGTTCGCTCTGTATGCGTCTGTGCCCAAATTCCCCTTTTAATAAGGACACCAAACTGGGAGCAGTGGCTCATGCCTGTAATCCCAGAGCTTAGGGAGGCCAAGGCAGGAGGATCACTTGAGCCTAGGAGTTTGAGACCAGCCTGGGAAACATAGTGAGACTCTGTCTCCTCTAAAATTAAAAATTAGCAGGGTGTGGTGGCATGTGCCTATAGTCGTAGCTACTTAAGAGGCCAAGTTGGGAGGATCACTTGAGCCAAGGTTGCAGTGAGCTATGATCGCACCACTACACTCCAACCTGGATGACAGAGCAAGATCCTGTCTCAATAAATAAATAAATAAAATAATAAGGATGCCAGCCATATTGGATTAGGTGTCCATCCTATTCCAGTGTGACCTCATCTTAACTTGACTCATGATATATAGATGACTCTATTTCCAAACAGGGTCACATTCTGAGGTCCTGGGGTTTGTGACTTCAACATATGAATTTTTGTGGGACATGGCCACCTTCTCGCCATGTCCTCACATGGCCTTTCCTTGGTATGTGCTCATGGAAGGCGAGTGAGTGAGGTCTCTGGTGTCTCTTCCTACAAAGGCATGAATCCTACCGGATCAGGGTCCCACCCTTATGCCCTCATTTAACCTTAATTACTTCCTTAGAGGGCCTTTCTCCAAATGCAGCCATACTGGGAGCTAGAGCCTCACCATATGAATTCTGGGGGACATAGGCATTCAGCTCATAACAGCATGTTATGCATTTCCATGTAGGAACCATACCCCCTGGCTTCATCTCATCCTGCACCTCTATTTTCCCTTGGTATTTCCATAGTCTTCTTGGAGCAAGGCACATGTTTATAAACACAAAATAGTGGAACTGTCCAGAGTTGATATATGGAAGCCAGAAGGACAGCACCCCCCATGATTGACTGGTCATTTCCTGGAGTCTCTTCTGTCCCCGAGGTCAGTGGTTTCACTGTTGTCCTTCGAAGTTTCTGGGGGTCTCCTGGAGCTCAAGGCTGGAGGGGGATAAAAGGATAAGGGGCCAGGCACACAGGGCTCTGGGTTCCCATCCTCCTGTCAACCGGAGCATCCAGTTTTTCTGTCCTGTGGACTGGGCTTCCACGTAACATGTCATGAATACGTGTTTGAAAAGCCTGCAGCCCAGCCAGAACCACCAGCTCAGCCAGAAGGAAAAAGTGTCTCTCCTCAAAGCTGAGAGTTCTCTCTCTCTCTTTCTCTTCTTTCTTACAGTCAGTGGGCAGGCAGTCTACAGCAAAGGGCCCTGATAAAATTACCTTGTAATTTGAGAATCTGGGAGATGAAAAATAAAATGACCAGCTTTCATTAGCAATAGGACCTGTCTGTCATGGGCCTCACTGCCCTGGACTCTAGGATTTGAGAATTACAGGCAGCTTCGTTTACTGGGCCACTCAGCACTCACTACTGGTGCCAGGCATTGGGGTCACTAGGGCCACTGCCCCACGGGTGCTGAGATGACAGCCCCCTGGGCAGGTGGGTCTGCTGCTGGACAGAGGTTGGGTATGTGTGCAGGGTTACAACAGGCCAGGCGGTGGTGGCGGGCATGGCCAGCTTTAAGGCCTGCAGGAGGTGGTGAGGAACAAGATGCAGCCACACCTATGTCTGGCTCTGTCTGCAGACCCAGGAATAGGGTGAATTAAATTGTACGGTCTTGATATATTGCATTTGAAGCCTTCAAACCTGAGTAACTTCATTAGTTTGCTAGGGCTGCAGTGGCAAAGTATCAGGAGCTCAGTGGCTTAAAAATAGACATTTCTGGCCGGGCGCGGTGGCTCATGCCTGTAATCCCAGCACTTTGGGAGGCCGAGGCAGGCAGACCACCAGGTCAGGAGATCGAGACCATCCTGGCTAACACGGTGAAACCTCGTCTCTACTAAAAATACAAAAAATTAGCCAGGCGTGGTGGTAGGCGCCTATGGTCCCAGCTACTTAGGAGGCTGAGGCATGAGAATGGTGTGAACCCAGGAGGCGGAGCTTGCAGTGAGCCGAGATCGCGCCACTGCACACCAACCTGGGTGACAGAGCAAGACTTCATCTCAAAAAAAAAAAAAGGACATTTCTGCTCTCACAGTTCTGGAGGCTGGAAGGCCAGGATCAAGGTGTCTGCAGGGTTGCTTCCTTCTGAGGCTGTGACAGGGAATCTGCACCAGGCCCTCTCCTGGCTTCAGGTGCTTTGATGAAATCTTTGGTGCTCCCTGGCCTGTGGGGGCCTCACCCTGACCTCTGCCTTCGTGTTCACAGGGTGCTCCCCCTGAGTGCATGTCTATGTCCCAATTTCTCCTTTTCACAAGGACACCTGTCACATCAGGGGCCTTCCCCACTCTAGCAGGACCTTATCTGAACTAATTACATCTGCACTGACTCTATTTCTAAATAAGGTCACATTCTAAGGTTCTGGAGGTTTGGACTCCAAGATGTGAACTTGGGAGGGGGTGCAATGCAACCCATAACAGTAACTAACTTGCTTGGATTTTAGGTAAAATTATTAGTGGTCATTTTGACACAAGCATAATGAAATTATTTTGTCTAATACAAACTCCACCTCCACCATCCATTCATTAAATAATTGCCGAGTGCCTGTGATGTACCTGGTGCTTTGCTGGGATTGGAGGAGATGCAGTGAATGAGAAGGACGGGAATCCTGTTCCCTTGGCACCTGCAAGAGAGAACAACCACGAAGGCCCACGTGAATTGTGGATTTATTCCCACCCCAGGCTGTGATCTGGCCCTTAATGGGCCATTTCCTCTGTTCCTCACAGCAGCCCTAGAAGGTGGGCATGGTTATTACTCTCCCACTTCACAGAGGGGAAAACTGAGTCGCAGGCCCAAGGTCACGGCCCGGTTTCTCTGAGGTGCCTCTCTTATCCCTCCAGGTGCCGGTCAACAATATTGGACCTCGATTTAAGTTGATACTTTATGGTGACAGAATTTTCCAAACAAAAATCAGGCCCCCCAGCATGAGTATATTTAAGAAGCAGCTGAACTCATTAGCTTCGCGTGGGAGCACGCGCCTGTAATCCCAGCTACTCGGGAGGCTGAGGCGAGAGAATTGCTTGAACCCAGGAAGTGGAGGTTGCAGTGAGCTGAGATTGCACCACTGCGCTCCAGCCTGGGCGACAGAATGAGACTCCATCTCAAAAAAAAAAAAAAAAAAAAGAAGCAGCTGAACTGAAGCAGCAGCCCCAGAACACCAGGCTCTGTAGTTGCTGCTCCCACTTCTGTGGCAAGAAGCGGCATGAAGGAGACTGTGTTCCATTTTGAACTCTGCTCTACAGGGGAGCTGGATTCAGCTTCAGCCCGTGGGTGTAGACTCTGGAAGCAGCCACCTGGACACCAGCTAAACTCATGTCATCCTCACAGCAGTCCTGTGGGATAGGGCTACTTGGCTGTTAATATTATTTATTGTGGTAAAATACACACAACATGAAATTTACTATTTTCACCATTTTAAAGTGTACAATTCAGTGGCATTTAGTGTGTGTACAAGGTTGTGCAACCACCCCCACTGTATTAGTCTGCTCTGGCTGATATAACAAGATACCGCACGCTGGGGGGATTACGGTTTTTTTCTCACAGTTCTGGAGGTTGGAAGTCTAAGGTTTAAGGTGCCAGCAGGCTGGCTGTAGTGGCTCACACTGGTAACCCCAGTACTTTAGGAGGCCCAGAAGGGAGAATCGCTTGAGGCCAAGAGTTTGAGATCAGCCAGGGCAACAAAGTGAGATCCCATCTCTACAAAAAATAAAAATTAGCCAGACATGATGGCATGTGCCTATAGTTTACTAAGGAGGCTGAGGCAGGAGGATTGCTTGAGCCTAGGGGGAGGCTATGGTGAGCCAGGAGTGCATCACTGTACTCCAGCCTGGTTGACAGAGCAAGACCTTGTCTCTTTGTTTTTTTTGGTTTTTTTAAAAAAAAAAAGGAAAAAAAGGTGTCAGCAGCATTGATTTCTGGTGAGGCCTCTCTTCCTGGCTTGCAGACAGCCCAGCCTTCTCTCTGTATTCCCACATGGTCTTTCCGCATGTGCAGAGAGAGGCAGAGAATCTGGTGTCTCTTCCTTTTCTTCTAAGGACTCCAATCCTATGGAGTCAGGGCCCCATCCTTATGACCTAATTTAACCCTTATTACTTCCTTAACTGCCCCAGCTCCAAATACAGTCACCTTTGGGATTAGGGGGTTCAACATGTGAATTTTAGGGGGAGGGGGAAACAGTCCAGTCCATAACAACCAGTCTCTAGTTCCAGAACTTTTTCATCAACCCTCACAGAAACCCAGTGAGCAGTCAGTCACTCCCCATTCCCTCTCCCCCAGACCCTGGTCACCACTAACTTACTTTCTGTCTCTGTGGATTTGTCTGCTCTGGACATTTCATAAAAATGGGATAATAGGCCGGGCGTGGTCACCGAGGCCCCCCCGGGAGCTTGGCCAAGTTCACGCTGCTGTCAGATGCGGCGCCTGTTGGGAGCTGGGAGGTGGGGCCCCGGGCTGGGTTGCTCCTAGGGCAGCTCCAGCCTGAACGCTAAAGTCCAGGCCACAGTCAGCTCAACAGGGTGAAAAATACTTGACCGACTTCCCTTCTCAGGACACGCGCCTCCAAACCGGGGCAAGAGAGAGTGCCACTCTCCAACGGGCCCCTGGGGGTCGAAGGGGAAGGTCCCCAGTGTGCTTGGTCAGCTGCCCAGGGTTGCAGAAATGCTGCCCCTGCTGGTGGCCTTAACACGGGGAACAGCCGGGCCACGTCTCTGCCTGTTGCCAGTGGCTATGTTGTCATCTGGCGGCTGGAAGGAAACGCTGTAGCCCTGGGAGTTCAGGGAAGAGGGGCTTGGACCGAGTTCCTCCCGCCTGCTCAGAACCATGTGGGGCCTTCACAGACGTCCTGAGCTGAAGGAAAGTGACCGGAGTTTCACAGGGATTCAGAGTCAGTGTCGAAACACACGTTTTCTGACAAGGGAAGGTGTTTATGGCAATTTGCTACATGAAAGGCGGATTACAAAGTAGGTTGTACGGTATAAGCTACTTTGAAAAGCGTTCGCAGGGAGAGGTGGCTCACGCCTGTAATCCCAGCACTTTGGAGGCCGAGGCGGGCGGATCACGAGGTCAGGAGATCGAGACCATCCTGGCTAACACTGTGAAACCCCGTCTCTACTAAAAATACAGAAAAAAAAAAAAAGAAAAAAGAAAAGAAAAATAGCCAGGCGTGGTGGCGGGCGCCTGTAGTCCTAGCTACTCGGGAGGCTGAGGCAGGAGAATGGCGTGAACCTGGGAGGCAGAGCTTGCAGTGAGCCGAGATAGCGCCACTGCCCTCCAGCCTGGGGGACTGAGTGAGACTCTGTCAAAAAAATAAAATAAAATAAAATAAAAACCTTCAAGAGTCTATATTTCTTTTTGTCTGATTGCAGAGGGAAATGTCTGATAGGAAATAAACTGAGATGTGAACAGTGTGCCGCCGTATCGGATTGTCAAGGGACTTCACGAGAGAACGCATGCGATGCATGAAGGCCTTTTTTCCTTTTTACTTCTTTGTATTTTCTGATATATTTTCCTGTTGTCCATGTATTATTACTTGAGTAATTTAAGAAAAAAGAAGTGGCTGGGCACTGTGGCTCACGCCTGTAATCCCAGCACTTTGGGAGGCCGAGGTGTGAGAATTTCTCGAGTTGAGGTGTTTGAGATCAGCCTGGGCAACATAGTGAGACCCCGTCTCTACAAAAAAAAATTTAAAAATTAGCCGGCCATGGTGGTGCATGCCTGTGGTCCCAGATACTCGGGAAATTGAGGTGGGAGGATCACTTGAGGCCAGGAGTTCCAGACCAGCCTGGGCAACATAGTGAGACTCCATCTCTACAAAAAGTAAAAAAAAAAATTTAGTCAGGCATGGTGGTACTTCCCTGTGGTCCCAGACTATTTGGGAGGCTGAGGTGGGAAGATCACATGAGCATGGGAGGTTGAGGTTGCCATGAGCCGTGATCACCACTGCACTCCAGCCTGGGCAACAAAGTGAGACCCTGTCTCAAAAAGTAGTTAAAATAATAGGGAAGAATGCAAGATGCTCCTGGAGCAGGATGGGTGATGAGTATCATGAATACAATAGCAGTAGGTGTCTCTCCAGATCCATCACAACCCGGCAGGTGAACCCTGCGCTCCATTCCAGGCTGCATCTGATCCTGGCTTGGGGCTTGCCACCAGGTCATCCTGGAACTTTGGGACCCAACTCTCCTGGCTAGGTGGTATTGGGCAAGTTCCTTGACCTCTCAGGGAGTCACTTTCCCCAACTGTCCGTGGGGTAATTATGAGATACACCTTACAGGGCTCTTATGAAGCTTGAGTTGACTTGCAGAGCGTTTACCATTGTGCTGGCACATGATAGACACAATATGTCCTAGCTACTGTTATTATCCAGCAAGTCACTTCACATTTCAGGGTGTCTGTACAATGCGGGATTCACACTAGATCAGCATGCCTTCAAGTACTGTCCTTGCACTCCCTGCCTCAGAATCATCTAGAAAACCAGTTAACTGCAGATTCCTAGGCCTTGCCCCAACCTATAGAATCATTTCCAAACATCTGCATTGTCAACAAGTCTTCCAGCTGAGTCACAAAAGGTTGAAGCCCATGGAATAGGGTACAGTTGCTAAGGTCCCTTTCCACTCAGACATTTTGAGATGCTGGGGGTTTTCTGATGATCTGCCCAGCCTCTTGGCCTCTGCTTCCAACTTGGTAATGGAAGCCAGGTCTTGACGCTGGAAGGTTCTACAGAAACCTAGCCATGGGCCATTCTTAGAAAATCATAGAGCTCTAAAATGGAAATTCTGTAGCCATTGCATGTCAGGACACTGAAGACCAGTGAGAAGAGGGCATTTGTCGCACAGTCAGCTAGCGATGGAGCCAAGAACACAGTCCTGGTGTCCTGACTGGGATAAAAGGTGTGTGCACACATGCGGGAACACACACGCACACACACACTGTTATTCTTGCTGTGGATGGCCCATGCTGTGTCTACAGCACAAGGTCAAGGTCTGGTCCGCTGTCAGATAATTTGCTGTCCAAGTTTGCACTCATGCATATGCAAGCCTTTTCACCTCTTCTGAGATTTTCTTTCTTTAGGATAAGGCTTTGGGGCCAGGGTAACAAGAACAGAAAAGGAAGAGACAGGAAATGTGAATGAAAAGGGCTTTGGGGTTTTGGTTTGTTTGTTTTTGGAGACAGAGCCTCATTCTGTTGCCCAGGCTGGGGCGCAGTGGCACTATCTCAGCTCACTGCAACCTCCGCCTCCTGGTTCAAGCGATTCTCCTGTCTCAGCCTCCTGAGTAGCTGGGATCACAGGCACCTGCCACCACACCCAGCTGATTTTTGTATTTTTAGTAGAGATGGGGTTTCACCATGTTGGCCAGGCTGGTCTTGAACTCTTGACATCTACCCACCTCAGCCTCCCAAAGTGCTGGAATTACAGGCATGAGCCATTGAGCCCAGCTGAGAGCTTTGGTTTTAATGCTATTCCCTAAAGTTTTATTCTACAAGAGCAAATTATTGTCCTCATCAAGCAGATTTATTCAAAAATGTGACTTGGCCTAGGGGTCTTGTTTTCTGAGCCTTTGGCAAATCCAGCACCTGGCATACAGGAGGCACCTCCATACTTATACTGATGAAGTAAGATAACTCTTAAGGTTTTTAGTCTGAGTAAAATCCTGGAGGAACAGGATTGCCATTTAATAAGGTGGCCATGAATTGAGAAGACAAGGAGCTTGGTCTTGAAAGCTCTTAGTCTGGGGTGTCTGTGAAGACGCTGGTAGGCAGCTCAGGACAGGAATCCAGAGTTTTGGGAGGAGTCATGGGCAGACAGTATTTAAGGTCATGAGATGTGAGTGTAAGAGTTAAATAAAGAGGAAAGAAACATGAAAAGCCACTCAACAGTCAAAGATAGGTTATTTTGGAAAATAAACCTGAGAGGGGCTTCTGGCCGACTTAGGTCAGAGGCCCTCTCTCTTACAAAATAAGAGTATTTAAGGGTTCAGGGTGGGAGAGCTTATCACAGGCTCGGAATGTTTCTGTGTCTCTTTGTCTTGCTTATCTGGGAGGGAGAGTTTTTGCATCTGTTCCCACACATCTTCCTGCAGCTGCAGGCATACCACCCGAGTTTGCTTTTAGCTTCCCTATCTCAGCATGCCTAAAGGGAAAGAAATGTGCTTATTAGGGCCCACTGTTTTACTGGGGCCCATTGTATGAGGGTGAAGTTTGGTGGTTACGAAGAGACTTTCCCTCCTCCCTCTGTGCTCAAGCTGTCTTATCTGTGTTTCATTGTCTGCTCTTCCTGGCTGCATTTCCTTGAAACGCATGAGGTTAGAAAGGGAGCTGGAACTTTTGGAGTTGTTTGTCCAAGATGACAGTGCTCCTGCTCTGTCATTGAGGAGATGGCCTAGGGACAGAGCCAAGGCCGGAGAGGAGGTCCAGGGCCTGTGTTCTTAAAGTTGGGGCACCCCAACTTTAAGATGTGTGTTGGGGTAGGGGAAGGAGTCCAAGACAGAGCCACCCGTGCATGAAGGGGAATCCTAGCAGGAGTGGTCCTCTTGGTTGTTGTTTCAAGGAGAAAAAAGGAATGCACTTGCTGCCGACGTGTCATATCCTGCCTCAGAGTCATTAGGAAGGGGACTGAGAATTCTCACTCGGTTTAGCAATGGGGAGGTCGTGGGCCACCTGGGCAAAAAGTATTTCAGTGGAGTCTGATGAACAAGGTTCAGGAGAAAAAAATCAATCAATCTAGGAGGTCCAGTATTTTGACTAAAAAGTATTCCAAAGACATTCATTTGACTATTTGTTACTGAGCATTTAGGGTCAGGCACTGTTCTGGGCACTGAGGATAAAGCAGTGAACAAAAGAGACACAAAGAGTTTATATCCTGGCCAGGCTCGGTGGCTCATGCCCGTAATCCTAGCACTTTGGGAGGCCTAAGCGGGAGGATTACTTGAGCTCAGGAGTTTGAGACCAGCCTGGGCAACATAGTGAGACTCTGTATCTATTTAAAAAAAAAAAAAGAAGAGGTTACATCGTAATAGGGGAAGATTATATAGTAGGTCAGATGGTGATAATAAGACTTAGTGAGAAAAAGCAGAGGTGGGAAATCAAGGGGTTGGGGGCAGGTTGGTTTTAGATGGGAAAGTGCAGAGTCCACGGGCACAGATGTGGGGAGGTAGGGAGGTGTTATGGGAGCTTGAGGAATGTTCTTTCCTATTTGTTTCTTTTTTCTTTTCCTTTTTTTTTTTTTTTTTTTTTGAGACAGCCTTGCTCGGTTGCCCAGGCTGGAGTGCAGAGGTGCGATCTCACTGCAACCTCCGCTTCCCAGGTTCAAGCGATTCTCGTGCCTCAGCCTCCTGAGTAGCTGGGACTACAGGCATGTGGCAGTATACCTAATTTTTGTATTTTTAGTAGAGATGAGGTTTCACCATGTTGGCCAGGCTGGTCTCGAACTCCTGACCTCAAGTGACCCACCTGCCTCAGCCTCCCAACGTGTTGAGATTACAGGTGTGAGCCACCACGCCTGGCCCCTATTTGCTTCTAGGTTCTGAGAGAAATAGGAAGCAAGGCCATAAGGAGGAGGACAGGCGAGCTGCAGAGGTCTGAGAAGATGTGACACAAGTGCCTAGGGCAGCACGTCGCCTGGATCAAGGAGAGGGGATTGTAGGATACGGCGGGGGCTCAGGAGAGCTGTAGAAACTAGAGAATGGCTGTTTCTCACCAGCCTGGCTGGGCTCCCTGTGTGTAGTGCTGGAGGTTCACCAGGTGGAATGGATAAAGGGGTTGGTGGGTGAACCATGGCCAAGGAGGGTCCACAGGGACAGCTAAGGGGATGGATGCACTGTAGGTGCTGGGAGGCTGAAGAGCTACACGAGTTGGGATGAGGGAGGAGCCAGAGGAGGCCATGAGAGGAGAGGACATGGGGAGGAAGGAGGAAGATCTGCACTCACGTGCGGCCATTGTGTTCCAAGTTCACTCCATGTGTGCAATGGGGACAACAGATGCTCGCTGAGCCAGCCTGGCAGAAGCGTAGTGCAGCTGATGGATGGGAAAACACGAAATGCACCTGTAATGGACTTCAGAGCTGATGCCCTACTCTGCAACTGTGCTGTTTTTCTATGAAAATCCTCTCCTCCTCACTGGTCTCTCGTTGAGTATCTTGTACTTCTGAGTTAGAGCTGCTCACGAGTATTCGAGGGTGCTCTCCACACAGTCCTCCGTGTAGGGTGCTCTCCAGTCTTCCGTGCAGGCAGTGCTATAAGCAGATCACCTGTGACGTGCCACATCCCCAGTCTCACCTTGATATTCCAGCGACAGAGCCACGGGCACATCTCCTTCCTGCAGAGGCTGTCAAGCCCGCTGGGAAGGGGAAGTAAATATTTAGAACGCCCTGTCAAGGGCCAGGCGCCGGGCAGGTATTTTCAAGTGAGTGCTCAGATCAGACAAGCCTTGTGAAAATACTGGAAGATGTTCCTCTCATACTGCAAAAAAGAAACTCCAGAGAAGATCCTGAGAGGGTGAACAGCTCACCCATGACCTTGCCAGTAAGTGGCAGCCAGGAGTCAGGCAGTTCTGACCACTGAGAAACCCGCTGTACCAGGAGGGAGACTGACCAATGAGGTTCTTATCCTTGCAGAGTGAGTCCTCGCTGCTATTTATTTTTATACCCCTATAGTCTTTAGATTAATAAAAATGCTAGAGGAAACATATAATATATAGAAAAGTTTCATTTATTCGAATTAAATTATGGTATGAGTTTCATATACAAATAAATTCTGTGTAAATAATACAAAATGCTACAAATTTCAATCTTGTAAAAATGCAAAAATACTTGTAATACTATACATATATAATTCCTTTCACATGACCAACATGTACAGTAGTTGACACGATGCACACGCGCTTCCCCCCCACAGCTGAGGCTGCTGAGACAGCATCAAGCCTTCGCTTCTGTGACGTCAGCGCTCCCTCCCGCGGCTGCCTCACGGTGAGCCAGCAGGCCCTCCCCCTCACACCCCCAGCTCAAGATGCTTCAGATTATGAGCCATCATCAGGAGGGAAGCTACCTATTCTCTGGCTAGTTAGAAGGCACTGTCATGGGGAAACTGGGTCCTCCTACAGCCTTAACACCAGCCTGCTAAACTGAGAACACGCCTCTACCGTGGAGAAGCGCGGTACATCACTGGTCTAACTCGTTTTCATTCTGCAGCGTCTTCATCGCTAGCCCCCAGAGAGTCATGCTGGAGAAAAACTGACCCTCTGAGTTCCTATAAGTGGTGGAAGATGCTCGACTGCCCAGGGGGTCACCGCCGTGGTTGTCCAAAGCAGCCAGAGAGGAACGGATCATGGCCATGCCATCGGCCTGCAGTGGTTCGCCACCGGCTGGGGTGTCCACATCCGAGTAAGCATAGGCCTGAGGCTGTGTCTGCTGCATCTGGGGCTTGGCAAGTTTACCAGGATCCAAACTCAGCTTCTCCTGGTCACTAACTCCATGAGGTTGGATCATGGACCGTAACTTACAATAGGAGCCGCCAGAGTGGCTATCAAATTCTGCCACAGAATTTTCCACTGGGTGGACAGGGAGTTTAACCGACACTGGCATCAGCGTCACAGACGTGTCTTGGGAGAAAGAGTCTGAGCTCTGAGATTTCTCGAGGTCGGAGGTCTCGATGGCTTGGCTGAGCTCCTCCAGCACATCTGGGCTCTCGTCACCAGCTTTGCAGTGCATCTTCTTGTGCCGCCGGAGCACCGCAGAGCGGGTAAAGCACTTGTTACAGATCTCACATGTGTACGGCTTCTCCCCAGTGTGAGTGCGGACATGCCTGCGGAGGTCACCTGATCCCCCAAAACATTTCCCTGGAAAAAGAAAAACAGTTATTTATTTACTTAAACAGGGTCTCACTATGTGGCCCAGGCTGGTCGTGAACTCCTAGCCTCAAACAATCCTTCTTCCTCAGCCTCTCAAGTAGCTGGGACGACAGGCGCATGACACCACGCCTGGCTAATATACATATACATTTTGTAGAGACAGGGTCTTGCTATGATGCCCAGGCTGGAAAAAGATGCTTTTACAGTGGCCATTCTGGAAGGATTCTCCCCTCCCCTCCCAAGACACTGAACAACCCTGATCTGAGGAGAGGGGGTCACCTCACAGCTTCTGCTCACTCTGGAAGGCTTTCCATTCCTGTGGGAGGTGCTTCTCCAGCTGCGGACCCCTCCAGCAGACAGCCTTTGGGTTTTGAGTATCTCAGTGTCAGTCCTTCGATTCTCACTGAGTCTCCCTGCACATGGGTGCCGTAGGCACCTGCCAAGCCCATGCTGAGAAACCACAGCTCTCCTCATCAGTTTCACTACATGTTCATAAATCTAACACAGCCAATCTATAATTTAGAAACATCTTTTCTAAAGGTGTTTGTGTATTCGGGTGTTTGTCTCGAAAAAAAGAAAAAAATCGCCCAGGCTGGAGTGAAGTGGCATTGTCTCGGCTCAGTGCAACCTCTGCCTCCGAGGTTCAGGTGGTTCTCCTGCCTCAGCCTCCTGAGTGGCTGGGATTACAGATGCCTGACACCACGCCAGGCTAATTTTTGTATTAATATTTTTAGTAGAAATGGCATTTCACCATGTTGGCCAGGCTGGTCTTGAACTCCTGACCTCAAGTGATCTGCCCACCTCAGCCTCCCAAAGTGCTGGGAGTGAGGCGCCCAGGCTGGAGTGAGGTGCAATCTCGGATCACAGCAACCTCCACCTCCTGGGTTCAAGCGATTCTCATGTCACAGCCTCCCGAGTAGCTGGGATTTACAAGGTGTGCCAACACACCAGGCTAATTTTTATATTTTTTGTAGAGATGGGGTTTTGCCATGTTGGCCTAGCTAGTCTTGAACTCCTGGCCTTAAGTGATCAGCTCATCTCAGCCTCCCAAAGTGCTGGGGTTACAGGCATGAGCCATGGCGCCTGGCCCTGTATTCAGCTTTTAACAAAATGTTATGCATTCCTGTCCAGGTTCTATTTTCTTTCTCTGTGAATATGGTAAAGGTAAGGGATCTAGCTCCACCACTGGAATAGGTAAGATGAGAAGGAACTCAGCACATAACCTTACAAAGGCCACAGACTAGCCAAGAATGAGCTGCACAACTCACATGGACAAATATTTAGAACTTTTCACTTTACATCTGAATTCTCAGCTATCTAGCTCCAGTCAAGCAATGGCTAGGCTATTTTTTTTTTAAAGCCTTTGAATAATCAAACTGGATGTGAGCTTACATGCCTAAACTTTGGGCACATTTTCCACATAAAAAATACTGTAGGCCAGGTGAGGTGGCTCACACCTGTAGTTCCAGCACTTTGGGAGTCTAAGGAGGGAGGATTGCTTGAGCTCAGGAGTTCAAGACCAGCCTAGGCAACATAGTGAGACCCTGTCTCTACAAAAAATAAAATAAAAATTAGCTGGGTGTGGTGGTGCATGCCTGTGGTCCCAGTATTTGGAAGACTGAGGCGAGAGGACTGCCTGTGTCCAGGAGGTCGAGGCTGCAGTGAGCTGTGATCGCACCACTGCACTGCAGCATGAGCAACAAAGAACCCATCTCAAAAAAAAAAAAAAAAAAGATTAAAAAAAACAAAAACCAAAACACTGCAACAACACATCACAGTGACCTTTGCCTTTGTGCTTTCATGTCTGTGTTTTGTCCACAATGTAAGGCTCAGGCTCCTTCACAGAACACTAGAGTGAAAGCATATTTAGTTTCTGTGTTGTCCTTATAACACACACTTTACTCAGACATGCGGAATTTTGTGAATTAGAAGCTTCACTGCTGCACACGGTGGCTGCTTCCAACTGTTTGCTGCTCTAGCATAAAGTTTTTATCTTTTTTGTTTTTTTGTTTTTGTTTTTGAGATGGAGTCTCACTTTGTTGCCCAGGCTGGAATGCAGTGGCACGATCTCGGCTCACTGCAACCTCCGTCTCCCGGGTTCAAGTTAATTCTTGTGCCTCAGCCTCCTGAGTAGCTGGAACACACCACCATGCCCAGCTAATTTTGGTATTTTTAGTAGAGACGGGGTTTCGCCATGTCGGCCAGGCTGGTCTCAAACTCCTGACGTCAAGTGATCCACCTGCCTCGGCCTCCCAAAGTGTTGGGATTACAGGCGTGAGCCACCACACCTGGCCAAGTTTTTAATCTTTCTTTACATCATTTCTTCAAGATAAATTCTCAATAGTTGAATTACTGAACAAGATGGGACAACCACTTTTAGCATCCTTAATATGTAAAATTTTTAGTCATGACAGAGTTTCCACCAAGAAAGAGGAATATGGGTGCCTGTCCTTCATCTTTCGAGTCGAGAGGAGCTTGGCTCCACCTGTGTCCCATCGCGAGGAGGGCACAGGGGAATGACGCCCACCTCCTGCACAGTAGGTCTAGTAGGGGACAGGCGGGTGGGCGCCACACTGCTGTGGGCCTGCAGGCCCCTGAATACAGGCCTGAGGGCTGCCACCCACTGTACAGAGGCATGCTGGAGCTGCTCTCAATCAGCAGGGGAGGCTGCCCGGAGAGCAGTGAAACCCCAACGAAGCCTCCCTATAGGAAGCTGCCACTAAAACCAGAGAGCCAGGAAAGACGCCAGCTGAACGGAAATGCATGGCTGTGCAGTGCAGGCCTGCATCTCGGAAAGCGCAGTGAAATGCTGGGGGAAGACAGGGAAGGCAGACTTGAGAACTACGAAGCCCAGCACGCATAAGACAGCGAGAGCACACGAGCCTGCGAGCAGTTTGAAACACCGAGAAGCTCAGCATGTGAAACCCTCTTAAAAGAGAACTGTCTATATATCCAAGAAAATGGAAACACACCCCCACACAAGCCTTGGTACACGGATGTTCATAGCTGATTTGCTTAGTGCAAGAAGTCGACTACAAAATACCCCGTGTTGTATGAGTCCATGCATAGTAAATGTCTAGAACGGGCAAGTCCACAGAGACAGAACCTAGATGAGTGGCAGCCAGGGGCCAGGGCTGGGAAGGGGGTTGCTAATGGGTATAAGGCTTCCTTCTGGGGTGATGAAAATGTTCTAAAATTAGATTGTGTTGAGAATTATACAACTTTGTGAATCTACCAAAAACCAATGAATTGTTCACTTTAAATTGGTAAATTTTATGGTATGGGAATATTGTCTCAAAGCTGTTAAAAAACTGACCCTGTCACATAACATTCCTCCTCTCTTCAGCGCTCCCCCATCCCCCAGAAGCTGACCTCATCAGAGTGTGAAACCAGGGTTAGTGAGGCAGGGAAAGGGCAGAACCCAAAGTGGGGCAGAGGGGACGGAAGGCCCCACTTCCTCCACTGCAGGGTCTGAGCAGCAGCAAGTCCTAGCTGGGGAAGGAGGACAAAATTTACCATTAAATCAAGTTCACAGTTGTGATAATTATTTGGAACTGACATTTTAAATTAGTGATTTGAGACTACACTACTGATGCTTTGAGATGAAGCTCTCGCTGTCACCCAGGCAGTGGTGCAATCTCGGCTCACTGCAGCCTCGGCCTCCTGGGCTCAAGAGATCCTCCAGCTTCAACCTCCCAAGTAGCTAAGATTACAGGCGAACGCCACCACAGTAGGCTCCTACGTTAGTGATTTAAAGTGATGAAACTTCACTTTCTAAGAGTGATCAGAATGGTCATGGAGTTGCCTAAATCTGTATCCAGAAGATCCGTGTACAATTTAAATGCAGGGACAAAAACCGAGTTTCCTCTGGTTATATGCAGAAGTCCTGCTGGTTTCAGATTCCAATTACAATTAGAATGTGCCTCTCTGAATGGTGCCCTGAATCCAGGCTCCCTACAGCTGGACTCTGTGCATTTCTTATTTGGTCTAAACAGTTCATAAAAGTTGCTGTCACTCATAGTTTTGCCCATGATTCAATAGGCATCTCAATTACTTGTCACGGGTACACACTCTCCCTCTTTAGAGGCCATGTGTATAGGAATCCTGGCTCCAACGCTGTGATCACAGGTCATGAGCTACCTTACCCTGAGCCTCCGTGTCCTCATCGGAGCAGTCAGGTGCCCTGAAACCGAGGGCTGCCAGCTTTCCGCTCTCAAACGAAGCATCAAGTGCCCACGAGAATAAAGTCTGCTCTGAAGTTTGTGATCTATAGAAGCCGACCCTCTGATCCCAGCACGTGCTCCTAATGCTCTGGCGGGACCGCTGCTCTCCTTCATGTGCAGCCACACGTCCTGCTGTCCCCTACTTTCCCAGCCACCCTCCCTCTTCCCATCTGGACCAAGAGCCCTCAGCACCTGGGACTCTGTCTTAGTCATCTTTGTATTCGGAGCGTTTAGGACAGTTCCTAATACCTCAAAGACAAGCAGCAAATGCCTGACACACAAATGCAGGAATGAATGAGAGATCATGTGAGGCAATAAAAAAACAGGAGGAAACAAAGGGCTCATCCCAGACACGCACTCAGCTAATGAGGGCTGGGGGACAAAGCCCTTCCCACACACAGATGACTAGGGGACAGCCAGAAACCCAAACTCACCGCAGGCAGAGCAGCTGTAAGGCCGCTCCCCCGTGTGCCGAATTCTGTGCTTTACTAACTTCCTTTGCATATTAAAAGACTTTCCACACTCATCACAGGTGAAGACTTTATCAGCCGTGTGTGTCTTTTTGTGCTCCTTCAAATTACTGAAGTTACTAAACCCTAGAGAGACCATAACAGGTGTTAAGCTGAAGGACAGAGAACATTTTAATCAGAAATCTTCAAGAAGAATAGGAAAACACTCAGCTGTACCTCGACCACAGATGTCACACAAGTGTGGTTTTTCTCCTGAGTGAATAATAATGTGACGCTGGACGTCGCCAGAGGCTGCAAACCTAGAATGTAATTTGAAAATTCAATTAAGAGCCTTTCCACATTACTGTGGGTCTTTATAACTGCAACTCTCTGAGGGAGGAGATACCTGCTCCTGACACTGCTGCAGAAAGGAACGTGAACTGGACTGGTTTCATCTGAAACGTGCATGGAAAAAACCCTTTTCTATTTTTTTAAGAAAAGCAGAACATGATGCAAGTGTCTTGTTTTTAAAGCATTTTTTTCTACCTGATTTCATCACACTTTCTTCCTCAGTTTTACAGAGCACAAGATCAGATACCGTACGGTTCAGCATCACTACCTTAGGGGCCACAAAGAGAGTGAAAAAGGAGTCTCCCCAGTTCAGAGCCAAATGCCCCTTCCACCCTTGCAGTCCTGCCAAGGTTCCTGGGGTCTCACGGGACAGACCCTAGCTGGGTGGTGCCAACCCAAGGAGGATGACCTTGAGAGGGCCCAGAGTGAGTTCTGCCCTGGTCTAGCCAGGTGCGACTCTCGCTCTTTTCACTATAAAGTAAAATGCAAACAGGAGCTCAGAGTCTCAGGGACCAAGAGGTATGGCTGTCACCCTCCACTGTGAATATCCCCAGAGAATAAGCTCTCCTCTTTCTGAGCCACAACAGAGACTTACGCCTATCAGTCCTAACATTGAGAACAAGGGAACTAATGGAAGAAAGGGAACCAGCATTCACTGAGCAGATGCTGTGTGCAGGTGATCGGTTACATGTTTAACAACCATTATCCCATCTAGTCATTCCACAACACTGCCAGGCAGGCATTTTCACCTCCACTTTCCAGATGGGAAAACCAAGTTCAGAGGCGGTTACTAACTTGCCTTAGACAATAATTCCAACCCAAGCCCTCAGATGTGGAAATCTATGTTCTTTCCTTTCCACTACGCTTGATAGCAGAGTATGTTATATTCTAAGGAAGACGCTGCATATAGGTCTGGTTTCAAACACACGCCTTGGCTGGGCACGGTGGCTCACGTCTGTAATCTTAGCACTTTGGGAGGCAGAGGCGGGTGTATCACCTGAGGTCAGGAGTTTGAGACTGGCCTGGCCAGCATGGCGAAACCCCGTCTCTACTAAAAATACAAAAATTAACCGGGTATGGTGGCACATGCCTACAATCCCAGCTACTTGGGAGGCAGAGGCAGGAGAATCGCTTGAACCCAGGGGGTGGAGGTTGCAGTGAGCCGAGATTCAGCCACTTCACTACAGCCTGGGCAAAAGAGCAAAAACTCTGTCTCAAAAAAATAAATAAATAAAAAATAAACACATGCCTCACTTTGAAATGGAATTCAGAAAGTTCAGATTTCAAACACCATGCAAAACAAGACATGCAGGGGCCAACAGTGAAGTGATGCCATCAGAGGCAGCAGGAGGGCTATGCTCCCAGGCATCTGGAAGGAGCGGCAGATGACACTGGGCCCTGAACTTGACTTTCAGCGTTCAGGTAGCTACAGCAGAAAGGGAGATGCGCTGCCCGCCGCAGCTTTTGTTTGTTTTCTACCATTGGCAGAGAAATGGTTTTCCTGAAACTGAATCGAGAGTCGCTTCCTCCTCGGCTTTCCCCAGCATGTGCTGAGACTGAATATGAGGACACTGACTTCTAACTGACCCCGTGACTATCTCTTGCCTCAAGGCACTTCGGTATGAATCTGTGACAGGCAGAGACTCTGTACTGTTTATTTTTATGGACCCATATAGCACTTGGCATACAGCAGGTGTCTAAAAAATGTTGAATCAATGAATGATTAAATAAATGAATATAAAAGCTACGTAACCAAGGTGCGTACAGAGCTTCGTGACTGGCATAGTCCTGGCTGATGCCTGTTGTCCTGGCACAACCACCAGATGATGGAGTACGTGGCCTGATTGACGTACAGCCCAAGGACAGGAAGGAGGGTCGAGGGTGCCAGCCTGCACACACAGCAGGGGAAGAGCTCCTCATTTATACCACGCTGCAGAGGAATCGAGCTGCCACACACTTTATTCCACGTCAAGAGTCAGATTCTCTTTTGCCAGGTCAAAATCCTACCCACCCATCAAGACTTAGTTTCCTCCTCCCTGGGGTGGAGCTCTCACAGGCTGTTACAGACCCACGGCTTGTGGCACCTTCCACCACCTCCTTCTCTCCTGAAATCTAGTCACTCAGCTGCCAAGTCCCATTTCCCCTACTAGACAGTCACCTCCTTGGGGGCATTAATCTATTATATTTTCAGAGACATTTTTAGAATGAATGAAAATATTAGTATAAAATAATTTTGTTGCATTTAAAACCCCATTTCCTTTTTGGGACTCCTGTCCCAGCTTTTCTTTCTTTGAATTAACTTTTCTTTTTATTATTCTCTCGTGTGTCACATGCAAAGCCAGAAGGTTTGAATTTACCTGTGTTCTGCAGTGGCAGGGTGAGCCCACCTGTGGCTCATCTGTGAGCCACCACTTCAGAAGACACTGACTACCAAAGACACTGAGACTAGACATGCTCCCTTCCACACGGAAGAACACGCCCAGCACTGACCTCTTTCCACAGATCTCGCAGATGTATGGTTTTTCACCAGAATGCCGTCGTAAGTGAGTCTGCAAGTTACCTGCCTGCAAAAAGAGGAAAAGAAAAACACACCAATAATGAAAGTTTTTGGTTTTTTAAATTATATAAATTCAAAAGGAAAACTGACACATTTAGCCAGGTTCCAATTCAAATTCCAGATGAAGATGAGCTACACACAACTCAAAAGAAGCCATGGGCAAGAGCGTGAAGAGCAGCCAGAGTGCCTGGCCACCTGCTGTACACGAGATGTGTCTCCACCCCGTCCTCCATGTGAGCCCTTGGCTGTGTCCTAGTTCAGGCAGGCCCTATGCAGTGCTTCCCTCTTAACAGCACCCTGTGGAGGCTGCTTTGGTGGTCGCCAAGCCTGGACTTTAAATAGGCCTTGATGTATTTTATTTGGGCCATGTATTTAAAACATCACTTAAAACAAACAAAAGCACCATACGTCCTTATTTCAGTATTGTTTCTTTCTAAAAAACATACTTCTGTTCATAAAGAAGGGAAGACATTTCCAAAAAGTACTTCCTCTGGCAAGTACACTTGGTTCTTTCTGACAGGTTTCTCAATTTTACCTTTGTGCAAAAGGGCAAATCAGGAGAATCACAGCAGCCTCTCAGGTGCAGGGCCATTGTGTTCCTAATTTCTGAAACTAGCAAGGCTTTGCGAAGAATAACACTGAAACGGAGATCATCAGATGGATTTCTATGTACTAATCAACAGGAAATCAATATTAAATTACCTAAAGTACAGCGAAATTAAAACTGCAAATGCCTCAGATATTTAAAAAGCTAATTGCTAATGTTTCGAATTAGGTTTGGAAAATCTTCCATTGCTGTAATTAAGTTAATAGTCTCAACCTTTATTTTCCTCATTTTAATTTTGTACAGTGTTCTGTGGCAAAAAAAAGAAAAAGAAAAAAAAGGAAAACCTACTGAAATGAGGTAATATACCCAGCGGTAAAAATGAGCAGGTGTCATGCACAAGATAAGTGAAAAACGAGAATGAATACTAGCCAACTAACACACGGGGCTTTTTTTAATTTGCAAATTGCATTTTAAATAAAATGCAAAGATTAAGATTCATGGTTAAGATTTGAAGATGAGTTTGATATTGACTTGTGAATGAAAACTAGAATTCACAAGTATTAAAAATGCCATCTGCGGACTATATAACATGAAAGATTCATCATGTCTATCAAATTCTGGGAAACAGAGTTAGACATTACATTTAAGAATATGATAAATGTGGCTTCGAAAAAACTCAAGTTTATTTTCAACAACCAAAGAGAAAGAGTTTGACAAAACTTTGGAAAATGTCCAGCTTTTAATAGAATGGCTCCTAATAACAATAAAACAAATATCAACAGCAATATACATTTGCTGAACTTCAAATTAGGCCTTTACCACCTATTTTCTTGAGATAATAATACAACTAACACTGTATTCAGATAAACTGTACAATTACCATTGTATTCAGATAAATAAAGGAGTTGTCTCAGTTACATGGTGGGGCCAGAAATTAATACTGGTTGCTGTGAATCTAAACTCCTCTACTTGTGGGGAAACCTTGAGGAAACACAAGTTTCTATGAATGAAATAGTGTGTTTTGAATATTCAATATGACGGTAACTTTGCCACTCAGGAAACACATACTGGAGAGTTAAAAATAATACACCAGTGTTTTAAATTAGTCACTTGCAAATTTCAGAAAAGCTGATCAGTTGCATAATAATCGGAATAGCACCATCTGCTGAACTGTTAAATTAGAGCCCTCTTTTTTCGGTTATTTTGTAAACTATGTATTCTGAATGAAATGCATTCTGGGTTAATTCTTAGCAATGTTGCATTTTTCCTTTTTAAAAATGGCATAACGATTACTTGTTTTCAAAAGAAATATAATCAAATGATCTTCCATTTAATATTTTAAGTGGTAGAAAAATCTTTAAAGTGTTCTTTACCTATTTTGTACTAGAAATAGATAATGAAAACAATCTTTCTCCCTGATACAGGAATGCATATTTCTGATAAATAATATAAAAGCAGATTAAATAAAACTAATGGAATGGGCCATGCAAAAAATCCAATAGTACATTCAGATAATTTATTCCAGGTTACACAGCAAACTCAGGCCCAGATTATTAGAGCTTTAGTCAATATTTTTATTTTTGGTAAACTTTTGATATATTCTAGTACTAAGGATATCTTAGGTGCACAGACCATGTCTTAGAAATCACCTATAGTTGTGTCCATAAAAATTCTAGCAAGTAGGCCGGGCGCAGTGGCTCATGCCCGTAATCCCAGCACTTTGGGAGGCTGAGGCAGGTGGATCATGAGATCAGGAGATCGAGACCATCCTGGCTAACATGGTGAAACCCCGTCTCTACTAAAAATACAAAAAAAAAAAAAAAATTAGCCAGGCATGGTGGCGGGCGCCTGTAGTCCCAGCTACTCAGGAGGCTGAGGCAGGAGAATGGCGTGAACCCAGGAGGTGGAGCTTGCAGTGAGCCGAGATCATGCCACTGCACTCCAGCCTGGGCAACAGAGCAAGACTCCATCTCAAAAAAAAAAAAAAAATTCTAGCAAGTGGTAATAATAGCTCTCGTTTATTAAGAACTTACTATGAATGAAGCTCTTTGCTAAACCGTTGCGAAGAGTATTTAACTTAGTCATCACAATGTCTTGTAAAGCAGTATTATCCATGTTTTACAGAGAAGTCAACAGAGGCTCTGAGAGGTTAGTAACCAGCCTTGGGTCATAAAATGGGGACTGAATTCACTAATTCAGGTTTGCCTAGTGACTCCAAAGTTTGGACTGTTAAACCTATGTTAACGATATTAGCAGTAAAGGAACTTTGATCCTTTCTAATACCATTTTACCTTCAAATGGAGTTAGAATTTTTAACAGAAAAACTATGCTGTAGAGAAGAATTAACATCTGCCTTCAGCAATTTTTATAATAAACTCCTTCTGACAGGTACTTGAACCTCAGTATTTAAACATGAACAAACCCAGCATCTATTCCCTATCATGAGCACTCTTAACGGCAGTTGAGTGTTTATATCAAAAAAAAGTCAGGAATCGTAATCATTTAGAGATAAAAGAGATCCCAGATATTAAAAGTCAGCTAGCTCAGGAGTTTCAAGACTTTAGGATTTCACACAGCGATAAAATTAAAAAGAAAAAAATGTAAGGTTTAACATAGAGATATCACTTAAACAATGACTGCTATTTTGATAAAAGGACATTCAACGGTAAAGGTGTGGCAAATATAACCTCAGAGATGACAATGTAATAGCTTGGGCCAAGCTCACTAAGTGTCCTTATTTTTGTGTTTCCACCATGGATGGCTGACACTGTCACCTCTGGCATGAGTCCACATCAGCACCCTGGAAATGCCTCCTATAGGGTAATCCTGCAGAAGGCACTAGGACCCCCGGACTCGGGCAGACAGCTGGCTAGACGGCGCTGCTGGCAGAGTACTGCCTCTCAAAACCCGTCTCTCTGTACCAGCTGCCCAGTGTTTCTGTTTCTGCCTACTTGGAGGAACAAAAGCAATCCTACTCCTCTCCCCAAAGACAGGTAATTACGCCGCATTTTCTTTCCCGTTTCTCAAATGACAAGCGCTCAAAACTTGTCACTCTTTTGGTTCTCTCCAGTGCCCTCCAAACAGTCCATGTTCTACGCCACAGAGGAAACACTTCCCTCTGACTGCGACTCAGTCATACTCTAAAGTAGGACATGACTCTTCCGTTAAAGTATGACATGACTCTTCCCTGCAGAGATCTGGACACATACAGTGTCCAGTCACACGGACAGATGCAGCTTCTGTGGTCACTCTAAGATGATGCTAACTTCCTTATGCTGGCATGCCATCCTCATAATGCAGGCTGCGGTTAACTATTTTAAAAAGACTAACCTACTAAATACTAAATTCTCAGTAAGCAGGATGAGGGATTCTTATTTGTAAATGTTTTTATACAACAGCATTCCAATTCCATGTAACCACAAACATTTATTCTAGTTCATTACAAGAAAATAATGTTAGGCATACGGTGGAGGATGGGCCGGTGGGCATTCTTTACCACGCATCCCTATGCAGACAATCTGACTGCTTTCTTGCCCCAGCATGCCAGGGATGCCAGGCTTGCCCAGTGCCTGCTTGTCTGCAGGGCTCACCTAAGCAATCTCTCAAGCATTTCATGGCCTCATGCTGTCCCAAACACACCTTTCAGGTAGAAAGGACTACTGCCTTTTCTTTGCCCACACTGTTCCCGTAGATAACTGTCAGCAGTTCCAACATTTCACTGTACTCGATCATTTACACGTCTGTTGCTTCCTCTAAACAATAAGCTCCTGGAGGCCATGGCCATTTCTGTCCCCCTTCCCGGCACACAGCAGAGCTCATGGACAGCACATGGACACTGTAGGCTTGCAACAAACATTAAAACAGTTCCTTGTTCATCAAAATTCATACTTTACTATGAAAATAAAGCAGCAATATACATCTGAAAACTATCACTATGTATGACTCTACAATCACAGAAACCTAACAAAAGTACACAGACCAATACAGAAGGGAAGGGTTTCTGGATCGGGCAGGGCTACCCTTGGTAAGATTTAAGAGAGCAAGTGCAGGTCAAGAGCTATAGTGGTGGTTCTCAACCTTGGCTGCACACCAAAATTGCTGAATTTTTAAAAATACTGATACGTGGCTGGGCACGGTGGCTCACGCCTGTAATCCCAGCACTTTGGGAGGCTGAGCCTGGTGGATCATGAGGTCTGGAGTTTGAGACCATCCTGGCCAACATGGTGAAACCCCATCTCTACTAAAAATATAAAAACTGAGCTGGGCGTGGTGGAACGCACCTGTAGTCCCAGCTACTTGGGAGGCTAAGGCAAGACAATCGTTTGAACCTGGGAGGCAGAGGTTGCAGTGAGCCCAGATTGCGCCACTGTACTCCAGCCTGGGCGACAGAGCGATGCTCCATCAAAAATAAATAAATAAATAAATAAAACATCAATACCTAAGCCCCACTCCAAATCACAGAATCAGAATCTCTGATGTGGGCACCAAGGATCCGTGCCAGGAGAGAGGAGTGGAGGTGGACTGCAGCCTGACTGAATGTCGGGTTTTAACTTATATGGTCAGCTATGGAGAGTCAGAGAAAGCATGAGAAGGATGGAACTTCTACTCTCAACATAATTTAAATGTATAAAGGGCTTTCAGCTCTAGTTTTTCATTTCATTTTCCCACTAGTTCCACGAAGTAGTATTATCCCTATTTTAAGAATTAGAAAAATGAGGCCCAGAGAAGTCGCAATTGCTAATTATTCATGGTCATTAGTCCGAGTCTCATGCTTTTCCCATCAAACCACAGCTGCTGAGATGAAAACGGTGGGGGCGGGGAGGTGCCTCAGAAAGACCGGCATCTGGGGGTCATGAGGATGGACAGGAGAGGAGAAAGCGGATGGCAACAAGGTAGGGAATGCTGGCGTTTCTTGAGCGCTTACTATGTGCCAGGCCCTGCTCTAAGGACTTTCCGTTATTACCTCATTTACTCCTCACACTCTATGAGGTTAACTAATCTTGTTATCCGTGTTTCACAGATAAGGAAACTGAAGGGGCAAAAGGTGAGACTGCCCAAAGTCACAGGGTAGTGACGCCCTGACAGAGGCAGAGCTCAGTTCTAGACTGTCCAGCCCCAGAGGCCAAGCTCTGAACCCCAGGCCAGGCTGGCAGGAAGAAGCGGAGGCTCATCAAGAATGGCGGCTGGAGGGACGAGCACTCAGCTCAGCTTATCAAATCCTTCCTGAGCATCTGCTGGCTGCTGGGTGTTCTCCTGGATGGGAGAGAAGACATGGCCCCAGGCCCAGAGAAATGAAGTGCTCAGGAGGACATGACCCGACCGAGTACGCGATGAGAGACGGCGAGGACTTGGTGAATCCCAGCAGGCAGGGACTCAGAGAGTGGGAGGGTGAAGAGTCATTAAGATGGCAGGTTTGGGTGTGTGAGCAAATGGAACTGACACCCTCAACAGATGAAGAGAAACTGGAAGAGTCTGCTCTAGGGGGAATGCGAGCAAACACGGCGCTTGCCATTTCCAAGCTCTGCGGGGCCTGCCTCCCAGCTCCAGAGGCATGCACTGCTGCCACAGGATCTACCATGCTGTGTGAGACAGTCGTGCCAGTGACTGTGCCCTGAAGAGCTGCGCCCTCACGCCCTGGAGCAGCTTCCATCTGATCTACCTCTGGAAGCCCAGGGCACTGCACATGGCGGTGAATAGTTACCTTCTGTTTCAGAAAGAATAGGTTCCCACAAGCCATTTTCTAGAAAACATTAGGTCTCTAGGTTTCTTTGTGTCCCATGCCCAGCACAGCACCTGGCCCATGGGAGGGTAAAACAAACGTTTCCTCAAGGACTGAATGCCTATGTGTCCAAATGACCTTAATGGAGGTCAGCTAAAGGTAGCAGTCAACACAGGGAACAAAACTTGTTTCATCTTTTTTTCCAACATCCTACAATCTACAGTCCCAACAAGAATGAGGAGACCTAGTTGTCTTCAGCCTAACCCAGCACAATGTGCAGCCTCCAGGTACGCCAAGCTCAAGGTGGTTCACTGTGAACTTCATTCATGAAACGGAAGACATATGCTAAGTTTGGACTCATCCTTAGCAAGGCGAAAAAAGTATTGTAAGAATTCACACATGAAAATGCTATTTTTCTCTCAAAGAACTAGAAATCTGTTTTCTTGAAAACGATTTATCCTAATTTATTCTGAAGTCTTTAAGTTACAGACATCATTAGAGGCTTCTCTCACAAGTACAAAAGTATGTCTTATTTCCAATAAAAAAACACTGTGTTGCAGGTTTCCAATTATTAACAATAAATAAGAGTATTCCCACCTGAGAGAAATGTTTCCCACAAATGTTACATTCAAAAGGTTTCTCACCTAAAACAAAACAAAACAACAACTTGTAAAATCATTACTAGTATTTGTTCAATAATTTTTTGTTTAAATGACCTCCTATGTACTTTCAAAATGGCATTACATTCTGCATCCTAACAGTATGAAAATAGGGAGTGTCTACTTCCTTATATTTCTCTCTTGCCTTTATTTCTACACAGAGATGATAAAAGTAATATTTTCCTCTAAAAACTTAAACTGTTCTCCAAACAAAACTTATGTTAAAATCAATGTATTTATTTGCATCCAGAGCAGACCCACGTTCTGGAAGTGGTCTTTTCCTGTGGTTGAGTTTTCCTGCTGAACAGCACGATCCCGCTCACCTATTCTTCAGCCTGATGCCACCCAACCACCAATCCTAACAGACACAGGGTCACTGGTTCACACCACACAAGGTATGAGCACAGAGAGCCCCAAACACAGTGGGTCGTCCTGAAGCATGAGTGTGAAAAGGAAAGAGCCCCTCACCACAGTCTTCCTGCCTTGGTTCTCACGAGAGAAAGTAAGATTTCATTTTGGGAGATGTGCTCCTCTGCGGACTTCTTTATCACCTCTAATTTCAATAACTAAGTAACTGCGCTTGGGGACAGAACAGATTCTAAGAATGGTACTCTACTACAAAAAAACCACAGCTGTTCTGAAATGTGGCCTACAGAACATGATCTGAATTTAAAAGCACACTCCATGGTACTGCCTTTAATCTATATAACGCTAATGAATAGACTTTGAACACTAAGAACCTCTCATTTTCTCCATTTCCCTGAAATCAAATGGTTTCATTAAGATCTTCTTTAAAAAGTAACAATAATGTTTTCCCTTCCTACTATATCGTTGGGGCTTGCTACCTTGAAGAAAGCAGCTTGCTAGCTTTCTGGGCTCATTCTAGGATATTTTAATTTTATTTTATCCTGAAAATGTCTAATGGCTTCCTTGACCCTGAATAATTATATTTATATTAATAATAAATTAATAATTACATTAATTCTGTATTGCAATAAATGAAACTACATTTATGTCTGAAATTATTGGGGGTGACAGATAATAAGTTAAAGCCCCCATAAGAAATATAAGAATTTGAAAAGAGAGAGAGGTCACCAGTTACTAAGACTAATAAATGACCAAGGTTAACAATCCTACTCCAGTAGGCCTCAGACTTTTTGGCCTCAGGACCCCTTCACCTTAAAATTGAGGTCCTAAAGAGCTTTTGTTAATATGGGCTATAGCTATTGATATCTACCATACTGGAAATGAAAACAGAGTGACCTTTAGAACAGGTAAATACACACTTCACAGGCCACCAGGGTGAGGACTTCATCACACATCATGTAGCTTTGGGCAGACTAACTGTACACTCATAAGAGGAGGAAAAAACAACTAACATCTTAGACAATTTTGAAAATAGTGTTGGCCTCACAGACCCCCAAAAAGGGTTCCCCAGACCATACTTTGAGAATTGCTGCCCTTCTCGGTAGAATATTTATGTGCCAGTAAGCATCTTTGCCATGACTGTATCTGTCATTCAAAGAGGTTCTCCCAGAATAAACAATTTTTGATTCCTTTAAAAGCTAAGCAGGTAAGTTTCACAATAAAAAATTACAGCCATCGGGCCAAGCGTTGTGGCTCATGCCTGTAATCCCAGCACTTTGGGAGGCCGAGGTGGGCAGATCACTTGAGGTTAGGAGTTCAAGATGAGCCTGACCAACATGGTGAAACCCTGTCTCTACTAAAAATACAAAAAAATTGGTGGCGCATGCCTGTAGTCCCAGCTACTCGGGAGGCTCAGGCAGGAGAATCAATTGAACCCAGGAGGCAGAGGTTGCAGTGAGCCGAGATTGTGCCACTGCACTCCAGTCTGGGCAACAGAGCGAAACTCTGTCTCAAAAAAAAAAAAAAAAAATTGCAGTAATCATTAGGCTGTAGGAGATTTAGGCAAACAGAATCATCTAAAGTTTTTTCAGGGCAAAACTAAGTCTGTGATATTGCCTTCACGTGGAATAATTTTGAACTACTAGTGATAATAACAGTACTTTATATTCAAATGCACTAAAATGTATAAAGGGCCTTCACAATTATCAAAGAAATCTCCCAATAATACAAGGTCGTAAAATGCAAACTGTGAATCCATAGTGATAACAGAAGGTCACATCAACAAACACAATTACACAAACACCGTAAAAGCAGCTGCTGTGGAAGCATCCTGTTGCATGTTACTTCTCATGCCTATAAGGTAATTGTTGTTCATCTGTAATGTGCTATTAAACTCATGTTTAATTATAGGAAGAAAAGTAATATATATGTATTGTATAACATAATGTGTGTGTGTGGAGATATATATATAGAGAGAGAGAGAGACACACACACAGAGAGAGAGAGAGAGAGAGAGAGAGAGAGAGAGAATACCTTAAAAAAATCTTTTGGGAAAGAGAAAGAGGCATGAATTAAGATAACAAAACTTTGAAAATTCAATGTTTAAATTGGAAGAATTTTCTTTTGAGAATATCAAATGGTTAAAGCTGATTCTTATTAAAAAGTTTACTTCCTGACTCCCAAATTAGAATTTTAAAAATTAGACACTCAAATTCCTTCCAAGAGAACTTGTAGAATCATTCAAAGTATATTAGGTTAGTCTAAATTAACCTATATGATGCTTTCAAAAAATAAGCTTAATCTAATTCTAAAAAGACAACTAAATATAGCTTATCCATTTTAGAATTAATTTGAAATTCTGGGTGCACCAAAATTACTATACTTTCTTTAGAGACAGATGGCTTGTCATATAAAAATGTAGTTGAAATAAAAATTAAAAGTATGCACCTTTTTAAAGTGACTTTATAAAACCATTTACAAAACTTTAAGTCAGATGCATCACCAAAAATATAAAACAAAAAGTAGTTAATCCCCCTTATTTTGTTTAAAATCATCAATGACATCAAACAACAGCAAAACTTCTTACAAAAACAAGAAGAGCCAGTGGTGTCTGAGCATCCGCATTACGTCCTTCCCTTCTGCCTGTGGGTACTGAATCAGTTACCTGTATGAGACCGTTTGTGAAGCTCCAAGTTGCTTGGGTGTTTAAAAGGTTTCCCGCATAATTCACACGCGTATTGTCTCTGGGACTGAAGTGTCTGGGACTGGTCTTCCAGGGCAGCCGGGTCTTCAGGCCTCTCCGTCTCACTAATGCAATTAAAATTCTCACAACTGACGACTTCTTCACTTTCTTTTTCTTCAGCACTTTGGCTGCTAGCTTTCTCTAGGGTATTTTTACTAGCAGATTCCAACCTCTTTGTCAAACCATCATCTGACTTGGGTTCAGATACTTGCTCTGCGTATTTCTGTGACTTCAGGAAATTGAGCTTCTTCAGATGAATGGCCTTTTTGAGCCTCATCTGCTTGACAGGTTGTTGGCATGTGGCGTCTGACTCAGGGTGTGGGGCAGAGTCATTCACAGGCTGGGCCAGGAAGTTGGAAGGTAAGTGCTCGGGAGACTCCAGGATGCATTCAGAATGACTGACGGCACAAGGCTGGCTCTCTACCGTGGTAAGGTCTGTAGAGGTGCTGAAAGCAAAAGGCTGCTCAACAACTCTCTCCTGACTGGGACCAGCTGCGTGTTTATGGTACTGCTTACTGTAAAAGTTTCTGAGTTTGTAATAGTAATTTGGCTGTTTGAAAGGCAGTTCTGTGCAGCTGCCATCTGAAGTATCAGGAGCTTGTTTTGAGATTTCACCTGCGGAGTGATGACGATTAACTGATGGTGAAGCATGCGGATGCGATTCATCCAACGTTTTGTTCTGCTGTGCATCTGCTGAACATTCCTGCAGTAAATGAGGGGGGTAGTTTTCACTGATAACACAAGTGGCATCTGGGGTCAGGGTGCTTTGTAGAGACAATGTACTATTACAAGGCATGCCAGGTGGCTGTACTACAGTGGCTGATTTTAAAAATGTGTGACACAGACTCAGAACATTTTGAACTTGCAAACACTGTGCTGTGTCCAGCATTACTTGTATATTGTCCTGGTTAAGATCTAGATGAGAAGTGTACATGAAGTCCAGGATCTGCCCTATGCCACTGACATTTTTAACATCCAAGTGAAAAACATCATTCTTCTGGCTTGAAGAATTCTGAAAGAGGCTCCTGGTAAAAGAAAGAATATCTGTTTACAGTGCCAAAAATTCACACCATCTTTTTCTTATAAATAACATTCATATATTAATATTAAAAAATACTATCCTTCTGTGAATGTCAAAACTTTTAACATAAGTACATTTTAATCCTTTAAAACAACCTGGCAAACCATCCAACTAAATAATTCAGATGAATTAAATTGGTGGATTGGGTATGCAGACTTCAAAATATATCTCAAAGTAAATTTTGAAATATACTCAAATTTACACAATAAAAAATTACATACATTTATATGACTGATAAACCACAAATCAAGAAGTTTCTAAGATAATTCCCAATATGATCTAAGAAATAAAAGATTGCTCTAAATATTTTTTCGAAAGGTAATTATCCATATATATTAAATACATACTAATAGAGTACACAAAATTAAATAATATATACTTTTCACTATTTCATAGTCTGACAAGTATTATATTTTAGGCCATAAACCATATACACAAATATTTCCACATCTAAGTGCCTAGAAAACTTAAAAAAAAATAGCTAGAATAAACCAACCCTCCACATACATTCCTTTGTAACCAGTAATTTATTTGGCTGTTAGGTTTTTCAGCCAGCCAGTGGTTCAAAAACCAACAGTGAGAAAAACCCTAAGAGTTAGTGAAGACCAAAATGCACTCTAAAGCCCAGGCACTTTATTCTGGGTACAAGCCAAGGTCACAGGTGAACAAATTTGTATTATGTATGAAATAATAAGCTCAGGTAAGTAAGTTGAAGACATTTTGTCAAATACAATCACCTATTTCCCCCAAACAGCCTTCAGTTCTGTTTTTAAGCGCAAAACAGCCTGTGTATCACAATATCAAAATTTAACTGTCCTGGGAAGACAGAAAAAACAGGTGATAGCAAACCCAAGAGTTTGCGACCATTTTTCCTAGGAACAAAACCTGCTACCTACCTTAAGAAGCTGATTCATTACAATGTGTAATGTGGTCTATACAATAACTGAGACTCAATTTGATGATTCAGGATTATCAAGGAAAGAGCAAATCATGTCCCACGTTGTCTACTAGAGCAGTAAAACGGTATGCATTTTGGAAACAAAAAGTACTTTAAAAAAAAAAGACTTTGTATTTAAAGAGAGAGAAACCTGCTAACAACAAAATGAACTTATGCAGAATCACTTAACTCTAACAATTTTTTTTTTTTTTTAAGAGACAGAGTCTCCCTCTGTTGCTCAGGCTGGAGTACAGTGGCATGACCACGGCTCACTGCAGCCTCCAACTCCTGTGCTCAAGGGATCCTTCCACCTCAGCCTCCTGAGTAGCTGGGAATACAGAATAATGTTTAAATAAGCTGAAACACAACTTCTTAGTATTATTATTTATAAATAAATATTTCATATAAGCCAAAATGATTATAAGGTTTTCTTAGAATATTCAAATGAGAAACAAAAACTAAAATGCTTTAATTAAGAAAAAAAAGAAAAGAAAAATCCAACACCAAATATGTTTTTCCCCTGATTTCTTATCACAGAAAAATTCTGACCGGGAACTTAATTCCTCCATCATTTTATCTTGAAAGGATAAGAAATATATGTAGAAGACTGACATTAGCCAGAATTAGTAAAATGAAAGACAAACAACCAAAATACTTTCAATCATCCCAAATTCATTTTACTTAAGAGCCTCTTTTCTTTTCAGGTTACTCTAAACACAAAAGCAAAAATAATAAAAATGGTTAACAAACTTAAAAATTAAAACAACTCCTACAAAATCCAATGTGCTATAAAAGATAAAGATAGTGAAATCCAAGGAGAACAAAATATGAATACTTCCATACTAAAAGAGCTTTACCCTTAATTCACAGCTAGGAGAATGAAGTCTAAAATACCCACCTAAAATACTGGCTGAATGCTGCCAGGACATTCTTATGCGCTTTAAAGCAGACTCCTTTTACCACCAACATACAGTCACAAAGCAGGCCTTGGATTCGCTGCTCATGCAGTTGCTGGAGCAGATGGCAGCTGTGGGTAGCAACAGGGTCCATGCTCAACCATTCAGGTGACCTACAGCAAAAAATCACAGATACGACAGATATTCTTAAGGACCTCACTGGAAACTAAATGGGACTGAAACTTACTGATTGATCTGTGCTTCACTCTCTCATCACAGTTTCTCTCTCACACACACACACACACACACACACACACACACACCTCTGTTTCTGAGGCATCTAGACCGCTGCTGTTCAACAGAATTACCTGTCATGATGGAAATGCTCTCTATCTGCACTGCTCAATACAGTAGCCACTGGCCACACATGGTCACTGAGAACTTGAAATGTGGCTGAGGGATTGAAATTGTAATTTATATTTTAAAAGCCACAGAATTTAAACAGTACAAATCTAGAATATGACCATGTTAATATTGTATGTACTTCTCGGTATCTACTTAGGAATATGTCAAATAAAAATTAAAATAATATACACATACATAAAAATGTATAAGGTGAAAGAAAAGCCAGCTGGTTAAGATCAAATCCATATTTATCAAACACCTGTACACAGGTCACTGAATTAGAAGTCGGGGAAATTAGGAGCCTATTTTGGGAGATAAGGTACAGGTCAAAATACCTAACATCACCAGACAATGATATAAGAGACATCGCAAAGAAGCAGGTCCCCTCACTCGTGCCTTTGTGCCTCCCTAAGAGGCTACTTGGTCAGATGCCTGAAGGAAGGGAAGGAGCTGTGCAGGTACCTGGGCCAGAAAGAACAGCAAGCACCAAGTCTCTGAGGCAGGAGCTTGCTGGGCTCAGGTGTGGCTGAGTGAGTGGCAGGAGATGACATCCTAGAGGGGACAGAGGGTCAGGTCATGCCCAGGCCTGCGGGACTTGTTATGAACCCTGACTCTGATTCCAAATGAGATGGGAAGCCATTGTGTAGACACTGCAAGCTTCAACCTTCAGCCTCTGTTCTCCAACTGACTACTGTGTGCCAGGCTGTAGGGTCACAGCAATGAACAAAACACGCCAGGTCGCCACTCTCATGCAGCTGAAATTCTAGTGAGGGAAACACACACACGAAAGTGCCTGATGCACGACTAAACAAAACAGTTAAGAGCTAGACACTGGTATACACAGGCCAGTAAGCCACGGTCTTGGATGTCTAGGGCGCAGTCTAGTAGGGGATGATTTATGGAAGAGAAATAGTTGGAAGAAATGGAACCAGTTTGGGACAAGACTATGAAGGTTAGGCAGTCTGCACTAGGCGTGGTGGTTCACACCTGTAATCCTAACACTTTGGGAGGTTGAGGCAGGAGGATCACTTGAGTCCAGGAGTTCGAGATCAGTCTGGCAACACAGTGAGACCCTGTCTCTATGAAAAATAAAAACAAAAATTAGCTAGGCATGGTGGCACATGCCTGTAGTCCCAGCTACTTGAGAGGCTGAGGGAGGAGGACTGCTTGAGGCCAGAAGGTTGAGGCTGTAGTGAGTCATGATGGCACCACTGCCCTCGCCCTCCAGCCTGGGTGACAGAGAGAGACCCCATCTCAAAAAAAAAGGCAGTATGGTACTAAAAATCTAAAAAGGCATCATCTGCTTTTTTTGCCTTCATTCTCAGTACTCAAGCATGGCTGAAAAAGTCACTACAATACTAATCCCAAATCTAAGCTTTTCAACACACCCCTTACTTCTCACTTAGACTTATCTCCCATTACTCCAAGTATGTGGCAGCCAAAGTGAACTACTAGCAGCTCCCCAAACCACCTATGTTCTTGGCCAGTGGGTTGGAGACCTAGTTCCACCACTCACTGGCTATATGACTTTGGGCAAATGACTTCTCTGTGACCCACTGTCCTCACCCTATCTCACAGGTTATTGTGGTTACCTGTGTAAACATTTAGACTAGTATCTGGCATATGGAAGGATTCTGTAATAATCCGTAAGGATCACCTGGGGAGCTTGTTAAAAATGCAGATTCCTGGGTACATCCCAGGGTTTTGTTCTGTCAGTCTACAGGGGAGCCTGGTAACCGCATCACAGGCATTCCGGTGATTCTGAGCAGGCGGACTGCAGATCTCTGCCTGCGCTCTCCTCTGAAAGCCTTTGGTTCTGTCCTGAGAATACTTTACTTATACCTGACCCTCCCACCTTCCAGATCAGGGCTTAGGTGAGCTGTCACCTACTTTCCCACCATTCTTTTTTTTTTTTTTTTTTGAAACAGGATCTAGCTCTGCCACCCAGGCTACAGTGCAGTGATGTGATTAGAGCCCACTGCAGTCTTAACCTCCTGGGCTCAGGTGATCCTCCCACCACAACTGTGACTACAGGCATGTGCCACCATACCTGGCTAATTTAAAAAATTTTTTGCAGAGATGGGGTTTTGCTACATTGCCCAGGCTGGCCTTGAACTCCTGGGCTTAAGCAATCTGCCTACCTCAGCCTCCCAAAGTGCTGGGATTAAAGGCATGAGCCACTGCACCCAGCCCCATGATTCTTAACCCGCTCTGGGTTTGGGGTTGCTCCTCTGTGATCTTCCCAGTGTCTTCATTCCCATCACGTCTCTTTCCCTCACTCATAAAAATGGCTGTGACTTAAACTTCACTAAGAAGGCTGAACCCAGTCGGGCGCAGTGGCTCACTCCTGTAATCCCAGCATTTTAGGAGGCTGAGGTGGGGGGATCACCTGAGGTCAGGAGTTCGAGACCAGCCTGGCCAACATGGTGAAACCCTGTTTCTACAAAAATACAAAAATTAGCCAGGCATGATGGCGAGTGCCTATAATCCCAGCTACTGGGGAGGCTGAGGCAGGCGATTCACTTGAACCCAGGCGGGGGAGGTTGCAGTGAGCTGAGATCGCGCCATTGCACTCTAGCCTAGGCGACAAAGCGAGACTCTGTCTCAAAAAATAAAAATAAATAAATAAAATAAAAGAAGGTTGAACCGATGTATAACTTGATAACCATAGTGCCTTAAATTTTTCTCAGTTCCAAATTTCCCACTCACCCCTCCCTCATTCCCTTAGGCTTCATGGGATGAAACATGCCTCCTCCTTCCCAAGATGAACCTTCCCTCTCCCCTTGAGCCTTCCTGCCTCCCCTAGAACCTGGTTCCATCAGCGAAGCTTTCATTGCTTCACCCTGTCCTTTGGTGGCTCCTCCACACAAACACACTGACATTGCCCCATGTTGAAAACAAAGCAAAACAGGGTAACGACAAAGCCCTCCCCCTAGGTTCCTCTAGTCATCACAGGTCTCTCTTTCATACTTTTCAAAATAGCTATCTACATGCCCCACTTTACTTTCTCATGACTCCTTTCTCACCTTGTGTATTAGTCCGTTTTCATGCTGCTGATAAGGACATACCCAAGACTGGGCAATTTACAAAAGAAAGAGGTTTATTAGACTTACAGTTCCACATGCCTGGAGAGGCCTCACAATCTTGGCAGAAGGTGAAAGGCAAGGAGGAGCAAGTCATGTCCTACATGGATGGCAGCAGGCAAAGAGAGCGCTTGTGCAGGGAAACTCCCGTTTTTAAAACTATCAGATCTCATTCACTGTCATGAGAACAGCGTGGGAAAGACCCACCCCCATAATTCAATCACCTCCCACCAGGTTCCTCCCATGACATGCAGGGATTGTGGGAGTTACAATTCAAAATGAGATTTGGGTGGTGACACAGTCAAACCATATATCACCTTGCAACCTTGCTGCCACTCACTCCACTGAAACAGACTTTCCCGACAGTGACTTTTCCTCAGTCCTCAACCATCCTCTCCAGCTTTCCTGCCACACATGGCAATGTGGTCTGCCAACTCCCATCCTGAAATCCCTCCTGTCCCAGAACTCTTCTGGTTCTCTTCCTATGTCCCTGATCTGTCCCATCCCTATCCTGTACCTGTCTCCCTCAAGCCTTGCAAACATTGATGTTCCTTAAGGTGCAGCACCATAGCCCTCTCCTCTTTCCCTTGACAATCACTTTCATTCTTGGCTTTTACATGTTCTAACACAATTCCTAAATTTGAAACTTTAGCTTCAGCTACCAGTTCTAATCTCCAACTCTCTGCTAAACTTCTTCAATGGCATGCCCCTTCAATGTAGAATCTCTAAATTTCATCCCCCATCACCTCACCTATCAAATCGAGACCTTATTCTGATTCCCCTCATCTCTTTATGGAAAGCTTTGTTTCTAACGTGTAGGGTTTGGGGTATTGGCATGATCTCCTGGTTTGAGATCTCCTGGTTTGAGATCAAAGTGAGACTCAGAGAAAACTGGGACAAAGAGCAACACTGAGGTACTGCCCCAAAAGAGAGTACAGAAAGAAAGGCACGATGGTAGGCGGCGAACACTGTTCCCAGTGCTGAATCCTCAAGGCTAGTAACAGCCAAGTGAGTAATCAGTTACCCACCCCTGCCAAGCTGGTTGCCTGAAAAGGCTTCTAAGTTTATCATTCTTTTAAACTATCATTTACTGACTATTTACCACAGACCTGTGCTAAGCATATCATATCTGATATGGCTTGGCTCTGTGTTCTCATCCAAATTATAATCCCCACATGTCAGGGGAGGGACCTGTTGGGAGGTGACTGGATCATGGGAGCAGTTTCCCCCATGCTGTTCTTGTGATAGTGAGTGAGTTCTCAGTAGATCTGATGGTTTAAAAATGTTTGGCAGTCCCTGCTCCCCCCACCCGGTTCTCTCTCCCCTGCTGCCATGTAAGATGTGCCTTGCTTCCCCTTCGCCTTCTGCCATGATTTTAAGTTTCCCAAGGCCTCCTCAGCAATGAAGAACTGTGAGTCAGTTAAACCTCTTTCCTTTATAAATTACTCAGTCTCAGGTAGCAACTTTATAGCAGTGTGATAATGGATCAATACAACATCCATTAACTGAAGCAAGTCTCTAAGAACCCAATTACCACCATTCACAAGAGAAACAATTAAGATATGGAGACTTTAAGTCACTTATCCAAGATCATACAACTATTATGTGCCAAAGGCAGGATTTGAATCCTGGCCCCCAAACACTGGAGTCTATGCTTTTATGCTATGCTATCGCCCACGGGAAAAAAGACATTAAACACACACACACACACACACACACACACACACACACACACACACGAAACCCTCCTCCACAGACCTGTTAAAATTAGGTAAAAATGTCTAATTATACAAATGTAAATGTCTAGGTATATTAGGTAAATGTCTAATTAGAAAATTAGACATTTTCTAGCTCTATAGAAGTGATAAAGGAAAAAGTTATTTGGAATGACCCCCAGAGTTATGATGCTAGGCAGTTATTAACTGTTACACAATTTACTTTTACTATAGGAATTAGAGGCTGGGTGCGGTGGCTCATGCTTGTAATTCTACCACTTTGGGAGGCCGAGGCAGGCGGATCACCTAAGGCTACGAGTTCGAGACCAGTCTAGCCAACACGAAGAAACCATCTCCACTAAAAATACAAAAATTAGCCAGGCGTGGTGACGCATGCCTATAATACCAGCTACTCTGGAGGCTGAGGCAGGAGAATCGCTTGAACCCAGAAGGCCGAGGTTCCAGTGAGCCGAGATTGCACCACTGCACTCCAGCCTGGGCAACAGAACGAGACTCCATCTCAAAATAATAATTATTATTATTCCATATCATTTTGTATAGTTCTCTAAATTACTTCATGATGTCAATCCTGTACCTCCCCAGTAAGGTTATAAAAAGGTCTGGAAACCCCAATAAGGTTATTAAAAGGTCTGGAAACCCCAATGAGGTTATAAAAAGGTCTGGAAAAAAAATTGTATCTTACATTTCTTATGTGTTCTGTCAATTATAAACAAAAATGTATCTTATACCTAATAATAGTAATGATTATGACAAATACTTATGTTTCCTAGATGCCAGGCACTATTCTAAGCCCTTTACACTTATTAACTCATTTACCATAAGATAGGTGCTACTATTATCCACATTTTACAGGTGAGGACAATGAGGAATTTGTCAGATTTAAGATGGCCACAAATTCTCCGATGATTCTCCCATGGGGTAGTGGAGTCTAGGTCTCCTTCCCTCCTGCACAGGCTCTGCCTTAATCAGATTCTGTGCTACAAAGCTGTGCTCATTTCCCAGGCCCAGGCCTTTAAAGAGCTAACAGCTTCCACTTCCCATCTTTCAGAACAGTGGCTATGGAAGGCCTGAGCCACCTGTAAGATGCCCAGCTAGAGAGAACACATGGAGACAGAGAAGGGTTCAGCTGGCTCCCAGGAAAGCCATCCTGACCTCTCCAGGCTGGCCCCTCCTCCAACTGAATGCCACTGAGTGATCCCAGTTGACACCACATAGAATTGAAGAATTTCTCAGCTGACACCTGCCTGAATACCTAACCTGCAGAATTATGAGATAAAATAGTTTTTGAGTCACTAAATTTGGGGGTAGAGTGTTACACAGCAACAGAAAACCTGACCATATACAGAGAAGATGGTCACACAGCTAAAAATAGGTAAGTAATAAGGGACAGAGGTGGGATTCAGAGCCAGGGAATCTGACACCAAAGCCGCATTCATAACCACTGTTTCCTTTGATCGGAATCAGCTGCCTCTTCAGTCTACTGCCTATGCCTGATTGTCCAGGTAATCCCACAGACAAGCTTTGCATTAAGGAACTGCACAATTCAGGACTAAGATGTGCTACACAAGGTGTTATAGCGTGAGAGAAGGAGCAGAAGGTTCTCTTCCATCTTTGCGACTAACTCACCTAGTGACAAGCAGTAAAAATTTTCTGTGGTGAAGACATGGACTCCATCTGTCTTATTGAACAATGTATCTCTGGTGCCTAGCAGAGTGTCTTTGACATAATAGGCACTCAATACATATTTCTGGATGGATGAGACTCTGGGCCTCAGTTTTTCATCTATAAAAATGGAGAGGTCCCCTATTGGACTAGATGATCTCTTTTAGAGGTTTTTTCCTAGTTCTAAAAGCTACAAATCTATACAAGGAATGTGATGGTGGAAAGATGGTATGAATGGCGTCAAAAAATGAAAATATGGGGGGAAAAGAAACAAGAAAAAGTTTAGATCAATGTGAATGAAGAAATGCTTCTAAAGAAAACAACAGCCAGAATGGAATTTCAACCTGCAGAGAGGACTCCTAGAGCAAAGGCCCCTCAATTCTACCAACAGGTCAAATACTACTGGATAGAATTTGTGGATGTTTTTTCAGCAGTGCCATTAATAGATTACTTCTCCAAGGGCCCACAGTTCACGCACCTTAAAGTCAAGCTTACCTCAGAGGGCTCCTAAGGAGTCTGCCCATCATCATACTTTCCAAATGGCTTACTTGTAGCTCCTCACCTCCACCCTACTCATAAAAGCACTGGCTTGAAGCAACAAACCTGGAATCTTGTCTTAGCTTTATGCTGACTCTTATCATACTGGGAAGGCCAATTGGGTTAAACAGATACTGTGTGCCTAACATGTGCAACAGATTGTCGCGAGGATGGAATGCTGACAAACGGAACAGATGTGTTCCCTACTCTTCACAGGCTCTGTGTCTCAGTTTTCCATCATTCACTTAACTTTACACAATGCCCATTATGCGCTAGGCACTGAAGGTACGATGGCAAACACATCAGATACGGTCATCCATGTCTTCATGAAGCATCAGTCTAGTGGGAAAAACAAGTATCGTTGCACTGTACCAGAGTTATTTTTTATTTTTTTCCGAGACGCAGTCTTGCTCAGTTGACCAGGCTGGAGTGGAGTGGTGTGCTTTCGGCTCAGTGCAACCTCCACCTCCTGGGTTCAAGCGATTCTTCTGCCTCAGCCTCCCGAGTAGCTGGGATTACAGGCATGCACCACCACACCCAGCTAATTTTTGTATTTTTAGTAAGGACGAGGGGTGGGGGTCTCACCATGTTGGCCAGGCTGGTGTCAAACTCCTGACCTCAAATGATCCACTCGCCTCAGCCTCCCAAAGTGCTGGGATTACAGGCATGCGCCACCACACCCGCCTAATTTTGGTACTCTTAGTAGAGATGGGGTTTACAGGGTTTCACCATGTTGGCCAGGCTGGTCTCTATCTCTTGACCTCAGGAGCTGCCTGCCTCGGCCTCCCAAAGCGCTGGGATTACAGGCGTGAGCCACCGCACCCAGCCCTGTACCAAAGTTATTAAATGGAGGAAGCAGAAATTAATTTGGGAGGGAGGGTCAGGGAAAACTTCCTGGAAGACACATCTATGCTGAAATGTGAGTTAAGTTTGCCAGACTAAAAAAATGAGAGGGCTCACTTTCTTTGAGTATTCAGGAGGACAAACAAACAAACAACAACAACCAAACCCAAAAACAGTACGAGAGCACAAACAAGACTGAAGTACACATATGTGCCCTGAACACAAAAAACATCTTGAGCACCCTGCTTTTAAGCCTCCTGGCCATTCTGTCACTTCTGTTGGAAAGTATTTCCCTCCTTGTCCATTTCTGTGAATTCCTTCTGTTATGGTTAAACTGTTCCCCCAGCACTCCAGAATGTGATTGTATTTGGAGATCAGGCTTGTAAGAAGGTAATTAAGTTAAAATGAGGCCATTAAGGTGGGCCCTAATACAACCTGACTGACGTTCTCATAAAGAGGAAATCTGGATGCAAAGAGAGACGCCAGAGATGTGAAAACACAGAGGAAAGACCATGCGAGGACACAGCAAGAAAGCAGCCACGTGCAAGCCAAGGAGAAATGTCTCAGAAGAAACCAAACCTGAAGACACCTTGATCTTGGACTTCTAACCTCCAGAACTGTGAGAAAATAATAAATTTCTGTTGTTTAAGCCACCCAGTATTTTGTTTGCAGTCCTAGCAAACTAATACACCTTCTATTCCAGGCCCAACACTGCTCACTTTCAGAGTGAAACCTTATCACCCATATACACACACCTTGGGAGTGAAGGTTTCTCACAATACTCTGTGCATCCTCCACTCAACTTTCATTCATTCATTTAAGCAACAAACACCTAGTGACCACCACTGTGTGCCAGACCCTGTTTTAAGGGCTGAGAAGAGCTAACGTTTATTGAGTACTTACTAAGTGGCAGCCACTAGTCTAAGCGATTTACATGCACCAACTCATGAAATACGACAAGGTTCCAGGGACGCAGGTGCCGCTATGACATTCGCTTTACAGATGCGGGGCTGAGGCACAAAGAGGCCACACCGTAATGAAACTGAGCTAGGCTGTGGGCTCTGTCGTCTTAAGCGCTACTCTCAACTACAGCGTGGAAGGAAACAGAAGCCGAGAGATGGGCAGCGCGTAGCGGAGGCGGGCCGGGCTGGCTTCCAGCGGGCAAAGCCTGGAGATGAGAGGGCGCGGGTGGGGTTTCCAGGCCGAGGAAGCTGCACCAGGGAGAAGGCCCGGCTCCCAGGCCCGGAACCTGGCCGTCTGGGTCTCAGTCCGCGTCCCCTGTGATGCCCGGCACAGAGCAAATGCTCGCTGACTCTCGCAGGAGCCGCCAACCCCCCGGGTATCCTCGAGTGCCCAGAGACGGGAAGGAGCGGTGGGTCCATGCCCTTCTGGGCCACCTTCGGGCGCCCGGCCTCCCTTCCCTTCCGGGCCATTCCCACCAGCGCCAGCCCCGCACGCCTTCGCAAGGCCGGCCACCTTACCCTCGGAGGCCGCTCTCTGCCCCGCCGCCTACTCTTCACCTGCAGCAGCTGCCTTCAAGGCCACTCGCAGCGATCCGCTGGCCGCGGAATCATCACGACAACGCCCCCTTGGCTTGCCGGAACCGCCTTCCTGCTTCCGTTGGCGTCACTTCCACTGGGGGGGGCGTGGCCGCGGTGCGCAGGCGCGCTGGGTGGTTCAGAAGCGAATTCTGCACCGCGAAGCCTGAGAGGCAGGTAGCTGCGGCGCTGGGCTGGCGGCGGCGAGTCCACGTGCTCCCCGCGGCCGGTTGAAACCGTTGGCGGGCGCTGGCTGAGAGGTGAGGGGTGGTGGCCCAGAGGTCCGACCTGGGAGGCTGGGGCTCAGAGAGTGAGTAGGGGAGGGACGGGATTTCCACCGTCAGCCCCTCTGGGTTACGCATGGAGGAAGGAGTTCCATTCAGATCTCACTCCTGCTCTGGGGAAGTGGCAGGAGTCCTGGACTTAGGGTGACCAACTCGTTTTAGTTTTAAAACTTAAGGTCCGGCGTCCTGGGAACTCCCTCGGGCCTGGCCAAACCAGGACGATTGGTCACCGCCCGACTGGGCTTCAGGCTTGCTGCATGTTGGAGACAGGGCTCTTCTCTGAGCCTTGGGAGATCAGTCCCTAAAGAGGAGGCCTTAGGATGTAGCGGTCCAGAGCACATACTTAGGATCAGAATAACTACTGCGTGTGAATCTGGGTTGCCACTACCTGGATGTGGGATGACCTGGTGTAAGTTTTTTAACCTCTTTGCGCCTCACTTTCCTCATCTGTCATAACATATAGAATCTAACTCGGAGAACTGTGATGAGGATTACATGAGTAGAAATGTGTTAACCTCCTATGAGAGGGCTTGGGTGCTCCATGAATGTTAGGATTCTCTGAAGCACCTACCTCTGAGGAGAGAGGGAGGAGGATGAGGTGGGGTCTGTATTTGCAACCCTGATTTCTAGCAGAGAGGGCCCACTTGGGACTTACTCACACTGTGCCCGAGGCTCCCAGGGTCTAGCATAGTGCCTGACACATGGTAGTTACTCGAGTGAAGGGATGGTGTTTAAAACAGTGCTGGTGATGCCGTGGGTGGGGTAGGAGGCAGAGAGAAATGGCTTCTGTGCCTCAGTTTGCTCATCTGTTTAGTGGAGATAGGTGCACCTACTTCCCAGGGCTTTTGCAAGGAACAAGGGAGAGATTCTCTCCTTGTGAATGTCACCCATTGTAACCCTTGTCAGCCTCATACACAAAGGTTTAGGCAGGATGGTGGACAGAGTATGTTTGTCTGTCCTTCTCTTGCACCATACCCATGGTTTCTCAGAATGCTACCCGTGGAAGGGGCTTGAGTCTTGTCAAGTTGGCCTGACTTCTTGTTTCACAGATGAGATAACTTGAAGTTTATAGAGGCAGTGGCATGCTCAGGGTCACAGTGTTCAGTGGGGGATATCCTGGGGTTGCCAGCTAGGCCCCTCAGGTGGGCTGTTTGAGTGGTAGTGGTGGTAATGATGTGTAGGTCAGTGTCTGCATGTGCATGCAAGAATATTTTAAGAATAGTCAAGGCCAAGCGCAGTGGCCCGTGCCTGTCATCCGAGCACTTTGGGAGGCCGAGGAGGGTGGATCACCTGAGGTCAAGAGTTCACAACCAGCCTGGCCAACATGGTGAAACTCCGTCTCTACTAAAAATACAAAAATTAGCCGGGCATGGTGGCATGTGCCTGTAATCCCAGCTACTGGGGAGGCTGAGGCCGGAGAATCACTTGAACCTGGGAGGCAAAGGCTGCAGTGAGCCGAGATTGCGCCATTGTACTCCAGCCTGGGCAACAGAATGAGACTCCGTCTCAAAAAAAAAAAAAAAAAGAAAAAAAATTGAATAAGTAATACAAAAATATAGAGGGAAGAAGATTTAAAAAAAATCATTCCAATCTCAGAACCAAACCTAAGGGCATGTTATCAGGGAACTTGGTAAAGTAGGCAGCCATGGGGTGAGGAGCCAGAGAAGGTTGGAGTGAATTTATGAACATAAATGGGTGGGTTGATGGTCATATTTAAAGGAGCATGGGTTTAGGAGGGGGCTGGGTATAATAGCATTGATGTGCAAATTAGTAGGTCACAGAGAAACCTTTCTACAATTGGGCAGGGATGAAGCTTTCATATCTGGTGTCTTATTTAACTTTCCACCCAATGCTTTGAGTTAGGTATTAGATCCATTTTACAGATAAACAGATTCTGGGAAGTTAAGGTGCTTTGAGGTCATTTAGTTTTTAATGACTTTTTTGACATTAGCAGATGTAGGCTCCAGCTCAGATCCTCTACACCTGAGTCAGGGCCCTGTCCAACAAAAGCTGGCAACCATCTTGTTAAGAGAAGACTAACAAGTTCCCAGCCCCTTAGTGACCACTGGCTGCTGCCCCTCAGCTAGCTTTGCTGTCCAGACCCTGACAGCCTCTCCTGTGACATGGGTGGTCTCCTTGCCCACTGCACAGAGGTTTTATAATTAAGACTTAGGGTTCTAATATTTATACATGGAAAGTCATCTTATAGAGACCTTAATTTTTTTTCTCTTTGGATGAGGACCTCAAGGTCCCAGGTGCTGAGTAACCACCAAGCAAACGGCTAGGACATGGCAGGTCAAGATGGAGGCAGGGTGGGAGCCTGGGCTTGCTGCCTGGTCTTTCAGGCCACCTCTGCCACTTACTGTGACTTCGGGCAGTTCACTTACCCTCCTGAGCCTTAGGTTTTCTCTCCAGATGGAGGTAGTATGATCATAGCAGTCTTAGTGGTATTGGGGGCAGTTGTGTTCATAAATGGGACACGGCTTTGTAGAGAGCTAATGATCATGTGTTCTATGGTGCAGACCCCGTCATCTTTTTCATGGGTATGGCATGTGATGAGAGCTCAGTAAACTGACCATACAGACAGACGAAGACGCAGCCAGGAGCACACGCAGAGGACCTGCGTGAGGGCCCCAGGTGTATCTGGGTGGATAGGATAGTGTCAGCATTCAGGAAATGTCTGCCGAATTGAGTTAAAGTGACTGAGCAAGAACCGAAGTATGCTCTCAACCAGTCCAAGAACACTGCCTTCTGCCTGCCTTTCTCTTTTAACATGCGCATGTGGCCAGAAGGAAAGCATGTAGAATCTCTCTGGCTGCGCTGGGACTGGACATTGGGCAGAGGGAGTTGGGGAGCCAGGGAAGGAAAAGAGGACTCTATTTAGATCCAGCCCCATGAAAAAACTGCTGTCTTTTTACACTTAGGGCTAGATGTTGAAATCTGTCACATCTGAGCCCGGCAGACTGGGTGTCCTCAAAATCTTAATGCAGTTTTAAGCTTTCATAATTTCAGAAGCATAAATGATCCAAACTTGCCAAAACATCATTTAAAATTTAATTAAGGCCGGGCGCGGTGGCTCACGCCTGTAATCCCAGCACTTTGGGAGGCCGAGGCAGGCGGATCACGAGGTCAGGAGATTGAGACCATCCTGGCTAACACGGTGAAACCCCATCTATCTCTACTAAAAAATACAAAAAATAAGCTGGGCGTGGTGGCGGATGCCTGTAATCCCAGCTACTCGGGAGGCTGAGGCAAGAGAATGGCATGAACCCGGGAGGCGGAGCTTGCAGTGAGCCAAGAATGCACCACTGCACTCCAGCCTGGGCGACAAAGCGAGACTCCTTTCTCAAAAAAAAAAAAAAAAAGTTTAATTAAATTTCCTTCATGCTTATCTAGTCTTGTGGAATTTGAACAATACCGTTTTACTTTTTTGTTTTAGGCAATGTTTGCTGTCTTCCATTGGAGTGACTGAATTTCTACATGACGGCTTTTTGTAAGTTTGTAGTATTTACATTTTTGTTTTAGGCAATGTTTGCTGTCTTCCATTAGAGGGACTGAATTTCCACCTGACGGCTTTTTGTAAGTTTGTAGCATTTACGCTTACGAATATTAAGCCTGCACTAAGACCTGGGACACCCTGTCTGCTGTGCAGTTAGGCTGACTTTGAAGCTTCTGATGGTTTTGAGCTTTTCTTTGAAGCCCAAGCAAGTGTTTATGGCATAAATTACAGGTATTTTCGCCTGGGGCTAGGTTGGGTTTGAGGTGTAATCAAGGTGCTGGACTGTCCTCCAGGCTCTGAATAAAGGAGAGGTAAGCTCCTTACAGACATTAGCTCATTAGCCAAGCAAGTGGACACAGAGCTGTTCCCATTTCATGGCAAGTGTAAAAATCCGGAGGAAGGCAGGAAGAGACAGTTCTGACTTCCTGTGCAATCCACCCATTTGGCCTTAAACAAGTAAAGACCAAATGAAAATGATGTGAGAGTTATTTTTTAGCTGGACATGTAACCAGATTCTAATCACCTTCTGAATTGATATTTAATTACACTGTAGTGTGTAGCCGATCTCCAGAGAGATAGAATGTTTGGCACAGTTACTCTTGAGTATCTTTTTGTCAACATCACTGCTTTCACTGCTTCTTTCAGTCAATATATTTTGTTTCCAGCTTCCTTCCTAGGCCTTTAATTCCTGCTGGGACAGGAATCTCTCAATTCACTCTTAAGCCTTGTCGAAACCTTTCTTCCTCCCATCTCCCACTCCATCCAGAAATAGAATTGTCCTCAGCAACAGAGGTTGGCAAGCTCTAAGCCGTATCTAAGTTTCAGAGACTGTTTTTTGTTGTTGTATCTTATTAGAAAAGTGCTTTAACGTTTTTCAGCAGATAATTTGGCATATCACGGCTGCTTTCACCTTGTGCCTGTGATGACAATCTATTTCTTGGTGACTAATAAGTTATTCCTGCTCTTACACCAAAGTGCACCTCCATGCTCTTTGAGAATGTGATGTTGGCTCTTATTCCAGCCTTTGTTCTCCCTTGTCAGGCAGGATAGCTGCTCTTGTTGCCTGACATGTTGATCATCCCTCTGCCTTTTTTTAGAATGGTAAGCTTTGAGGGAGCTGGGTTGTGGGAAACGTGATTCCAGCTCCCAGGAGCTTGACAATATCACACATCTTTACAGTAAGCAGATGAGAAGATGACAGTTGCTGCAGCACATCGAGGGTAGTCATGTTTTCCTTCCTGAGGATTTGGTGCTAGGTTGTAGCTGACCACATGCTGTCCGTTTACTAACATACACTGATAGTGAGCTGAGGAGCGGGGCCTGGGACCGCGGAATCAGGGGTCTGTGGTTTGTATGTAGCGTAGAAGCTGAGCTGATGTCTGATAGTGTCCCACAGGGCAAGAGGCCTCCACAAGAGACCAGCTGGACCTTTGTGAACCCTGGAGATGCAGCCAGGATGTACATTTCCATTCAAGGCTGAATGGACATGAATAACCTTGGTCGTTGCTTGGGTGTGGCCTCACTGGCAGTGATCCAAAACATGCTGGTGGAGGAGCAACGGTGATTTCATGCATGGGAATTCTCTGCAAACCAAGGGTAGATCATTTGTACTGAAAGCTTGTTGGATGAAGTCCTACCCTGAAGTAAATTGCATCGGTTTACTTGACCCTCACCTTTATTTTCCTAATGAGGAAGAAAGCTCTGGGTTAAACAGTTCTCAGTATTTTTGCTGTAAAACTTATAATGTAAAACAACAATGCTGTTTTAAAATCTAGTGATTAAAAATTATGTAAGTATGGAAAATTACTGTGACTTCTCTAACACTTCTAGACGAATTTGTGTTTTCCTGAGCACGGTAGCATTTCTGTGAAATTTTACAATGATGTTTATGTGCGTGTGCAGACATACTTCTTTTTGGGGCAGTGCTCGGGACACCTGGGTTTGTGAACTCCAGTAATTCAGCACCCAGCAGTTGGGACACCTGGACTTGGTTCCGTTTCTTTCTGACTTGTCTGACAAGCTGCCACATGAAGAAGGCCCCTGTCCATTACAGCTGAGGCGCATGTCCTCATTTTAACCTTTGTAGATATATAGTAATATTGATATGAATGCTTTTAGTGCCATAGAAATTGTGCCCATAGAATTGCCTCTTCTTCACTTTCTAAACTTCACTCAGTTTTCCTCTTGCTGTGTTCTTAGTATATTTGAGGACCTGAAATAGTTTGTAGTGTACACCTAAATTGCAATGCCTTCTATAAGTTTCATATACAGAGAGAGAGTTTAAGGTATTATGGAAAGTAAGATTTAACACCCTCAAAGCTCTTCATCTTGAGAGCCAATCTGCCAGGTTTAAATCCTGGTTCTGTTAACCGTGTATCCTTGGGCAAGTTATGTAATCTCTGTGTCTCAGTTACCTCATATAAATTTTGAACAATAATAGTCCTTCCCTCATAGGGTTACTGCGGGGATTGAATAAGTGAATAAATGTAAAGCCTCTAGAATAGTGCCTGGCACGTGGTAAGGACACAATAAATGTTAGCCATTCTCATTGTTAATGTTAGTTTTACTTATATGAATGGTGGAATTTTATGTAGATTGCTAATCAACTTTGACTCTGTTATTTTCATGTGAAATTATGGTTGAAAAGTTAGGGGCATGAGCCATTTATTGAAATGAGAAGTTTCAGTTTATAATTATAATTGTCTTTTTTTCCTTAGGACAAGACTTAAAACCTGTCTTGGATAGAGAATATTTAGCCATTTACCTAAAAATGGTATTTTTTACATGCAATGCATGTGGTGAATCAGTGAAGAAAATACAAGTGGAAAAGCATGTGTCTGTTTGCAGAAACTGTGAATGCCTTTCTTGCATTGACTGCGGTAAAGATTTCTGGTAAGCTTCACAGAATTCATGTAGATCCATAGTAAATCCAGATCAGTTTTGGAAGCCTTGGCGCCACAAAGCTTGGAAAAATAGTGGCAAATTTGAAGAATGAAATTAAGACTAAAAACTGGTATGTTCCATTGATTAAAACTGGTGTGATTCTTTCAAATGTGCTTTACTAGGCCGGGCGCAGTGGCTCAGGCCTGTAATCCCAGCACTTTGGGAGGCCAAGGTGGGTGGCTCATGAGGTCAGGAGTTGAAGACCAGCCTGGCCAACATAGTGAAACCCTGTCTCTACTAAAAATACAAAAATTAGTCAGGCGTGGTGGTGGGCGCCTGTAATCCCAGCTACTCGGGAGGCTGAGGCAGGAGAATCGCTTGAACCCAGGAGGCAGAGGTTGCGGTGAGCCGAGATTTCACCACTGCACTCCAGCCTGGGCAACAGAGCAAGTTAACCCCTTCTTGGGGGGGAGAAATGTGCTTTACGAAACAATTTGCTTTTTGAGGATATGTTAAAGAAAAGACTAGGGGAAGGGGAATTATGATGATTAGAGTGTTCAGTCAGTTGGTGACACTGGTTGCTATTGCATTGCCACTGTTTACAGACCCAGGGAACTAACTGCGTGGAAGATGGCTCCAGGGGTTTAGAGCCAGTTTCATTAGACCATGGGTATCACATGCCCATCACAGTGGAGAGATGGACTTATGAACCAGAAAGTGAATTTATGAGCTCACAGTGGGGCAGATGACTGGTAGCAGAGGAAACTATGTCCTCCCTAGAAAATCAGAGGTGCTGGTGGAAGTGAGGCTCTTCCTGGCCCCACGGGTGTGTCAGGAGACACTTCCACTGAGGAGGCCTCTGTGAATGTGAGGAGTTAGCGGGGAGGGACAGGACAGATCCTGCCTTAGACACCGGTTCTTCAGGTGGGTCGTTTGCAGAGGGCTCCCCTCTTGAATTTCATGTTGATTCCCCTTCAGCCTCAGAAGGTCCAGGCGAGAAGCTGGCTTCTGGCTGCATCTGCCCCAGTGTCCTCTGAGGCATTCGGATGGTACTGGCTAATACTCTCTTTTAATTCATTCTGGAGCAGTGATTTTTTTTGGAAACTGCTAACCTCTGTTCAGACGTAATCCTAGGAGGAAGCTTGATATATAAAGTAGGTTAAAATTGAGTTTTCATTAGGGGACTTTGCCCTGGACCTTGTCCCCAACATTTCCCTGAAGAACCCCATAGAGCTTTACAAAGATTATATGAGAGAGAATTTAGTTTTCTTTTTTCTCAGGACCCTAAGGGATCCAGAACTGTTGGTAACCTCATGCTGCCATTTTATATCTGTTTTTGATTTATTCTACAACTAATTATTGACTGTCTATTAGACATTGAGATTTTTATAATTTAAAAAAACTACCCTATTGCATAGAACTATTTTCTTGTTTATTCAGTATATGTACACTTATGACTTAAAAAAATACTGCCTATCAATTTAGCTTAAGGTGTTTATAAAAATGGGGGAAAAGTTTGGTGATGGGTTTTATATTGACGACTTTGGAGGAAGGGGGATGTGGTTCTGACCAGGAGGCTGTAAACATAATAAGTGAAATAGATGGGGTGCTTGTGTGATAGACACATGTGAAAATATACAGTGTAGACCACAGAAGATAGTGGCAGCATGCTGGTATTAGCGCCTCCAACTTGGGTATCAGTCTAATGGCAGAACTTTTGATCACTTTAAAGGGGCGATGACTATAAAAACCACGTGAAATGCATAAGTGAAGATCAGAAGTATGGTGGCAAAGGCTATGAAGGTAAAACCCACAAAGGCGACATCAAACAGCAGGCGTGGATTCAGGTAACGTCTCTCTAACTCATTGAGTAGCTTCCTCTGACAGCTTCCGCTTTCTTTGGAAGCCCAAGAGACTAAGAGTAAATGTGTCATCCCTGCAGACAAGCTCTGGAAACCTCATGTCCTAGGATAGACAGGTTGAACTAAAACCTCTTGAAAAAGAATTCTTTGGCTGGGCATGGTGGCTCACGCCTGTAATCCCAGCACTTTGGGAGGCCAAGGCAGGCGAGTCACGAGGTCAGGAGTTCAAGACCTGCCTAGACAACGTGGTGAAACCCCATCTCTACTAAAAATACAAAAAATTAGCCGGGCATAGTGGCGGGTGCCTGTAATCCCAGCTACTCAGGAGGCTGAGGCAGGAGAATCGCTTGAAGCCAGGAGGCAGAGGTTGCAGTGAGCCGAGGTTGTACTGGGTGACAGAGTGAGACTCCGTCTCAAAAAAAAAGAAAAAGAAAAGAAAGAAAAAAAGTTCTTTATTCTTCTAGCTGTTAAAACAGTTGCGGTGCATTATACCTTTAATCCATGTGTTTTGTTAATTTCTTGAAAAAAAAGTTTTAGAATTCTCATTAGCTTTCCCTTGGCTGTAAAACTAAATGGAAGCTTCTAATCTCTCCCTGCTTCTAGTGATAATGGAGCTTTTATAACTCAAGCCATGTTAATCTGTCACATCTGCCAGTCATTAGAATTAGGCAAAATAAAGATACTTTCGTCAATGCAGAGAATTTTCTACTTAACTAAAACAGCATGAAAACATGCACAGTAGAAATGGCAGAAACATTGACTCCCTAATTCACTGGGAAGTATAACTCTCAGAATGCTACTGATCATTTACAGAATAGGTAGCAGGAGGAAGGATTCAGAAAGGAAGGTGGGATAATGAAAAGACGGATGTCATCTATTGAAAATTCTGTGTTTTTCTAAAAACCAATAAAAAGTAATCGTTCCATTTGATAATAGAGTTGGAACGTGAATTTTTCAGACATTAACTAGCTTACTGAATGAGCATACTACTGGGAGGGTATTTCTGTTCACAAAGGACTTACTAGAGCAGATTGAGAAGCTAATGAAATCCTGTTTGCACTGGTGACCAGCAGCCACACTTTTGAGCACTCTCTGTAATTCTCTAAAAACCAGATGACGTTCCTAGACCCTAAGGTTGAGGTGCATGGGTCTGTGAGTTCCGTCTCTGCTGCTGTCACACTCGATGAAATCCTCTGAAGCAGGGGTCAGCAAACTACAGAAACTTATTACAGCTTTGTAATAAGTTTTGAAATCAGAAAATATGAGATCTGCATTTTTGTTGTTCTTTTCAAGATTGTTTTGGCTATTTGGTATCTTTTGAGATTCCCTGTGAGTTTTAGGATGGATTTTTCTGTTTCTGTAAAAACGTATATATACACACACATTGGATTTTGATAGGAATTGTATTGAATCTGTAGATTGCTTGGGTAGTATTAACATCTTAACAACTTTAAGTCTCCCAGTCCATGAGTACGGAATGTTTTTCATTTATTTGTGTCTACTTTAATTTCTTTCAGCAGTGTTTTTTGGTTTTCAGTAAACAAGTCTTTTGCCTCTTCAGTTAAGTTTATTCCTGATTATTCTTTTTGATGCTGTTGCAAATGGAATTGTTTTCTTAATTTCTCTTTCTGGTTGTTATATAAAATGCAACTTGATTTTTGAATGTGGATTTTGTATCCTGCAACTTTGCTGGATTTGTTTATTCTAACAATTTTTGTGTGGACTCTTTAGGACTTTTGACATATAAGACCACATCATCTGTGAACAGAGATAATTTTACTTCATCCTTTGCAGTTAGGATGCCTTTTATTTTGTTTTCTTGCCTAACTGCTCTGGCTAGGACTCCAGTACTATGTTAATAGAAGTTAACCTATATATTTTTAAGCATAGACATAAATACAGAATCTGGGCTTAAAACGTGAACGCTTTAGCCATGGCAAGGACTTTTTCAATTGGCTTTCATGAAACTCATGTTGGTTGTTTATTAATAGTTTTTCTTTTTTCTTCCCTTTTTGTAGAAAATTAGTGAATTAATAAAGAGACCCAATGTCAGCCCCAAAGTGAGAGAACTTTTAGAGCAAATTAGTGCTTTTGACAACGTTCCCAGGAAAAAGGCAAAATTTCAGGTATGAATTGACTTTCTTGAATGGAGGGGGCCGTGTGGCCCATCAGTGACTGAGCTTGTGTGTACCTGTCCAAGTGGGATCAATAGTTCTTTTTCTTTTTCTTTCTTACAGAATTGGATGAAGAACAGTTTAAAAGTTCATAATGAATCCATTCTGGACCAGGTGTGGAATATCTTTTCTGAAGCTTCCAACAGCGTAAGTCAGATCTGATTTTAGATTTGCATTGTGGCAAAAATAATTAGTAATAATGAAATGGGAATTTCTTATTTTTGGAAGTCAAGGCAGCCTTCTTTTTTATTTTTATTTTTTTGAGATGGAGTCTTACTCTGTTGCCCAGGCTGCAGTGCAGTGGTGCGATCGTGGCTCACTGCAACTTCTGCCTCTGGGTTCAAGCAATTCTCGTGTCTCAGCCTCCCAAGTAGCTGGGACTGTAGGCACGAGCCATCATGCCCAGCTAATTTTTTGTATTTTTTTTTTTTAGCAGAGACAGAGTTTCACCATGTTAAGCAGGCTGGTCTCGAATTCCTGACCTCAGGTGACCTGCCTGCGTTGGCCTCCCAAAGTGCTGGAATTACAGGCATGAGCCTCCGCACCTGGCCCAGCCTTCTTTTTTAGAGAACCTCTTAGTGCCTTCATTTATGGAAAGGAAGAAACTGAATGCACTGCAGAGACTTCCTTATTGTGAAGAGCAAGATGTTTCATCCCAATGTTTGATGCTGGTGCCAGCCCAGTATGTAATGATTTGCTTAGTAATCAGGCAGGGAGATAGATACATGGGAAAGAAAGAACAGGAGCTTTGGATTTCTGACAGACCTGGTTCAAATCCCTGCTGTGCAGTTTGCCTGACGTTTGATCTTAGGCACATTATTTAGCCTCTGAGCCTCAGTTTCCTTATCTAAAAAAAATGTGGATAGTAATATTCATTCATTTATTTAATACTTAACTGAGTGTCTGATCTGTGCCAGGACCTGAACAAAAAAATCTAAAGTATCCCAGGTGGTGGTGCATGAGGGAAAATAAAACAGGGTGAGGACGTAGTGACTAGGTGTTCCTCTGGATAAGGGGTGAGGGGGTCACAGCAGCCTCTGAAGGTTACGGTTAAGGTAGATGAGCAGTGTGCTTGAAGCGCCTTCCTTCTGGTAGAAGGAGAATTCCCTTCAAGTAATTAAATCAGCCACCTGTTAGTCAAAATGGTTGAATAGAGACCCTAAATGTGGACTATATATGTAGAAAATCTTGGTTTGCTATCTTTCAGCCACATTGTTGATTACATTGTTTATTTTTGTGTAAATATCAGTTTCAAAAAACAGTGGGGTCAGAACCCCACTGGTCTTTCATTCTTATCAAATTATCGGGAGTTGATTCACTTATGTAGAGAGAATACTTTCGGCAACAAGTGGGCATCAAGATGAAAATTTATCTCGGTAGTACACCTAGCGTTTGTCTCTTTCAGAAGGTACAAATTGGCCCTTTGAAACCGTATAACCGATCATTAGATTGGCCTTTATGTGGCATCTATTTTTTAAGGTTATTTCTGTTTTAACTAAGAATCAAAGATTTGAAATTGCTTCAACTGCAGGGTTTTAGAAAGTTTTTTCCAGTTTCCCTTTTGAAGTGTGAACATATTAAACATTAAATAAAATAAGGAGTAAACAGCCCCTGGTAAACCCTGAGCTCTGCGAAACGCAGCTTGTCATCCCTTACCTCTGCCTTTGCACCACGGCCCTCCCAGCATACCCTGTGTTTGTAGTGCAGAGCAGAGGGTCCTGAGGCCTTGTCCTCCGTACCTTGGTTGTTTATCCTCCTGTAACTCTGCCAGATGTCAGGTCGGATGCTTTTCTGTCCTCTACCCCATCACAGTTCACCTGATCACTGTGGATGCAACTGTAATTAGGCCAAGGTCCTGGCTGGTTGGAGCTGTGTTCTAGTGGGGGAGATAGGCACCACGTGCGGGTCCATGGTGTAATGTCAGGTCCTGATCAGCACTGGGAAGAAGCCAGAGGCATTGGGAGGCCAGGACTGAAGGAGGTGCTCGATTAGGAAAGAGTCAGGGCATCACAGAGGAGACCACATTTGAGGAGAGTGTGTAATGAGGTAAAAAGAAGATGGGGAAGAATTGGTTCACCTATTTATTGAGCAGCTACCAGATGGGTAAATGTGTGCCTCCCTCCCTCTCTCCCTGTGGCCGAGGAGTTGGTTTAGACAAAGAGGCAAGGCACCAGCTGAAAATCTGGTCTGGATTGTGTAGAAGGGATGCCAGGGTCTCAGGCTCTCAGTGGTTAAAATAATATTTTATGGCGGGCACAGTGGCTCATGCCTATAATCCCAGCACTTTGGGAGGCTGAGGCAGGCAGATCAGTTGAGGTCAGGAGTTTGAGACCAGCCTGACCAACATGGTGAAACCCTGTCTTTACTAAAAATACAAAAATTAGCTGGGTGTGGTGGCAGGCGCCTAGAATCCCAGCTACTCGGGAGGTTGAGGCACAAGAATCATTTGAACCTGGGAGGCGGAGGTTGCAGTGAGCTGATATTGTGCCACTGCACTCCAGCCTGGGTGATAGAGCGAGACTCAGTCTCAAAAAATCATAATGATAATAATATTTTACTAGAAGATATCGACAGAATTGTAGGACAGATGTGAAGTTTCTTTGTCCCCTTCTTCCTAAGTCTATTTCTGAAATCCTCCTCTGCCCTTTACCCCATGAGCCTTGACAACCTGATGCTGCTAAGCCACTGCTACTGAGAAAACCAGGTGGTTACATCAGTATCCATTTTCTTTTCTTTTGAGACGGAGTCTCACTCTGTCACCCAGGCTGGAGTACAGTGGCACGATCTTGGCTCACAGCAACCTCTGCCTCCTGGGTTCAAGTGATTCTCCTGTCCCAGCCCCCCGAGTAGCTAGGATTACAGGCGCTTGCCACCACGCCTGGCTAATTGTTGTATTTTTAGTAGAGACAGGGTTTCACCATGTTGGCCAGGCTGGTCTCAAACTCCTGACCTCAGGTGATCTCCCTACCTCGGCCTCCCAAAGTGCTGGGATTACAAGCATGAGCCACCGCACCCGGCCTACAGTATCCGTTTTCTTTTTTTTTTTTTTTGAGACAGAGTTTCATTCTTGTCACCCAGGCTGGAGTGCAGTGGCGTGATCTTGGCTCACTGCAACCTCCACCTTCCGGGTTCAAGTGATTCTCCTGCCTCAGCCTCCCCAGTATCCATTTTCTAATGCTGCTCTTGTAGCCAAGGATCGAGCCTTAAGGTCTGAGTCCTGAGTCCTTGCACTCTAGTGAAAGCTTGTCCTTTTTTATTTGGTCCAGTTTTGAGGACATAGTCCTTGCTACCCACAATCTCCCAAAGGAGGAAGACTGTAGGTAACTTACCCTGTCCTTTGGCTAGACTAACAGAGACGGAATTTGAACCCCCGCCTGCAGGTGCATCAGCTCAGTGGTTTCTCACACCTGGAAGCAGCCACTGGCCACTCTCTTTCCCTCCAGAGGCATCAGGGAACATGGAACAGTTCAATGAATTGCTCCAGGTCATCTCTTGAGAAAGGGGCTCAGGGAGGGAGTTCAGGAAGGAATGGGACTGAACTTGCTGATGTCACTGTTTAAAGTAGGCTCTATGTGCTGATTTTAATAAGGTAATGCAAGGCCTGGCGCTGTGGCACACACCTGTAATCCCACCACTTTGGGAGGCCAGGTCGGGCGGATCACCTGAGGTTGGGAGTTCAAGATCAGCCTGGCCAACATGGTGAAACCCTGTCTCTACTAAAAATACAAAAATTAGCCAGGTGTGGTGGTGCATGCCTGTAATCCCAGCTACTCAGAAGGCTGAGACAGGAGAATCACTTGAATCTGGGAGGTGGAGGTTGCAGTGAGCTGAGATTGCACCACTGCACTCCAGCCTGGGTGACAGTGAGACTCTGTCCCAAAAAAAATACATAAATGAGGTAATGTATTTAACAGGGGTAACCATTAGAGAGACACCTCCATACGTAAAGAATGGTGACCCCGTCTCTACAGAAAATAAACAATTTTCCGGTTTTGATAGCTTGCGCCTGTGGTCCCAGCTACTTGGGAGTCTGAGGCAGGCGTGTTGCCTGAGTCTGGGAGCTGGAGGTTGCAGTGAGCTGAGATTGTGCCACTACATTTCAGCCTGTGCAACAGAACAAAGCAAGACCCCTGTCCCCATTAAAAAAAAAAAAAGAATGATGAGAATGGTGACCATTCTTCTAATGGTAACTTTCCAGTCTGAATAATGATGATAATAACAGTACCATTTTCTAAGGCTGATAATTTACAAAACTCTTCACACACAATGGGCTGGTTTATTGGGCATGTGTTATGCTAATAAGCACATGACGGATCTTTCCTCGTTTCATCCGTCCGTGTGTGAGGTAGGTATTACTACCTTTCATTTTACAGATGAGGAAATAGGTTTGGAAAAGATAAATGACTTGCCCTTAGTCACCTGACTAGGAATTAATAGAACTGGAGCTTGAACCCAGGTCTGCAGACACATAACATCCAGTGGTTTCTACCACCCCTAAGTACTCTTCTCTTATCTAAAAGGTGAATAGTGAGCTGGAATGAAAGGTCTTATCTTCAGCGACATAAGGATTCTTCACTTTTCCAGTGGAATGAAAATGTCTGTTCTGTGCAGACAGAGGGGTGTGGACTGGGGGAAGTGGTTTCCCATTTTGTATATTTACTGCTACATTTTAGCTGTTGGTGGGGGTCACAGTTATAAAACGATAAGGGATTAAACCAACCGTTTTTCTTGAACAGTTTATGTAGTAGGCCCAGGCAATAACGTGACAACTCTATTTACACATTTAAAATGAATATGTGTTTCTTGCTTTTGCTTAATGATAAGGAACCAGTCAATAAGGAACAGGATCAACGGCCACTCCACCCAGTGGCAAATCCACATGCAGAAATCTCCACCAAGGTTCCAGCCTCCAAAGTGAAAGACGCCGTGGAACAGCAAGGGGAGGTGAAGAAGAATAAAAGAGAAAGAAAGGAAGAACGGCAGAAGAAAAGGAAAAGAGAAAAGAAAGAACTAAAGTTAGAAAACCACCAGGAAAACTCAAGGAATCAGAAGCCTAAGAAGCGCAAAAAGGGACAGGAGGCTGACCTTGAGGCTGGTGGGGAGGAAGTCCCTGAGGCCAATGGCTCTGCAGGGAAGAGGAGCAAGAAGAAGAAGCAGCGCAAGGACAGCGCCAGTGAGGAAGAGGCACGCGTGGGCGCAGGGAAGAGGAAGCGGAGGCACTCGGAAGGTAAGTGGCTAGCTCACGCTCTGGGATTCATCTGAAAACCGGGAAAGCTGTGAATTTGGGATATTTAAGCCTGTTAGACCTAGCGTTTTGTGTGCGTGTGTGTGTGGTTTTTTTTTTTTTTGTTTTTTTTGAGACGGAGTCTTGCTCTGTTGCCCAGGCTGGAGTGCAGTGGCACGATCTCAGCTCACTGCAACCTCCACCTCCCAGGTTCAAGCGATTCTTCTGTCTCAGCCTCCTGAGTAGCTGAGATTACAGACGTGTGTCACCAGACCCAGCTAATTTTTGTATTTTTAGTAGAGATGGGGTTTCGCCATGTTAGCCTGGCTGGTCTCGGACTCCTGACCTCTGGTGATCCGCCCCCCTCGGCCTCCCAAAGTGCTGGGGTTACAGGCATGAGCTACCGCACCTAGCTAGACCTTATGTTTTGAACCAAGTAAGGGAACGAGCATAAGCTTTGTGGCCAGGCAGAGGTGGGCCCTGCCCAGGCAAATGACCTCACTTCTCAACTCCTTTCATCCCATCTCCAGCATGGAGGAGGATAAAACCCTCCTGGGGTTTTATAAACCGGGGCTGGGCAGCTTGGAGAAGAAATGAGATGATACGTGGAGTTTGCCTAGCTCGCATAAGGTCTCATTAAATGGTAGCTGCTAGCGTAAATGCAAAATCTTCTTTAAAAAAAATCTTTCCAAATACTTAGTTGAAACAGATTCTAAGAAGAAAAAGATGAAGCTCCCAGAGCATCCTGAGGGCGGAGAACCAGAAGACGATGAGGCTCCTGCAAAAGGTATATCACTGCTGTCATTTGAGGAGCACGGCTGGGCACAGCGGCTCTCGCTGATAGTCCCAGCTACTTCAGAGGCAGGGGCAGGAGGGTCACTTGAGCTCAGGAGTGTGAGGCTGTAGTGAGCCATGGGCGTACCACTTTCAAAAAGCGAGAGAGAGAGAAAAGAAAAGAGAGAAATACACGGTCCCTTGTAGGTTGGGAGAGGGGCCGAGAGATGCCCCCTTCTGGGGAAGGAAGGTGTAATGTGGGCACTTCTAGTAGGGTCTTACCCTCCAGAGGTATATATAAGAATTTGAAAGTAAAATCAGTTCTCTAGGGTGTGTGAGTCAGTCTTACAGTGCCTCTCACCCACTGTCTTTAAGGAGAAAAGTAAAGCAGTCTGGTTTGGAAATGTATGTTATCTTTGAAATTTAAATAAGCCCAATATAGCTTTCTGAGACCCGGTTCCCTTTCGCTCCTCCCCAACTCTCTTGCCCCTGCCTTTCACTGTTCTCTTAGAAGTCCCCTGAACTGTGCCCCTGCCCATCTCTGGGCCTGTTTCTGGGGTCTCCTTGCTTGTATCCTCAACCTCAGAATCCAGTCCCTGGCCTTCACGGGCCCTCTGAAATGCTGTCTCTTACACAAAGCTTCTCTCCTGCTTCTTCAGGCCTGAAGCACTCATACCTGTCGGGAGGTGGCAAGTCGTCATCTCTCTGCCACCTCCCCCAACCCCCAGGATCCTGCAGTTCAGAACAGGTCCAAAGACTCAAATGGGCCTGCAGCTTTATTAGCAGAGTTCAGTGACTGCCAGCATTGGGTTAGATCTCTAAGCTTAAAACCCCCTTCTCAACTTAGTAAACAGTAGTGTCCCCATATCTGTGGGATGGAAAATTCCAGAAATAAACAATTGATAAGTTTTCCATTGCATGCTGTTCTGAGCAGCATGGCGAGATCTCTTGCTGTCCTGCTGTATGCCTTCTTCACCACAAGAAGGGTGAGGATAGGACAATAAGATATTTAGAGAGACACAGAGAGACCACATTCACATAACTTTTATTATAGTGTATTGTAAAATTGTTCTATTTTATTATTAGTTATTGATAATCTTTTACTGTGCCTCATTTATAAGTGGAGCATTGTCATAGGCATGAATGAATATTTAGGGAAAGACAGTATATATAGGGGTTCAGTACCATTGTGATTTCAGGCATCCACTGGGGGTCTGGGAACTGTCCCCTGCAGATCAAGGGGGACAACTGGAATGGTTATTTTTGTTGTTGTTGTTACATTTTTTGTTTTGAGATCCTTGTAGACTCACATGCAGTTGTAAGAAATAATGGAGACTCAGGCGTCCTTATGTATCCGCGTACCCTTTACCTTGTTGCCACCCAGGATAACACTTTACACAACTGTAGTACAGCATCTCAGCCGGGATGTTGACATGGATACGCTTCCATTTCCATCGCCATTGCGCAAGGCTGCCTCCTGCTGCCCTCTTGTAGCCACAGCCACTTCCCTCTCACCCCCACCCCCTCCTTAGCCTCTGGCAATCACTAATCTGTTCTTCATTTCTGGAATCTCCGAATGTTCTATGAATGGAATCATACAGTATGTAACCTTTTGAGACTGACTCTTCGCTCAGCGTTTTTCTCTGGAGATTCACCCAGGTTGCTGAACTGACCAATATTCATCTTATTGGTGAGGAGTATCCCGTGCTGTGCGTGCATCACAGTCCTTTCATCATTCACCTGTGGAGGGACACCTGGGTGGTTTCTAGTCTCTGGTTATTAATGAATAAAGCTGCAGTAAACATTGATGTGCAGGTTTCTGTGTGAACTAAGTCAGTTTTTCTGAAGCGAATGTTCAATGCTGTGTCATACAGTAGTTGCATATTCTTTCTTTTCTAAGAAACCACCAGCTCAATAACTAATGCTGGCGAGGATGTGGAGAAAAAGGAACGCTGGTGCACTGTTGGTGGGAATGTAAATTAGTACAACCACTATGGAGAACCGCTTGGAGGTTCCTCAGAAACCTAAGAATAGAGCTCCCGTCCAATCCAGCAGCCCCACTGTTTGGGTATATATTCAGAAGAAAGGAAATCCCTGTGTTGAAGAGATACCTGCACTCCCGTGTTTGTTGCAGCACTATTTACAATAACCAAGATTGGAGCAACCTATGTGTCCAGCAGCAGATGAATGGGTAAAGAAAATGTGGTGCATGTACACAGCGGAGTACTATTCAGCCATAAAAAGAATGAGATCCTGTCGTTTGCAGCAACGTGGATGGAACTGGAAGTCATTATGCTAAGTGAAATAAGCCAAGCACAGGAAGACAAGCATAGCATGTTTTCACTTATTTGTGGGATCTAAAAATCAAAACAGTTGCCAACTCATGGAGATAGAGAGTAAAAGGATGGTTACCAGAGACTGGAAAGGGTGGTGGGAGGCTGTGGGAGAGGTGGGGATGGTTAATGGGTATCAAGAAAATAGAATGAATAAGATCTAGTATTTCATAACACAACAGGGTGGCTGTAGTCAATAATAATTTAATTGTACATTTTAAAATAACTAGAGTATAATTGGATTGTTTGTAACACAAAAGGATAAATGCTTGAGGTGATGGATACCCCATTTACTCTGATGTAAGTATCATACATTGCATGTCTGTATCAAAATATCTCACGTGCCCCATATACACCTGCTGTGTACCCACAAAAATTTAAAAAGGAAAAAACTGTCAGCTGTTTCAGGAGTCTCTGTACACATTTTATATTCCCAGTAGCAGTGTGTAAAGGATCTAGTTTCTCCACATCATGGTCAATATTAGGCGTTGCCACTGTGTTGTATTTTCGCCATTCTGATAGATGTGTGGTAACCGCTCATTGTGGTTTGAATTTGTGTGGCCCTAATGACTAATGTTGTTGAGCACCTTCTTCTGTGCATATTTGCTATCTGTATATGTTTTTGTTGAAATGTCTGCTCTCTTTTTTTAAATTTTTTTCCCCTATTTTCTAATTTGAGTTGTTTGGGGTTTTTTTGGTTGTTGTTTTTGTGGGTTTTTTTTTTTTTTAACTGTTGAGATTTTAGTTTTTAAATTTATTCTAAATAGTACTCCTTTGTGGGACATAACAGTTTGTGAATTTTTTTTCAGTCTTTTTGCTTGTTTTTTCATCATAACAGAGTCTTTTTAGGGCAAATGGTTTTTATTTTGATAAAGTTCAATTTATCAATTTATCTTATGGATTGTGCTAACAACTCTTTACCTAGCCCTAGAGCCTAAAGATTTTTTTGTTTTCTAAATTATCTTAATGGATAACTTTTTTTTTTTTTTTTTTTACAAATCAACATTTTATGTAGTTCAGGTGTACAATTTAATGTGTTACTGTATTTTATTTTTATTTTTCGAGACAGGGTCTCACTGTTGCCCAGGGTGGAGTGCATTGGTGTGATCATGACTCACTGCAGCCTCAACTTCCTGAGCTCAAGCAATCTTCCTGGGTAGTTAGGACTACGAGTACACACCACCACACCCAGCGAAGTTTTAAAATTTTGTGACGGAGGTCTTGCAGTGTTGCCCAGGCCTGTCTTGAACTCCTGGGCTCAAGCAATCCTTCTGCCTCAGCCTCCCAAAGTGCCTGGATTACAAGCATGAGCCACCATGCCCAGCTCAACTTAATGTTTTATTATACATGTACATTGTGAAATAGTGACTACAATCAAGCTGATTAACACATTTATCACCTCACATAGTTTACGTGTGTGTGTGTTGAGAACACTTAAGATATATCCTCACAGCAAATTTCAGGTCTATGTTAAATGCCTCCTAGTCTTACATTTTTTATTGAAGTCCATGATCCATTTTGAGTTAGTTGTTTTTGTAAGGTGTGAGATCCTGTTTACGCTTTCTGTTTTAACTGGCTTTCTCTCACATGACTTTGGTGGTTGTGGAGGGGCACGGCCTTGTTGCTGTCAGGTGGGGGCGGAAGTCCAGGCTCTCTACTCAGCCTCCATCCACACCTGAGGATGGCCACTTCTTGCTCCTGCCGGGCAGGGCTCCTGGTGCAGGTTCCACTGACATCACAGCAGGGGCAGCCTCATGACCGGCCTGTGTGGATGAGACCCCTGAATTCCTGCTTGGCCTTCTGTGACACCGTCCCTCATTACAGCCTTGCGAGGGTAGAGAACTCAGGCTCGCCACTCGGCTTTTGCTGGTGCGGGTGGGGGTGGAGCCACCGTTTTTTCTGTGATGTGTGGCTGCAGTAGGGTTGTTATTATACAAAAGTTTTCTGTCTTGCTAGGCTGCCGTTTCCCGGTCCTTTGCCAAGAGAGCAGGCTTCTGTTGGGACTGTTTTGTCTGTGCTGTTGGTGTTCAGGTTGCTGGGTTCTTCAACTCCAGATCTGGGGTACAGGCAGCAAGAAGCTCACCCCGTGTTGCTCTGCAGGCCCCGAGGTCCCAGCTGGTCTCTACCTTTCAGAGTCTTCTTACATTTCTTGCCTATATAGTTTCAGGGTTCTCAGTTGTAGTGGGCAGGAGGAAGGGGAAAGTGTGTCCACTCCATCTTCCCAGAAGCAGAAGTTCCCTAGATGAGTATTTTTAGTTCCTCTATAATAGTTTGTGGTTGTCCTCTCTCTCATTTCAGGTCAAGCTGTTTTGCTCATCTTTGTCCTCCCTACTGTGCATGGACAGCCCCATGATCTTAGTGGATGCTTAGGAAATCTGTGTTGAGTTCATTACATACAACTCTATCTAGGAGTTTGTCATGCCAATAGCACATGGGCACCTGCTCACTCTTAAGAGCCAGTCCTTTGAAGGGTAGTGAGTGCTTCTAGGACATTGGAATTGAACAGATGCTTGGTGCTATGGAGTCTGGTTCATTAGAGGGTTAGCTCATTTCCTGGGAAGCAAATAGGTGTTGCAGAAGTTGTTTCTTTACCCTTCTCGTAGTACAACAAAACGAAATGTCTTAAATATTATTATTTATATTGTAGGTAAATTCAACTGGAAGGGAACTATTAAAGCAATTCTGAAACAGGCCCCAGACAATGAAATAACCATCAAAAAGCTAAGGAAAAAGGTATGGCATATGAACAAACCCACGTGTCTAACAGCTGGGGAGAACTTATTTCTAAATGTACAATTGTTTGTTTTTTTCTTTTTTCACCTAAAACACTGAAAATCTGTGTGTGTGTCTCAGTGATTTTCAAGCTGCTCCAAAGCCCCACACAGCCTCAGCCAGGGTGGTGCCTAGATTTTGGGCTTGTTTATAAGACTTTGAAGAGAGGCTCCATTTATTTAATTTTTATTGTTTGGAAATTATTTTCTAGATATTTGCTCTCTTTTGCCTATCCCAGAGCAGTGGTTTCTTCTCCTTTATTTCACTTTGTTTCTCAGGATGACTCACACATGGCCAAACCCCTGCACGTGGCTGCCGCCTGGGTTTTCCAAGGAGAGCACGCCGGTGTCGCTTGCTCCTGGGTTTCTTTTATTTTTTCCTGTTGTTCTATTTCTGGGTTAAAGACAGAACATTTTAAGATAATTTTCCAGGTCAAATACACTCATTTGATGTTTTTCTTTGTGAAGGTTTTAGCTCAGTACTACACAGTGACAGATGAGCATCACAGATCCGAAGAGGAACTCCTGGTCATCTTTAACAAGAAAATCAGCAAGAACCCTACCTTTAAGTTATTAAAGGACAAAGTCAAGCTTGTGAAATGAACATTTGTGTATTTAAAAATTGAATCCATTCTGCTGACTTCTTCCTTTCACTGCTGTTTATAAAATGTGTAATGAATTCTAACAACTCAAATTTTGCTTTTTGAAGCTGTATTTTTAAGTTAAGAAAATATATTTTTGGTATAACTTTTATGAGAAAAATAAAATATATTCTGGTCCAAACTTCTAAATTTGTTGTGGCAAAAATTACTGAACTTTACAAAATAGTTTTGTGTGAAAAAATTTTTTTCAATGTAGTGCAGCAACAAGTAAAAAAGTAATTCCTCTTTTGATCAGACTAAAAAGTATTCATTTTAACCACATCATTTCTACACTTTGTTGTTATTGTTGTTTGAGAAAGGGTCTCTGTCGCCCAGCCTGGAGTGCAGTGGCACAATCTCAGCTCACTGCAACCTCCATCTCCCAGGTTCAAGCAATTCTGCCTCAGCCTCCTGAGTAGCTGGGATTACAGGCATCCGCCACCACACCTGGCTAATTTTTATATTTTTAGTAGAGCCAGGGTTTCACCATGTTGGCCAGGCTAGTCCCAAACTGACCTCAAGTGATCCGCCTGCCTCGGCCACCCAAAGTTCTGGGATTACAGGCATGAGCCACTGTGCCCAGCTATTTCTACACATTTTTGATTAGAGATGTTTTGTGCGTTTGTTTTTTGTGTTGTTGGAATGTGTATGTGAACTGCGGGAATGGTCATGACAAGAGTCTTGTATGTGTTAATCCTTCTGTAGCCAGAAGTATGGTGCTATAGAGGAGGCTTCTCTGTAACAGGTTCACCCATCCACACTGGCCCCATCTACCTTCAGCCAAAGAGACGAGTTTGTCAGTGGCTGGATTCAGGAGCATGGCCTGTGACTGGAAGCGAGAGGCACAGGGAAATAGCTCATTGGAGACTGAATCTCTTGTGCAGCTGTGTGGCTGCTCCAGTGCTCTGATTGGACTGAATGCTTTCAGAAACAGTGTTTGAAGTCCTGGTTGATTGTGCTGTAGGACAGCCTTTTTGCCACCTCTTGGATGGTTCAGTAGGTTTTGCCCACAAGACCCTTAAAAGCTGGTCCTCTGGTACAGATCACCCCTTAGCCAGTTTCATTAATATCTCATCAATTCCCCACAAAAGCAAGTCTGGGACATGGAACAAGTAGTTTAAAGGGTTAGGACGGAGAGGAGGGATGAGAGGGAGGACAGAGGCCCTGTCTGAGCCTCTGAGTGCCCAGAAGCCCACGGAGCAGCTTCACTCTGGGACTTGCCAGCCAAGCCAAGCAGCATCTTGAGTTCAGTGCTTATTAGGCGATGTGCCACATATAAGTGTAGTGACGGCATTGAGTGGCACTGTCAGAATGAGTAGGACTCAGGCTTCAGAATCAGGCCCAGAGTCAGGTCCTGACTCTGTCCCTTATTGGCTAACCTCTGAACCTCACTTTTCTCAGCTGGACAATGGGGATAGTAAAGGTTGTGAGTGAATGAACTAATTCACGTAAAGGACACAGCATGTTCCCTTATTAGACACAATAGATCCCCTCAGTGGGTGCTGTCACTACTCTTACCGTTACCAGTAACAATTTTTGGGCCATGAGAAGCTTTAGACATTCTGGAAAGCAAAAGAAAACTGAGAAAGTGAAACAACCCAGACCACATACCTAATTAGGGACAAAAGCAGAACAGAGCTGTGACTCCGCAGTCCAGTCCCGAAGTCTTCCTATGCCAGCACTCCAGGGAGCAGAGGGAGGTGTGCTCTGCAGTTATCACCCGGGCACAGGGGAGATGCAGGGCCACCCCGTGAGAGTCACATGATGTTCTACAAGCGCCATGGAATTTCAGTTTGTGATTGTATTAGTTTGTTTTCACTCTGCTGATAAAGATATACCTGAGATGGGGTAATTTATAAAGAAGAAGAAGTTTAATGGACTCACAGTTCCACGTGGCTGGGGAGGCCTCACAATCATGGCGGAAGGCAAAAGGCATGTCTTCCATGGCGGCAGACGAGAGACGAGAGAGAATTTGTGCAGGAAAACTCTTTATGAAACCATCAGGTCTCGTGAGACCTATTCACTATTACAAGAACAGCACAGGAAAGACCCGTACCCATGATTCAATTACCTCCCACCGGGTACCTCCCACAACACATGGGAATTGTGGGAGCTACAATTTAAGATGAGATTTGGGTGGGGACACAGCCAAGCCATATCAGGGATCTTTATTTTTCCGTCAAAACTATCAGTTACCGTGATACATTTAAGGCAAAGTTTGGCAAATGTGACACAGTTAAAAGGTGTCCTTAGCACTGCAGCAGAGTCTTCATTTCTGTCCTTGCCATCCATTACCCCAGGTTCTCGAGAGTTAGAACTTCTGGGGCTGGCTGTGCTGCTCAGGAATTTCAGCAGAGCATCCATCCCACAGGGGCTGGAGGTGGCTTTAGCTCCCTCAACTCTACAAGGACAAAAAAGCAAAGCTAATGATGGTGACTCTGATGGTCCGTGTCATGGAAGGGTCTGCAGTCAGTGGCAGGAAGGACTAGCTGTAAGTGCAGTTGCTCCAGGGGTCTGGCTGCAAAGCATGGTCCAGGGGTCATTCCCAATGTCCTTGCAGAGACCACCCGTTTCAGTTTGGGCAGCTAGCTGCCTGCCTGACTTGGACTCAAAACACACATGATATTGAAGTTCCTAGAGACTTTAGAAAGTGATCTGATGATATTCCTGTAAGGCTTTTCAGCTTCATTTTGTCTAAGTTGGGTATATGGTTGAATTCTACCATGTTCTGCCTGTCCTCAGCCTGGTCTGATGAGCCTGACACTTGGGTATCTCCAACCCTGACAGCCATGCATTTTGACATACTGTGGTTGTCTTACCTTGATGTTCTATTTTCTGGGGATTCCTGGTGTTTGTCAACTGTGTGTACCGGCCATTTCCTGTGATGATGCTGAACAAGCAGGATTTGGGAGAAGATGGACTCTGTCAACCTCCCAAAACTTAAAATGTGGGACTGTTGCATGCCCTTAATTTGGGACACAGTAGGTGCTTAGCACTCCAGCAAGGAAACAGGCTCAGAACGAGTGGGAAGCCAGGAAGTGAACCAAGGTTTCCCTTCTTTTTGCACCTGGACGAGGCAGCTAGACCCAGACTGATGCAGAAGAAGTCAAAAGAACGCAAATGAGGCTGGGTGCGGTGGCTCACACCTGTAATCCCAGCACTCTGGGAGATTGAGGAGGTTGGATCACTTGAAGTCAGGAGTTTGCGACCAGCCTGGCCAACATGGTGAAACCCCATCTCTATTAAAAATACAAACATTAGCCATGCATGGAGGTGCATGCCTGTAATCCCAGCTACTCGGGAGGCTGAGGCAAGAGAATCACTTGAGCCCAGGAGGCGGAGGTTGCAGTGAGCGAGATTGCACCACTGCACTTCAGCCTGGGTGACAGAGTGAGACTCTGTCAAAAAAAAAAAAAAAAAGAAAGAAAAAAAATGGGTTGATGGCAGAGAAGCATTTATACGAAGGCTTAAAAATTGTAAAATCACTCAAGTTTTCCCTTGGTGAAGTAAGATGACCCCTCTGCTCTGAGGAACTAAGGCTTTTCCAGAATCCCATTTCTAGTTCTCTGTTTAAAACCCCCTCAGGGTGGTTAGGAGAAAAATGAAAAAATAAAAGTCAAGATTAATCAACAGCATTTTTTACAGTTCTGTAGGTTTTTGTGAATATCTGTGAAAAGCTCTCACATTATCCTTCTAAGCATCTAAATTTTCTTTGAAAGTTAAAACTTGGGCTGGGTGTGGTGGCTCACGCCTGTAATCCCAACACTTTGGGAGGCTGAGGTGGGCGGATCACCGGAGGTCGGGAGTTCGAGAACCAGCCTGACCAACATGGGGAAACCCCATCTCTACTAAAAATACAAAATTAGCTGGGCTTGGTGGTGCATGCCTGTAATCCCAGCTACTCGGGAGGCTGAGGTAGAAGTATCTCTTGAACCCGGGAGGCAGAGGTTGTGCTGAGCCAAGATCGCACCACTGCACTCCAGCCTGGGCAACCAGAGCGAAACTCTGTCTCGAAAGAAAGAAAGAAAGAAAGAAAGTTAAAACTTGAGCTGACCAGGTCCTCTTAAACAATATACTTTGGTAATCTCACTACCCTTGAATTGCCTCTCTTGTCCAAAAAGAGATTTCTAGGAATAAAACATTGTTTTAAAAAGGCAGTCTTTGGTATAGATTGCTGTCTTTTAGATAGCACTTTTGCAGTCGAATAAAGAAAGTTTTAAGAGATCAAGTAGTTTTATCCAATTCATCTCCATTAGTGAAAGCTATTGAGAGTATATCATAGTTCTTTACTCCACCATTGAAAACTGATCCTCCTAGCGGGTGTTATTCTTTTTTTGGCTCAATGACGAACCGGGACTCCAGCATAAAGCAGATAATTGTATGTTGTTGAATTTGCCTGGATTTAGAACCAGGACACCATAGCGCTCAAGCTTGTAACTCCTTCCCTTGTTGAAGAAAATTGGAGATCAATTATTATCATCATCCAAGATAAGAGAAAGGCATATCCTATATATTTACCTGTTCTTTGTGGTTGATCTCAGAATATATTCAGCCTTTATCCCTTCTCCAAATTAAGCTTTCAAGAAATGGCTAAAATAGGCCTTCTAAATTTCTTTTTCACTCAGGGAGCGTATTATGTTTCTCATTTACTAAGTACAGAAAGTGTTACCTTATAGTGATTCCTGAATTACATGTGGGCGGGAGGTTGTTTGTGTAGTTAATCCTTGTTCTCATTCCAGTAAACTGGATTTTAGCAAAAGAGTTGGAAGGTAGGAGAAAGCTCGCCCTTTTCAATTTCTTTCTTTCTTTTTGTTTGTTTGTTTGTTTTTGAGACAGAGTCTCGCTCTGTCACCCAGGCTGGAGTGCAGTGGCGCGATCTCAGCTCACTGCAAGCTCTGCCTCCCGGGTTCACGCCGTTCTCCTGCCTCAGCCTCCCGAGTAGCTGAGACTACAGGTGCTCGGCACCATGCCCGGCTAATTTTTTTGTATTTTTAGTAGAGACGGGGTTTCACTGTGTTAGCCAGGATGGTCTCGATCTCCTGACCTCGTGATCCACCTGCCTCGGCCTTCCAAAGTGCCGGGATTACAGGCATGAGCCACCGCGCCCGCCCGGCCTTTTCCATTTTGTAAGAGGAAGTACTGGTCATAAGCATGTGGTGGGATTTCACATGGTAGGCTGGCAGTGGCTCACACCTATTACTATAATCTCAACACTTTGGAAGGCTGAGGCGGGTGGATCGCTTGAGCCCAGGAGTTCAAGACTAGCCTGGGCAATGTAGCAAGACGCCGACTCTACAAAAATATACAAAAATCTGCCTGGTGTGGTGGCTCACGCCTGTAGTCCTCCCAGCTACTTGGGAGGATCACTTGAGCCTGGGAGGCAGAGGCTGCAGTGACCCAAGATCATGCCACTGCACTCCAGCCTGGGCAGCAGAGTGAGACTCTGTCTCAAAAAAATAAAATAAATAAATAAATAAATAATAAATAAAATAAAGAATAGTGTTGGGAAATTGTCTTACGTGTCTTGAGTTTTGCTTCCCTCACAAACTTGTTGAGATCTCAGTCCTCTAGTGCCCTTTGTGCCTGCAATTCTGTACCAAGCCCTTGTATCATCGAACCCATTCTAAGTCACAAGGACTAATAAAATCATTCCAGATTGCCCACCCGGGCTGAGATCTAGGCTGGGTACTCGGGCACTGAGGTCTTCAGGAAGGAAGAGACAATACTGAGGCCAACACAAGGAGTGTTATGAGGTGTGCTGGTTAGAACGTGGGCCTGAGAAGGACTGCTTAATTTTGCCTGGGTGGGGATGGAGGGCACAAGGTTATTAAAGGCCCCCGGATTGATTCTTGGAATTTAAATTGTTATCTATTAACTGCTTGATGTTTTAAGACACTTTCCATATTCCTGCCACTCTATTTTCACCCAGGCTGTATGAGGTGACATGTTCTAAACAGGGTCCATGTGCCAGAATGAGACTCAAGGTTGAATCTGAGCTTTGTATCTCACTCGCCAAAGGTCCCTGCGTGGGCAGGTTACTTAGCATCTCTAAACCTCAGGGGTTTTTCTCTTACACCAACTTTCTATGGTAGATAGAGTGAAATTGATATACTGTACACAAAGTAGCACATAGTAGGTGTCTGAAAATATCTCCTCTTAAAGTACAGGAAGTACACAGACCGAGCAGTGTCTACCATTGGTTGTCCGAGGCACTGGCCCAACAGACAGGATCTGACGCCTTACTTTTTCATGCACAAAGCTCTCTAAGTGACTGGACTGCAGCAAAGAAGAATCAGCGAGGCCAAACCATACAGCATTTAAATGAAGAAATCCACTTCAATTTTTGAAGTAGCACTCTAGTTTACAGTTACTGTGTAACTATTTTTCTGAACAAAGACACAATCCTACGACTGCCAAACCTATATGAGTTAATATTTTAATGCAGGTTTCTATTGAAGTATACATATGTAAAATGTAAATGTACTGCTTCATGAGTTTCACAGAGTGCCCACACCTAAATCAAGAAACAGACTATTCGGCCCACCTTACTTCTGTCTGCATGGGTTGGTTTTGCCTGGTTTTGAACTTGATGTAAATGAAACCACACAGCATGTATCTGTTTGTGTCTTGCTTCTTTCACCCAACATTCCATGAGATTCATCTCTTGATGAAATGTTGGATTTTACAGACTGGTGTGGTGGCCCATGCCTGTAATCCCAGTGCTATGGGAGGCAGAGGCGGGAGAATCACTTGAGCCCGGGAGTTCAAAAGCAATCTGGGCAACATAGCGAGACCCCATCTCTACAAAAAATAAAAAATAAAAAAATTAGCCAGGTGTGGTGGCACATGCCTATAAGCACCTGTAGTCCCAGCAACTCCAGAGGCTGAGGCGGGAGGATTGTTTCAGCCCAGGAGTTGGAGGTTGCAGTGAGCATTAATCATGTCACTGCATTCCAGCCTAAATGAGAGAGTGAGACCCTGTCTCAAAAAATAAAAATAAAGGCAGGGCTCGGTGGCTCACGCCTGTAATCCCAGCACTCTGGGAGGCCGAGGCGGGTGGATCACTTGAGGTCAGGAATTCAAGACCAGCCTGGCCAACATAATGAAACCCCATCTCTACTAAAATTACAAAAATTAGCTGGGTGTGGTGGCACGCACCTGTAATCCCAGCTACTTGGGAGGCTGAGGCTGGAGAATCGCTTGAATCAGGGAGGCAGAGGTTGCAGTGAGCAGAGATTACGCCACTGTACTCCAGCCTGGGCAACAGAGCAAGACTCTGTCTCAATCAATCAATCAATCAATCAATAAAATGTTCAGCTGTTTCAGGGTGGCTAGGTTTCTCATGAAATCGATGACATCTTCTCCTCATCTCCTAGTGTGTACATACACTTTCTCATTGCTACTGAGTATATGCCCACAGGTGGCAGTACTAAGTCATAGGGTATATTTCAGCTTTAACAGATGTAGCCAGTTTTGAGAGGGCTTTTTAGCAGTTTATACTGCCACCCTCAGTATTTGAGGGTATATGCATTTATTTTGCCAAAAAATGCACCGAAATTTAGTATTACTCCCATTTCCATCTCTGTGTTTATCTTTTCAAAATAGCTCTCTTATTGGATGCTGTCAACCAAAGTCACCGGGTACCACTGGATGATAAAACTGTGGAAAATGGTGACTCCATTTTCCCAGCGGATTTCAGTCTTGGATGATGTTAAAAATAAAACGGAACAGTAATTTCTTCCAGCTTAAAGAATAGCATCTGCCTTCCCCTGTCCTTTTCATATTTAAGAAACTTGAGATCTTGCTCTCGGCTCACTTATCATTAGATTTAACAGCTTCTGTAATTTGGGGTTGGACCCTGCTTCTCACTGTCTGTCTCGATTACAACACAGACGATTTCTGAGAAAAAGAAAAATGGTATGTACTGGTGAAAAGAGAAGTTTCTTTGTTTTCTTTTGAGTGCAAATGCTACTTTCATTTCTTGTTGCTGTTATGGGATCTAGGGAAGCTTTAATTTATTCCCTCTGATACAAGTGATTAAACTGCCCCTTGGGTAGTTTAAATTGTAATTGCTGAGTAAATACATATGTTTGTCAGAGTTTAAAGGTCACACATCGCTCAGGAGGTCAGGCCTTTGTTTGGCCACAGAGCGGGTATTGTGAGCTGTTGAAATACCACCTTTGCTGCCCTCCTCCCTTCCCGGTGACCTCAGGCCGACTTCTGTCCATTGTAGATCAAAGGTAGGGAAAGATTCGGTTCCACTGAGCAGTTGCTAACAGCATGGCTTTGGGGATTTGGCAGCAAATTTGAATCAGGATACTATAGTAGTAATGTCATAGGATAGCCCCGCTCAGACTGATTTTATACTGAACAGGGAGGTATTATACAGCTGAACTTGAAACGGTAGTCTCTCTTGCAGGTTTCAGAAAAAAGTTAAGGTCATAGAATTTCTCAGTTTTAGTGTCCCTGCGTAACACCTCTTAAGCCTTTTGGCATCTGTGGCCATGAGATTCTAATTTAGATGCTAGGAGAGCTGGCATAAACATTTATAGCACTTGGCTATTTTTTGCTTAATTTATCCAGATTTCATGATGTTCTACAAAAGTGTGCCTGGCACTCTACTGTGTGAATGAGTTTGAGAGTTGTGGGTCTATAGGGATAGGCAGTAACTTCAAGACAATTGTAATGATGGCAGCTACTGTATCTTTTTTTTTTTTTTTTTTTTTTTTTTTTTTGAGACAGAGTCTCACTGTCACCCAGGCTGGAGTACAGTGGCATGATATCAGCTCACTGCAACCTCTGCCTCCCAGGTTCAAGTGATTCTTGTAACTCAGACTCCCGAGTAGCTGGGACTACAAGGGCACATCACCACGCCCGGCTAATTTTTGTATGTTTTGTAGAGACGGGGTTTTGCCATGTTGGCCAGGCTGGTCTTGAACTCCTGACCTCAGGTGATCTGCCCGCGTCGGCCTCCCAAATTGCTGGGATTACAGGCGTGAGCCACCGCGCCCGGCCTAGCTACTGTATCTTGGGGGCTCTTTGTGCCAGGTGCTGTGTCGGTTCCTGAATGTCAGGTCTGCTTCTTGCCGCATCACAGCACCCAGGCTGGGATTCTAATATGGTTGTCCTTTCCCTCACAGCTGGGCATTCTGCTCACGGTTGCCAGTCTTGAAAGGCTGACAGTTTCTCTCCTTTGTCTATTCTTTTCTTTCTTTCTTTCTTTCTTTCTTTCTTTTTTTTTTGAGAAAGAGTTTTGCTCTTGTTGCCGAGGCTGGAGTGCAATGGCGCGGTCTCGGCTAGCCACAACCCCTGCCTCCCGGGTTCAAGCAGTTCTTCTGCCTCAGGCTCCTGAGTAGCTGGGATTACCGGCATGCACCACCATGCCCGGCTAATTTTGTATTTTTAGTAGAGATGGGGTTCTCCATGTTGTTCAGGCTGGTCTCGAACTCCTGACCTCAGGTGATCCACCTGCCTTGGCCTCCCAAAGTGCTGGGATTACAGGCGTGAGCCACTGCTCCTGGCAACACTTTGATTTTTCTAAGGTTGGCAGAGGGATTTCCTCATACGCTGTGTTCAAACATGTGTTTGCACATTGACGTTTGTGATTTTCTTTTTTTTAATTATTTTTATACGTTCTGGGGTACATGTGCAGGATGTGTACGTTTGTTGCATAGGTAAACATGTGCCATGTGGTTTGCTGCACAGATCATCCCATCACCTAAGTATGAAGCCCAGCATGCATTAGCTCCTTTCCCTAATGTTCTCCCCAACCCCACCGCTGCCCTCCAGTAGGCCCCAGTGTGTGTTGTTCCCCTCTCTGTGTCCGTGTGTTCTCATTGTTCGGCTTCCACTTGTAAGTGAGAACATGTGGTGTTTGGTTTTCTGTTTCTGCATTAGTTTGCTGAGGATAATGGCTTTCAGCTTCATCCATGTCCCTGCAGAGGATATTCTCTTGTTCCTTTTGATGGCTGCATAGTATTCCATGGTGTATATGTACCACATTTTCTTTTTCCAGTCTATCATTGATGGGCATTTGGGTTGGTTCCAAGTCTTTGCTATTTTGAATAATGCTGCAATGAACATATGTGTGCATGTATCTTTATAATACAATGATTTATATTCCTGAGTATATACCCAGTAATGGGATTGCTGGGTCAAATGGTATGATTTTCCTTTTTACATTAAAAAAAATTTCTTTCGTTCCTTTCTCTTTTGTGAGAAATCACACCCGGATGTCATTTTCACTACTTCTTGATGAGGAGGTGTGGAGTCTCTCAAGGGGATGACATGCAGATTCTTACTGGCATAAAAGTGACCCTCAGTTGGCGAATACCTTATTGAATTTCTGTACTATTATTGGGCATGTCCTAAGCCCTCAAGCAAGGGATGGCAAATAGATTCTATCTGACACTACAACTAACTCTAGTCAACTGGCAGTGATTTTCCGGTGCTCTTCAGGATTTTGAGGCTTCCACCTGGCTGTCAAAGGGAAATAAATGCTGCATTTGATCAGCAACATCTGCCACGGGTCTGGGTGGAAAGGGGCACCCAGGTTGCCACATCTTCCCTCCTGGCTTCTCATCTATGGAGATGGCCAGCACCATGGAGCCAGCATTCAGCAAGAATGGCCCCAGGGAAGGGAAAAGGAAATGGCTGCGCTGCCATCAAGAGTGGGCCGAGGTAAATATCCGGTGCAGCATGACGCAGTGGGATTGGAGTGCAGGTGCACAATCCCGTGCAGCATATAATCAGTTATGTAACCATGTTATGGGTGGGCTCATCCCCTGGCTCTGAGCCGCTATTGTCTGTGAAGCGCACAAATGTATCACGAACACTGTGAGAAGGCATGCATAATGGAGTTGGCTGCCTTGCAGGTGGGGGTGGGTGGGTGGAGCCAGGAAATGGTGAGCACACTGGGGAGTGCAGCTGCAGACTGTGGAGCTGGCACTGAGTGGGGCTGCTGAGCAGGCAGCCAAGACAAAGGCTGACACAGAGAATAAAGCCATATCCCACCTGTATAAGATCCCTCGAGTGTTCTTTCAGCTACCCGCCACCGGTCCACCTACTCCCCTCGGACCCCAGCTTGGGTTGGAAGCTGACACTGACTTTCTTTCTTTTCTGTGAGGTGGAGTCTAGCTCTGTTGCCCAGGCTGGAGTGCAGTGGTACGATCTCGGCTCACTGCAACCTCCGCTTCCCAGGTTCAAGCGATTCTCCTGCCTCAGCCTCCAGAGTAGCTGGGACTACAGGTGTGCACCAGCACACCTGGCTAATTTTTGTATTTTTAGTAGAGATGGGGTTTCACCATGTTGGCCAGGCTGGTCTCAAACTCCTGACCTCAGGTGATCTGCCCACCTCGGCCTCCCAAAGTGCCATGATAACAGGTGTGAGCCACCACACCCGGCTTCTGACACTGACAAATAGCTTATGTCCTGAGGTGCTTTGAGTCATGAGACGCAGTTTAGCCTGGCAGCCGAAAGCTTGGGTTAGTATCCTAGCTCCCCCACTTTCCTAGCTTTGAGCCTACGGAGCAAAGACCTGAGGGATGGCTGACTTTTGAACTCCGACAAAGTAGGTATTTTCTCAGTAATTGTAATTAAACTACCAAACGGAGAGTTTAATCATTCATAGCAAAGGAATACTTGAAAGAAGCTCCTTTGAATCTCATAACAAAAAAGGCTGGTGCCTCCATTTTCTCATGTATGAAATAGGAATTATAACAGTAACTGCCTCATCCAGCTGCTGTGAGGATGGCGTAGTTAACACGTGAGGGGCATGGTAAATGATGGCCAGTTTGCACCACAGTCATCCTTTCTTCCACTGCTTCCTGCCCTCTTTCTCCTGGCATGGCCACCAGCCTCACCCCTTCAAGGCCGCGTTGCAATGACCTGCTGCTGCTCCCCTGGGAGTGACCATGAGGCCTTCGTGGGCAGCCTTTCCCCACTGCCTGGATTCCACTTTAATATGAATTGTTCCCTTTCATGGGTACTTCCTATATGCCAGGCATAGTAATAAGCCCTTTACATGTATCATTAAGCTTTTCAAAATCTCTAGGAGGGAGGCGTTATTGCTCCCCCTTCATAGATGAGCAGGTGCCGAGAGCTTACGTGACTTGTCCCAGGCCACATGGTAAGTAGCAGAATCAGGACTGATTTGAACTCAGGTGCTGTATGGTAAATGCATCTGATAGCAATAACTTAAGCAGACCCTGGGAATGACCTTTATGGCAGATGCACCTGAATGTGTGTTCCAGATTAGGGAATCCGGGACTGGCCAACCAGAGATTCTTTCCTTGTCATCTGAGCCCCTGTCCTGTCCTGTCCTGTGAAACACGAGCTGTACAGGGGATATTGAAGCCCTGAGTTTTGGGTTGCATGAAGGTTGCTAGGGATAGCGTGGAGGTTGTTAGGGGTGGGTGTCAAAAGAAGATGCTATATAAGCTGCATGCCTTTCGAAAGCAGGTGCAGTTATCCAGGCCAGCCCTGCACCAGCAGACTCTCTCTTGTATGTAACACTCCATGTCTCGTTTGCTCTGGCTCTGGGTCTCTTCTTTAGCTTGTTGAACCTGGCGGTATCTACATTGGAGTCAATAGGGTTTTGGCACAACAGGTGTCTCCTTGATTTCTTTGTATTCTCCTGGCCAGCATTTTCCATTGGTCAGGACCCCCTTCTTGTTTCCCCCTTCCCTTTCTCAGTACTGATTAGATCACTATTAAAAAGATCTTGCAAGTAGGGTTTTAATTAAAAACAACAGGGTTTTCTAAGCGGGTTCCGTGATGGGCCATGTGATCAGAAAGCCTTTATCATGGTTTTATGGATGGTAATATCAGGCACGGCCATCATTCAAATATATAGGGTTTTTTTTGAAAGAGAAAAAAATGAGTCTGCTTTATTTGATCATCTGCAAAGCAGTAACAGACCAAGTTCCAGGCACCGAACAATCAGCCAGTGACAAGACTGACAAGGCTGCAGGGTTCGCCTGGGAAGGGCAGTCGGCCAGGACCCGCCTCCATTGTCCTCTAGGTTTGCCAGCCTGGTAGTGGCCCTCAACCTGAATGGCAGCAATTTAATAAAAGAAATTGTCCTCCCACAGAACTGGAACCCAAATGTTGCCGCACAGCCAGAAATTTCAGGAGTGCTTGGGGACACTTACATAGTCAAGGGTCCTGCCCACCTGGCCTCTCAATCAAGGCCAGCTCCCTCCTACCTCTCCCCTCTTCTTTCTGGTTATAGGAACTGTCCTTTTCCCTGTTCCTGATATTTTGGTTGAGACCAGCATCTCTATTCTCTGTTCTTCTCCCCAACATCCTATTTCAGAAAACAACACACTGTCTGTCCTTAGAGGCTCACTCGCGGCCCTTTTCTGCCAGTGCAGCAGACAGCTGTTGTGCTCACGTTGACTTCGCTTCTGTGAGAAACCCCTCCATCTCGCTGCTTAAATAGAATGCATCCAGAGAAAACCCCAGGCAAAGCGGCGCAGGTGCTGAGAGTCAGAAGTAGGGCTGGCAGGCACTGAAGTGGTGAGTTCCACAGGGATGACGGCGGGCACACCATATGTGACAGACGCACAGTGTCCTCAAAGCTGCATCATGAGCTTCCTGGGCTTCACGCTCACTCAGGCTTGATGGAAATCCTATTTTTCTTTCAATCTTATGAAACAGTTCAGAGGAATTCTAATAGGTTTCTTTCTAAAAAACTGTACGTGTATTTTATGATGATAATGATTATTACTGTCATTATTATTATAGATAGAGACAAGGTCTTATTATATTGCCCAGGCTGGTGTCCAACTCCTGGGCTCAAGCGATCCTCCCGCCTCAGCCTCCTGAAGTGTTGGTATTACAGGTGTGAGCCACTGTGCACAGCCCATTATTACTGTTGTCATTACTGTTACTATTTTGCTTAGGCTGTGTATTAGAGTTCTCTAGAGGGACAGAACTAACAGGACATATATATATATATATATATATATATATATACACACACACATATATACAAATAAAGGAGAGTTTATTATTAATTCAGACGATCACAACGTTACACAATAGGCCATCTGCAGGCTGAGGAGCAAGGAGAGCCAGTCCGAGTCCCAAAACTAAAGAATTGGAGTCCGATGTTCAAGGGCAGGAAGCATCCTGCACAGGGGAAAGATGTAGGCTGGGATGCTAAGCCAGTCTAGCCTTTTCACATTTGTCTGCCTGCTTTATATTCTAGCTGTGCTGGCAGCTGATTAGATGGTGCCCACCCAGATTGAGGGTGGGTCTGCCTTTCCCAGCCCACTGGCTCAAATGTTAATCTCCTTTGGCCACACCCTCGCAGACACACCCAGGATCAATGCTTTGCATCCTTCAATCCCATCAAGTTGACACTCGGTATTAACCATCACAGGCTGGTTAAAGTTGGTTTCTGTCGTGGGTAGAACCTCTCACAGTACAGCTAGTTTGAGTAATGAATGGGTGAGGAATAACTAGGCTCACTTGAAGATGATTCAAGTGATTTTTACCACATAGTATGTCCCCTAAGTGAAAGACACTAACATCGACTGAACACTTTCCATGAAACATGCTTTTCCATTTAGACCCTACAGGGCAAGCCCATTCCAACTCTCTTCATCACATGGTATGAGAAGTAAGAAACAAAACATAGGTATGAACGTATATTGAATATGATCAAACTTAAAAGGTAAACAAATTGGAAAAAAAGTAGACTTGCCACATATTTGAGGTTCAAAGACAGACAGCCTTGATCTATCAAAATATGCAAAAATGAAAATTCCAAAAGGAAAAAGACATATGCATAGTCGATTAACATAAAAAAATCTGTTAGCAAAGAAAAGCAAATTAAAATGGCAGTTCGCCCCGGCCAACAACTATCACTTGGGAAAAATTTATCAAAATGATAAAGCCCGCTGTTGGTGCAAACATTGAAGATGGCCTCTCCTGCCCTCTGCTGGTGGGAATTTAAACTACAGTAGTATGGTAAGTCCTTTCTGGACCTTCTTTGAAAATATCAATCAAAAGTCTTTAAAATGGCCAGGCGCCGTGGTTCACTCCTGTAATCCCAGCACTTTGGGAGGCCGAGGCGGGCGGATCACAAGGTCAGGAGATCGAGATCATCCTGGCTAACATAGTGAAACCCCGTCTCTACTAAAAATGTAAAAAATTAGCCTGGTGTGGTGGCGGGCGCCTGTAGTCCCAGCTACTCAGGAGGCTGAGGCAGGAGAATGGCGTGAACTCGGGAGGCGGAGCTTGCAGTGAGCAGAGATCGCGCCACTGCACTCCAGCCTGGGCAACAGAGCGAGACTCCGTCTCACAAAAAAAAAAAAAAAAAAAAAAAATCCCGTCTCTACTAAAAATACAAAAATTAGCCGAAATTAGCCGGGCATGGTGGCATGCGCCTGTAGTCCCAGCTACTCGGCAGGCTGAGGTAGGAGAATTGCTTGAACCCAGGAGACAGAGGTTGCAGTGAGCTGAGATCATGCCACTGCACTCCAGCCTGGTGACAGAGCAAGACTCCATCTAAAAAAAAAAAAAAAAAAGTCTTTAAAACGTTTGTATCTTTTGATCTAGGGATTCCAATGCTATAGCTTTTACCAGGGGAATAATCACAGCTGTGTAGAAATAGGCACACATTTTATTGTGTTTTTATACAATCAATGGAAGAACTTTTTAAAACTAGCTTTCTTCTTGGAATGAAGAACAGTATCCTAAATGATAGATATTAACATTCACTGAGCACTTTCCATATGCCAGGTACTTTTCTAAGAGCTTTACCTGTATTCTCATTCCTGGAGGCGCTCACAGAATACCTGGGGACCAATGGGGCAGCTACACAGCACAGTGAGAGAACAGGGTGGTACTGGTCTGGCCTCAGAGTTTCAAGTAACAGAAAACAACTGAAATTAAAATTAATTTAAAAAAGGGAAAATTTAACCATCTGTAAAGTCTCAGCAATGGATAATAACAGCTAAGATTTACTGAGAGTTTTCTATGGGCTGCTCTAAAGACTTCGCATGTATTAATACTTTTAATCTTTACCCAATCCTGTGAGGTGGGTATTATTCTTAACCCCATTTTGCAAGTGAGGAAACTAAGGCAAAGAGTGGATAAGATGCTTTCTCAAGGTTCAAAGAGTCAGTAATGACAGGACCGGCAATGACAGCCAGGCAGGCAGCTAGCTCCAGAGCTCAGTTCCTTAACAGGATTAACTAAGGCTTGGCTAGATCTGGGAGGCGGCGCAATGCTACCAAGACCTCTTAGCTTGCCTCTCAGTGCTTCCTTCCCACGTGGGCTCCCATTTCCAGAACAGCAGCCCCAAGCCCAAACTGACCTCAGAGCTCACCATATCAAAGCAACCGTGAACATCTTCCCAGCCTAAGACGTGGAGGATGAGAGGTCTGTTTTGGGTCTTGTGCCCTCCCCTAGGACGGGGTCAGTCTCTGGGATCTGAGCAGGACCACTATAGAAAGCAGCAGTGGTTTCTCAGAGGTAGGCAGACACATGTATATCCATATTGAAGACAAGTTAGCTGTGCTCAAGGACCAAAGTAAGCACAGCTAATGGAGTTCCTGCCGTGTGCTCGGTGTTTGCAAGGTACTGGGGGATACCAAGACATGGTTGTTTCTCCCAATCAACTGGGGGAAACACAGGGCAAAAGGAAAATAACAATAAAGCTTGGTAATTCTTGGAAGAGAGACATGAATAGAGTCACTGGAACCCAGGGACAAGGGAACACTGATCAAGGGGCGAACAGGTGCCGGATCTTGAAGGCCTGGCAAGCCAAATTACTAAGAATAGTAACTACTGCTGTTTGGAGGCAAACTATGTATGCCAGGCACTAAGCTAAACAATCTGTATACATGTATCTTCACTCCAATACCCGATGTTTCACAGATGAGCAAACTGATACTTAGAACAATAAAATAACTTGCCCAAAGACCCACAGTGATGGAGGCAGGATTTGACAGTCTATACACACCTTGGATTTAACTATGTTGCTAAGGGGGGGCCAGTAAAGGTCACAATGAAATTCATTTGTTCCCCACAAGTAATCCACATTGAAAATGAAAATTTCTTAATTGGTAGCAAATCTGGTATCACATATCTATCTATAATTAGGGTGCCACAGTACACACATTGAAGGGTTTCTTTTCTTTTCTTTCTTTTTTTTTTGAGACAGAGTTTCACTCTTGCTGCCCAGGCTGGAGTGCAATGGGTGGTCTTGGCTTACTGCAACCTCCACTTCCTGGGTTCAAGCCATTCTCCTGCCTCAGCCTCCCAGGCAGCTGGGATTATAGGCGCTTGCTACCATGCCCAGCTAATTTTTTTTTTTTTTTTTGTATTTTTAGTAGAGACGGGGTTTCACCATGTTGGCCAGGCTGGTCTCAAACTCTTGAGCTGAGGTGCCACCTGCCTCAGCCTCCCAAAGTGCTGGGATTACAGGCATGAGCCACTGCACCTGCCCAAAGGGCTTCTTTAATGGACCTCAGAAATGAAGATGTGGTCATTAAATACTGGAATTTTTCCAACCTCCTTTTAAGTATCATCAATATGCTGTGCAAGTAGTGCCATTTAAAATTGCAGAGAAAAAAACTCTGGAAGGATTTCAGATCCAAATTCAAAGGCCCCGAAACCACAAAAGGAGAAACCTGATCTGACCTGAACATACCATGTATGGGAACCTGGGATAGCGGCGATGCTCTTGGGAGTATTCAGTTACCACGGAGGCCCTGCACTGACCCTTTTTCGAGGAGACAATCAACAGAAGATTGTATTTGATGGGACAAATTCACTTCCTGTTAACAAGGCTTCTAACCCCGTACGAGAGAGAAGAGAGGGCAAAGACTTCAGTTGACTTTGAATAAATGAATCCAGTTCTTTAGGAGTCTTGAAAGAAAAAAAAAACAGAAAAAAAAAAACAGGATAAAGGAGGTATTGTTTAGAAAGGCCATATGATCCACCCAGCTGTTAAATCCTGTGCTCCGAAGGGGGAAGAAAGGCTGAAGAAATGATAAATCAGTAGGGATTTGGTATTTCTCTCTTTTTTTTAATTTTTTTTATTTTTATTTTTGAGAGGGAATCTCACTCTGTTGCCCAAGCTGGAGTGCAGTGGCAGGATCACTGCAGCCTCCTTCTCCCAGGTTCAAGTGATTGTCCTGCCTCAGCCTCCAGAGTAGCTGGGATTACAGGTGCCGGCCACCATTCCCGGCTAACTTTTGTATTTTTAGTAGAGACGGGGTTTCGCCATGTTGGCCAGGCTGGTCTCAAACGCCTGACCTTGTGATCCGCCCGCCTCGGCCTCGCAAAGTGTTGGGATTACAGGCGTGAGCCACCGCGCGCGGCTGGCACTCTTTTCTTGAGTATTTCTTATTACATTCCTTTTACAAACACCCCAACACATCGAAGATATTAAACAGTGCCTACTAATTCAAATTTTACTTCCTATGTAGCTGGCTCTCCACCCCTGTATTCAACTCACCTGAAACCACTCTCCCTGCTCTCCCACACTGCAGCAGAATAAACTGCCCTTTATATGTACAGTGTTTCTATTATGCCCCATGTACAGTGTTTTTATTATGGCACTGTATTGAAGCTGCTTCCTCTACTAGATTCTTCTGTCCTCACCATTTTATCACATGCAGCTGCTCAGAAAATGTTGGCTGCATTGATGAAATGCTTTCATACATTTACAAATAGAGTTTTCTTGTAATATACCTCTGTGGTTTTCTTTGGACAAGGAGCTCCTCACGTGCAAGGCCATGTCTTACTCATCTTTATCTCCACTGCTAGCATGGTGCCTAACAGCTCCTACCAAATAGTAGATGCTCAGTAAACGTTTGCGTGGCTAAGCCCACCATTTCTCAGCACATGACACGCTGGGAAACGGCTGGGAGAGTAATACGCGGGATTATTGACGAAGAAAAAGTTGTGAACTCGTAACACACAGTTTGTGGGCGTGAGCAGTGTGGAAAACCGCAGTTTGCTGGGAAAGCAATTTAGTTCCCTCGGTTCAGGCTGGGAGGATTTTTCACAAGTGGCGAGGAGGAGGCTCACATGAACCACATACAGGTACTTCTCACTGAAACGCACAACAAATCTAGAGCCAAGTGTAATAACGAAACGGGCCCCAAGAAGTTTATTTAATGCCCAGGGCCCCCAAGTGGTCACTGCCAGGCTCTAGCATCCTGTCCAGCAGGCCTTTCTCCTCCTTTCAAGTCTTGCTGGACGACTCCTGAAAAGCAAAAGTAGGAAAAAAACTGGGGGCTGAGAGTGGAAGGCTGGACAGAGGGTATGTCTCCTGCTCTGGCACCCGGAAGCCTGCGAGGGCTTCGGAAGCGCAGCGTCTCACGGTCGCGCATCCCGGCCCTGGACGCATCCAGCGGCAGCGGTAATCCTGGTCCTCCTGGGCTTCCGTAGGTCGGAATAAACTTGGGAACTCTTCCACCGGCAAAGCTCAGTGTTTTAAAATTCAAATCACACTTGCCGACATGAGAGCGGAACCTTTGAGGCCGACTCCACCCTAGCTGCTCGCTAACTAAACAGCGAAGAGAACACAGTCTCCAATCCAAACGCCAGGAGGTCCAGACCCGGAGCGGACGCCGGAAGCGCTGTGTCTGACGTCACTTCCGTCGCATTTCGGGGCGGTACCAAGATGGACTCCTCGCGGGCCCGGCAGCAGCTCCGGCGGCGATTCCTCCTCCTGCCGGACGCCGAGGCCCAGCTGGACCGCGAGGGTGACGCCGGGCCGGGTGAGGCGCGCACCAAGCCGCCCCGAGGTTCTCAGAGGCGAGGCGTCGGAAAACGGCCGGCCTCCGGCAGCCCTGGCCCAGTCTGGAAGGACTGAGTTTCGGCTTTGCAAGTCGAATATTTAATGTCAGGGAAGATCCTTAGAATCGCGGAGTGCTGTGCATCGTCATTTCAGCTGCGCTTCAGAATTCTCTGGAGAGCTGATTTGACACCTATTTGGAAATAGCGATTAAAATTAAAAATACCCACCAGTTTTAAGTCTTAAGGATTTACCAGAAACATGCGTGTACCGCAGTGTACAATGATGTGCGCAGTGTTTCACTTCAGGATTGCTTGTAATAGCGAATTACTGGAAATATCTGCCTTGCCCGTCAGCAGAAAGCTGTTTAAGTAAATTTGGGTATATGTATACCTGACACATCAGGTCGACTCGTATGTACCAATGGGGATGATTTTCAAAGGGAAGTGTGGAACACTATGGTATGCCGCCATTTGGGTACAAAACAGGTAACTTGTGATGTATGTTCACCTGTGAATGCATAGAATATGGAAGAATTCAGTAGAAATTGTAAGTGGTGGTTGCTTCTGGGGATTAGATCTGAGGTTAAGGATGGGAGACAGATACTTCATTTTGGATATTTTTTATCTCATATGTTTTAAAACCACGTCCATTTATTACCTTTTAAAATTAAAAACACGAATAACCTCATGCCCAGGCATGATGATGTATACATTTTGAGGATATCCCAGAATATTACGAACATGCTTCCCAGGGTTTCCGATGGTCATCTAAAGGCCCAAAACCTCAGATGTGGACCATTGATTCTCACGTGAACCTAGAGGGCATGTCAGAATCCCCGGAAAACTTAATAGAAATCATCCATCTGACCCAACCCCCATCCACCCATTCTTTCAGATTGCGTTCCAGACAGGAAAAATGTCTTGTCCATCACCTGTCTAGACAGTGCTGTGCTGGAACTAGAGCTCTGGTGTGCCGTTTCCACTTTTGAGCTGTGTTTAAAGTAACTAAAATATTTAGTTATAGGCTGGGCAGGGTAGCTCACGCCTGTAATCCCAGCACTTTGAGAGGCTGAGGCGGGCTGATCACGAGGTCAGGAGTTCGAGACCAACCTGGCCAAATAGAGCAGCCTGGCCAAGATGGTGAAACCCCGTCTCTACTAAAAATACAAAAATTAGCCCGGCGTGGTGGCAGGCGCCTGTAATCCCAGGTACTCGGGAGGCTGAGGCAGGAGAATTGCTTGAACCCGGGAGGCGGTGGTTGCAGTGAGCCGAGATCAAACCATTCCACTCCAACCCGGGCGACAGAGGAAGACTCCGACTCAAAAAAAAAAAATTTAGTTATAAAAGTGTTCTTGGAAGACCACAAGTCCAGTTCATGCGCTAATGTTTGCCTTTGGCATTTTTCCTAATTAACAAGACTAATTACTTTCCTAGAAGAAATGTGAAACATAATATTAAAATTCTTACATTTCCAGGTGACATTGTTATTTCCGAAAGACGATGAAAGTGTAAATTTGATTTCACAATGTATTTAGAGGAAATAAATTGACTGTATTGACCATATTTTATAGTGGGCTCTTATTTTTTGTAAATATAAACCTATCTCAAGGGTTTTACAGAAGGATTTGTTATCATGGGAGAGACTGTTTCTTAGCTCTAGGAAATGATTTTATTTGGCTTAAGTGTAATTTTTCCTCGCAAAATTGTGGTAACTTAATAAGTTGAAATCTCCCTTATTTGCAGAAACCTCCACAGCTGTTGAGAAAAAGGAGAAACCTCTTCCAAGACTTAATATCCATTCTGGATTCTGGATTTTGGCATCCATTGTTGTGACCTATTATGTTGACTTCTTTAAAACCCTTAAAGAAAACTTCCACACTAGCAGGTAAGAAAATTTTATTGCTTTGTAAATTAAACCCAAGTCTGATTTTTCGTGTTATATTTTGTTAGTTGAATTCTTCAAACAGTAAGCACCTACTACTCTCTGCCAGGCCCTGTGTTGGAGGTGTGGTGATACGAAGATGAATATGAGATGGGGGTCAAAGGGTACATATTTTTAGTTATAAGATGAATAAGGTCTGGAGATCTAATGTACATACAGTATAGTGACTATAGTTAATAAGGCTGTATTGTATACTTGAAATTTTCTAAGAGTAGGTCTTGTGTCCTCCCCCTGTTACCCCACCAGTGGTAACTATGTGAGGTGATGAGTGTGATAATTAACTTGATTGTGGTAATAATTTCACAATGTGTGTGTGTGTATATGTATACACGTATATATATATTCATATATATGTATATATGTATATATTCATGTGTGTGTGTATATATATATCAAGTCATCACACTGTATACCTTGAATATATAAAATTTTAATTTGTCAATTGTACTTCAATAAAGCTGGAAAAAATAAAACCAATGAGAGGGTGTGTGCTCTGGGCACATACAGTAGAGTGGAATAGAACTGGAAATTATTTGTGTGCAAATAAATGTGTTGTAGGATGAGGAAGGTAGTAAATTTAAGAAGAACCTAATCCATTTGGGGAAAAGAGGGAGAAAGACTGACTGAAGGTCTTCAAAGACCAAGTACAAGAGTACTGGGAGGAAGAGCCGAGAACTGTGGCCAGTGGGAATTGGGTCTCAGGGTTGGTTTCAGAGGGTGGTTACAGCTGACAAGGTAACTACAGGGTGTAACTGTGTTAGAGTGGAGGTGAAGGTCCACAGTGGGAGGAGTGACAGCTTTGTGGCCAGACCAGATGTCCAGTAGTTCCTCATTCACAGGGACTGAGATCCTTTCAGTATAGTCTCCAGAGTTGACATGGAGGAGAGGGTTGGAATCATATCCTAGGGTCCTTACTGCACATTGGAGAGTGATGTGGAGACCCTTGGATAAGAAATGGAAGGGAGAGGTATGTTGGTGAGCATCATGGCATTGGGAGGGCTGGTGTGCTTAGGGTCAAGAGTAATAATTTGGAAGTACCAGTGGGGGTAGGAAGATGCAGACAGGACTGTGGTCCCCTCGTATCATGGCAGGACACATGATTTCTCCTCAAGGGCCTTCAGGAGGAGCAGTGACTTCTGGCGGAGGAGACTGTCGAGCCACAAGGAAAAAGCCCACAGGGGAAAGTAGGCAGAGGGGAGTTTATTTAAACTGTCCTCTACTTTCTAGGGGAGAAACTTTCCCTAAACACTCCCATCTTCTGCCCCTCCATGTCACTCACTCCTTTGTGGGAGGTGGCGTGACTGATTGAGTGTGTGATGAAGAACTGGACAAAGGTAGCTCAGCACCTTCTTCTGCTGCAAGTCGGCTGCCCATAGGAAGCGCAGAGTCTGGTCTGCCTTCCCATGGTGTCATTCCACAGGGGCAGTCCCCACAGGAAAAGGTCTCTAGGTTTTCATTTTGACCTGGAACCCAGTGGGTAAGGCTGTTTCTGGGTGTCAGAGACCCAGTATTAGGAAGTGCTTTGTCATCACTCACCAAAGCCATATTCTTCCCACGGCTGCATCAGTATAACAGACATTTAATCTTCATCAGCTTGACTCAGTCATCTCTCTTAGAACTTGGGCTGGGAAAAGAGGGATGGATACTTTATTTTTATTTTTATTTTGAGACAGGGTCTCGCTGCACTCTGTCACCCAGGCTGGAGTGTAGTGGTGCGATCATGGCTTGCTGCCTTGACTTCCCAGGCTCAAGTGATCCTCCCACCTCAGCCTCCCAAGTAGCTAGGACTATAGGCGCACACCACCATGCCTGGCTAATTTGGTTTATTTTTTGTAGAGACGAGGTCTCTTCATGTTGCCCAGGCTGGTCTCAAACTTGTGGGCTCCAGTGATCCTCCCACCTTGACTTCCTAAAGTACTGCGATTACAGGTGTGAGCCACTGCACCTGGCTGGAGGGGATGGGTACTTTAACCACCACCAATAGCAGCTGCTCTTTCCTTCATCAGATACTTTATGGAGGCTGAGATGTGTTTGGCTGTCAGTGCCAAACACGTGGAAGGTGCATTTCTAGCTCTCCAACAGCTCATTCTAGGCTGCAGCAGACAAGTTACCAGGCCGCATGGTATGTGCTTTGTAAGTGTAGGCGCAGGGTATCATGGGAGCATCTAGGAGGGATATCTAGTCCAGGTCAGCCTCAGGACTGAGACCTTTTTGAGGTTTTAGGAGATGTGAGAGAACTTCTGTATTTGTGTCCTTATATTGGGTATTTTTAGTAGTTTAGAGAAATGGCAGAGTAAGAAATGATCACACATAAGATATTTGGGGGCAACTGCAGTGAAGTGGAGTGCCCAGGACCACATAACTGCTGTGTGGCAAAGCCGGGACGCAGACACTGGGACCAGGGCTGTGGGGGTTGGAAAGAAAGTAGAAGTCATAGATCTGTCCTCAACAAGGTGTCATCTTAGAGAGAAAAAGGCAGAAATGCATTCTCAAAGGCTGAGGATTTTGAGTCGCATTGTTTTCTTGGGAAGGACTCATTAAGGGGAGTTGGGGGGTATTGAACAGCCATGAAATGAGAGGGCTGCACAAAAGACAGTGCCGGCTGAGTTCTGCTTTTGGAAAATGGCTAAAATGGCTCGTTCTTCTGACGCCTGAGGTGATTTCTTTTTCCTCTGGCTCTAGCCTAAGTTTAGAAGCTTGAGGCCTTAAGGTTCTTTATATTGTTCAAAGATGGGAGAGCAGGTCCATATTAAAAACAAAACAGGCCAGGCGCGGTGGCTCACGCCTGTAATCCCAGCGCTTTGGGAGGCCGAGGCGGGCGGATCACGAGGTCAGGAGATCGAGACCATCCTGGCTAACGCGGTGAAACCCCGTCTCTACTAAAAATACAAAAAACAATTAGCTGGGCATGGTGGCGGGCGCCTGTAGTCCCAGCTACTTGGGAGGCTGAGGCAGAAGAATGGCGTGAACCCAGCAGGTGGAGATTGCAGTGAGCCGAGATCGCGCCACTGCACTCCAGCCTGGGCGACAGAGCGAGACTCCGTCTTAAAAAAATTAAATAAGTAAATAAATAATAACAAAACAACACTGTGATGCTTTAGAAATCACAGTTTAAAATACTCGGCTTGTGTGCATCAAAATCAACAGTGGAGTTAAAGACAGAAAGTAAAATTAAAATCCTAGATGCTCAGGCCCAGAATTTTGGAAACTGGGGACTAGGTAGTTTCTCTTAGAAAGGTGCAAGGTGACTGTGATATAAAGCCAGGGCCGAGGACCACTGACTGATAGTATTATATTTTGTTCAGGCAGTTTAAAAAATTTTCTTAGGCCGGGCATGGTGGCTCATGCCTGTAATCCGAGCACTTTGGGAGGCCAAGGTGGATGGATCACCTGAGGTCAGGAGTTCAAGACCATCCTGGCCAACATGGTGAGACCCCATCTCTACTAAAAATACAAAAATTAGCTGGGTGTGGTGTTGGGCACCTGTAATATCAGCTGCTCAGGAGGCTGAGGCAGGAGGATAGCTTGAACCTGGGAAGTGGAGGTTGCAGTGAGCCGAGATCGTGCCATTGCACTCCAGCCTGGGCAACAACAGCGAGACTCCGTCTCAAAAAAAAAAAATTTTTTTTTTCTCATATCCACATGTTGGCAAAGGAAAAAAATGTCTAAAAAGACTCCTTAGGGGTAATGATAAAAGGCCTTTTTAGACATTTTTTTCCTAATCATTCCTGTGGAATGTGGAATTAGATAAACTATATCATTTATATACTGCATGCATATCTATGCTTTATACATACAATTAGAGCCATATTTTTTTCTTCACTTTGGGGGCGATACTCCCCCCAGTGAGATTGCATGCTCTAGCAGAAGAGAGGTCTTTGAAGACTCCTAAAGATGAACATGGACATTTTTTCCTCATAGATATAACTTGAGTGATGGCTGGGCATGGTGGCTGACCCCTATAATCCCAGCACTTTGGAAGGCTGAGACAGGTGGATCACTTGAGGTCAGGAATTCGAGACCAGCCTGGCCAATATGGACATGGTGAAACCCCATCTCTACTAAAAATACAAAAATTAGCTGGGCGTGGTGGCCAGTGCCTGTAATTCCAGCTACTTGGGAGGCTGAGGCAGGAGAATTGGTGAACCTGGGAGGCGGAGGTTGCAGTGAGCTGAGATTGCAGCACTGCACTCCAGCCTGGGCAACAGAGCAAGACTCCGGCTCAGAAATAAATGAATGAAAATAAAAATAACTTGAGTGGAATAATAATGATTATGATTGAGAGTCAGCTGTGAGGAGCACTTTGCTGACCACTTGATTTAATTCTCACAGCTATTCTGAGTTAAGTACTGTCAATATTTCTGAAACACACGGAGGTTAGGTAATTTGCCTAGAGTCACAAAACTAGTCTTGCTCAAGTTAAGATTCAAACCCATACAGACAGATTTCAGAGGCTGTGCTCTTAACCCCTTCCCTCTACAGCCTCTCATGACTCCGAATCTCAGAATTGCATCATCGTAAAAAGCCTTCATGGAATCCGGAACCTTGCCATTATTGGAAGTTCACTTTGTGCCTTTGTAACTTATCTGTTGTAGCCATCTGTTCTCCCTCTCTCTTCCACATGGATTGTCAGGCTTTTCCCATAGAGAAGCAGATGATGATGGGATATTGGATTGAGTTGGGAGAATGGGAAAGGCATTTCAGTCCCCAAGTCCAGCTGGGGTGGAGGGAAGGGGTTGTCCAGGTTGCCTCACTCTTGCTGAATCAGGTCACAGGTGGAATTGGAAGGGAGTAAAAAGGCATTGGCATTGAGGGTGAGGTGGTGAGTAGAAGATATTTTGAAAATGGGAGGATTTCATTTAGAAATCTTTTATGAGAGAAAATTTGAATTATTGATCTTCCTAATTGTCTTTCAGTATTCCAAGAAAGTCCACTTAACTTGGAGGAATGAAGTTTCCCACTGATAAACTTCTTTAATCCTGTCACACTCAAAACTTCAGAAACAACCAGAAAGCCACTATCTTCCTTGTATTTTTGTTTTTATTTATTTTATTTTTTGAGACAGAGTTTCACTCTTGTTGCCCAGGCACTCCAGGCTGGAGTGCAATGGCGCCATCTCAGCTCATTGCAATCTCTGCCTCCTGGGTTCAGGCGATTCTCCTGCCTCATCCTCCCAAGAAGATTGGATTACAGGCTTGCGCCACCACGCCTGGCTAATTTTGTATTTTTAGTAGAGACAGGATTTCTCCGTGTTGGTCAGGCTGGTCTCGAACTCCTGACCTCAGGTGATCCACCTGCCTCGGCCTTCCAAAGTGTTGGGATTATAGGCATGAGCCACTGCGCCCGGCCTCTTCCTTGTATTTTTAAAGAAAATGCATTGTCATGACCAGAATTTTCCCTTGGTTGGTTGGCTGATGAGAGTGTATATATAAATGCATGTATTTCAAGTCTTACTTTTCATTCTTTCCTGAGTTGTGTATCTCTTTTTCTCACCCCCATCTCCCATAGATTGAGACTTTCTGAAAGCATGGATTGTTTAAGTATGGCTCCCTCTGCAACACTTGATATTCTTAGAAGCAGATTTTTAAGCTATTAGTAAAAACTTTTAAGATATGTGACGATTCATTAAGTGCTGTCAGACCTCTTACTGTTTTTATCTCCACAGCTGGTTTCTCTGTGGCAGTGCCTTGTTGCTTGTCAGTTTATCAATTGCATTTTACTGCATAGTCTACCTGGAATGGTATTGTGGAATTGGAGAATATGATGTCAAGTATCCAGCCTTGATACCCATTACCACTGCCTCCTTTATTGCAGCAGGAATTTGGTAAGTTAACTTTGAAATGACTAACAGGAATGAACAACAAATTTTTTTTTTGATCAGATAGTGATATGCTTGGTCCAAACTTCGAAAGAAAAAAAGTTAAAACAGAAAAATAGTCTCCTGGTCATTCATGCTCTCTGGTTCCCTTTTGATTAGTATCTCTTTCTCCTTCTATTTATGGATCTAGTTATTTAAAGCACAGATGGTGACATTCTGTACATATTCTGCATTTTGCTTTTTAAATCTATTTTATTATGACATACAGTACATATAGAAAAGTGAAAAAAACTGAGATGAATGAATTAGTGAATGAATTCTCATGAAGTGAGCATTGGTGTAAACTGAGCCAGCACACTGGGAACCCCCTTCATTCTCCCTCCCAGTTACTACACCTTCCCTCCTGCCACAGGTAAATACTGCCCTGACCTTCATGGTAACTACTTGCTTTGCTTCCATTAGATATTCTATTTTTGTTTCAGCTACGCTTTTGAACTTTATAGAAATGGATTTGTACAGGGTGTATTCCTTCACATTGAGCTGGCTGTGTGCAGCATTGTGTGCAGTTCTTTCATATTGTCGCCGGGAACAGTGACTCATCTTCATTGCTCTTTAGCATTCCATTGTTTAATTGAATCCCAGTTTTCTTTTCCCTTGTTGATTGTGTTTAGATTTTTTTCAGTTTGGGGTTACTATGAAGGATGCTATAAAGAGCATTCTTGTACATGGCTCTTGTAGCACAGTGAACACATTTCTGTTGGGTGTAGAGATGTATGTATATATGTATATATATGTACCCCAAGGGGTAAAATTGTTGGATGTACGTACCTTTGACTTCAGTAAATCATGCCAAACTGCTTTCCAAAGTGGTTGTTTGTCCTTTTCTCCTTTTGTTTTTCAGTGGATCCTTATAGTTTGGGATTCTTCCATAATGGTACATATAGATGTGTCTCATTTTTTTAAACAGTTGCATAGTTTTCACAGCATGGACATAACATGATTTATTTAACCTGTCTTCTGTTGTTGGACTTCGTTATATTTATACCCAAACAATGCCACAATGAATAACCTTCTTCATAAGTTAATTAAATACTCAATGAAAAATACAGGGTTTTTTGGGTTTATAAAAGTAATACTTGCTCACTGAGGAAAAAAAATCTGTAAATTACATGAAAACACAAAGGAAATATATCCTATGATTCAACCAGAAAGAAAACTACTTTTCCTATGTTGTGTGCAGCTCTCTAGTTTTTTCTTTCTTTATATCAATTGGATTTTTTTTTCTTTTTGGAGATAGGGTCTCACTGTGTCACCCAGGCCGGAGTGCAGTGGCATGATCACAGCTCACTGCAGCCTCGACTTCCCAGGCTTAAGTGATCCTCCTGCCTCACTCAGCCTCCCGAGTAGTTGGGACCACAGGCATGTGTCACCACATCTGGCTATTTTTTGTATTTTTTGTAGAGATGGGGTTTCGCTGTGCTGCTCAGGCAGGTCTCAAACTCCTGGCCTCAAGCCATCTGCTTGTGTTGGCCTCCCAAAGTGCTGGATTACAGGCGTGCGCCACCACCCCCGGCCTAATTGAATTTTTATTTTGGAAGAACCATATACCTTTATACATATTCTTTCTATGACTTATTTTCTGTAGTTGAAGTTCAAGGTTGTTTGACAGTGTGATGTGGTTATTGTTAACCTGTATGTGGGGGCATGCAGATACGTTGTTTTACTTTTTCCCATGAGGGTAAGATCATGTCCAGAAATGTTAATTTTTTAGACAGTGTGATTTGTGATTATAGTTATTTAATACTCATACTTATCAAACTATTATATATTAAAACCAATAACCATCTGAACTTATTTGAATATAGTTTTCCCTATTCTGTTCTTAGAAATTTCAGTCATTAAAAATCTTTATACTTAGTGTTTTAATTTTACTTTGATGACAGGAATAGTGTTTTTCTCAATGAAAGATATAATAGCAGCTTATAAGTGATAACTGTTTTCATTCTGTTTTTAAGAGACAATATTTTGGTCTTTTTTACCATGATAGTTTAGTGTGTGATGTCATAAAAATGGGCTGTAGCCATTTAAATTATTGTTGAAGTCAGAAACTAAGAGACTTCAGTTTCTATTAAGCCATGTCAACCCCTATTAGGAGACCTTTAGTGGTTCCAGTTCCAGGGCCTTCTTGAAGAAATTGTGATACTTGTTTAAGTATATCTAGAGTTTTCCTTTCCAGCATTGGCTAAGTCACATACTTGAGAAATATGATACATAGAGAAAGTTGCTGACTGGATGAACTTTTCTACATTGAATACTTTAAATCTGGATTCTAGAATAAAATATATTGATGCATATTGGAGTTGTCAACTGTTTATGTCTTGTTCTTTTCAGCTTCAACATTGCTTTATGGCATGTGTGGTCGTTTTTCACTCCATTGTTGTTGTTTACCCAGTTTATGGGGGTTGTCATGTTTATCACACTCCTTGGATGATTTCCGAAGGTAAGATATCTGGAGTGGTTTTTCTAAAAATGAACTCGTTTGAAAAATGTCTTTTATGACAATTTTCAGTGGATGGAGCTGTAACAGACTATTTGTGAATTATTTTCAGTCATGTTTACACCAGAGTTGTCCACACTAGAATTATCCATTCATTGAACTCTGAGATAGACTCCTTTTTGTTTTGAGACAGCTTCTCACTCTGTTGTCCAGGCTGGAGTACGGTGGCATGATCACAGCTCACTGCAGCCTTGACCACTTGGGGGCTCAAGCAATCCTCCCACCTCAGTTTCCCAAGTAGCTGGTATTATAAGCATGTGCTACCATGCTTGGCTAATTTTTAAAAATTTTTTTGTAGAAACAGAGTCTCCTTATGTTGCCCAGGCTGGCGGGGGTTGGGGGCTGAGACTCTTTCTTTTGTAAAAGTTGGTTCTAAGTGACTACTTTTTAGAGAAGGTACCCTGCCTTTCAAAGACCTCATAAAGACAGGATTTGTACCTTCCAATATAGTTGAATTCACACATTAGACCATTTTATGTTGAAATTATATTAATTTGTGTCAGCTTATATTCAGTGACTGTTGGCTGGATCATTCTTAAGAAATGGGAATACAGGAAGAATGAACAATTTTACCTAATTGGGAAAAAAAATTCTGCCATCTTCTAATTATTCTGACTTCCTCATAAAAATGTGTTGGATGACACAATCAGCTTTCGTTTGGTGTTATTTATAGAATTTCTGCCTCCCTACAGATCACCCCATCCTGAGATCTGCTGCCTTACACAGTGGAGGCTGTTTTCTGAGTGTCGGATAACTCTGTTATTAAATAAGTGTATATTGAGAATACTCACTCCAGATGCTTAGGGGCATGGTGAGAAGGACAAAGATAGTGCCTCCTGTCAGGTCACTTACATCAGAACTTGCAGGAAACCTGCTTTATACAGCAGTTGACAGGTGTGGAAACTGAAGCTCATGGAAATAAAAGTTAATACGCTAAATTTTCAAGGAGTTAATGAAAACTGACATTTCTGCTAAAAACAGCATGTTCTCCCTGTGGGATTTTAAAGGAAGGTCAGTGGTAACTGTGTAAAGAAGAAATGGACATACTCTCATTGTTAGCAGTCTGAAAATAGTTGCTAGCACCTCCATGCCCACGCCAATGTCTCCAGCCTCCTTCAGGCACCTTGCTGTGTCTTGGGACCACTGGGAACCCTCACAGGAGGCCCTTCATTCCTGTACACCTGTGGTGCCACAAGCGGCTTTGGGCCCGGAGGAATCCTACACATCTCAGAACACTTCCTCACCTGACCCTGTCACCCATCTCCCCTTCTCGTGTTCTCAGCCCCTTCTTTGACTCTTGAATTTTGAGTTTTTACAGATGTTTGGGAGCTCTTACTCTGACATGAAGTTATAATTGGTAATGGAGACTCAGACAATGTTGTAGATTACAGAGTGAACTATGCTTTTTAGTGTTAAATGCAATAGCTTGAGATACAATGTTTTACTTGGTACATAAATGCTGGTTTTCTTTCAGATTTAAGGACATACACTTTTTTTTTTTTTTTTTTTTAAGAGACAGGGTCTTCTATGTTGCCCAGGCTGTCTTTGAACTCCTGGGATCAAGTGATCCTCCTGCCTCAGCCTTCGAAGTAGTTGGGACTACAGGCCCACGCCACCGTGCCTGGCTGGACATGTAAATTTGAAGTGAATGGTTAAACATCCAGCTAGCTGAAAGCATGGCAGACCCTAACAGAAAAGCTACAGTGTGTTTTTGCAGCTATGAAGTGAATGGTTTCCTGGGGAAAATTGTGACTTTGTATAACTGTTGTTGAAACCAGAATAAATTATATTTCACTTGCATATGCATAAATTATTAAAATTTTCAGAAGTCAGTGATACAGAAGTACTATTTTGCAATGTTAATCTGTTTGAGTCTTTGGAGAAAGTGGTTTCATTGTAGGTACATAGTGCACTGTTAATATTTTAAACAAGTAGTTCACTCTTCCATTTAAGGGATAGCAGTTCCTTGTATAAAATGACTGGATGTGTATAAAGGAATTATGTTGTCATGTGCCTTTAACCAGCTTTAGTAATTACTATAATCTCATATTTATGATAGTTTTGTTAGGTGACAGGACCAAATGAAAATATTTTATGTTTTCTCATCACTTTAGATTTTATCATTATGTACATTACTGGGTTTTTAGCATTTCCTAATGTGAAGTTTTAATCACTTTTAAGTATACATTTTTTTCTGTATCATTTAAATAAAATATTTTTATAACTTTCTTGTGAGTTTTGTTCATGCGAACTTTGGAATAACTTCTGGTTTTTAGCTATTAGCACTTTGAATTAACTGTAGCAATAACAAGGGCTAACTCTGTTCTTCAAAGACCTTATAAAGACAGTATTTGCACTTTCAAATGCCAATATGTCTACATTAAATCTAAGCAGCATAAGCATTGTGACAGAATGTATCTCATGTTGATTGTTTTCTCTGTAAGGTGACTTCTAATAATGACCTGACTTAATCACCACTTGTGTCTGGTTCAGATCATACCCTGCCATTTACTAGCTGCAAGACCTTCAGTAGTACAGGTTTAGTATCCCTAATTTCAAAATCTGAAACTTTTTGATGACTGACGTGACACTCAAAGGAAATGCTCATTGGAGCATTTTGGGTTTTGGAATATAATGCAAATATTCCAAAATCCAAAACACTTCTGGTCCCAAGCATTTCAGAGAAGGGGTAGTCAGACTGTAATCTTTTTTCAGCTGTGAAGTGGGAACGATATCTGTCTTGTAGGGTTGTGCGTAATAGTAATAATGTTTGTAAAACACCAATTACAGTGCCTGACACAGTAGGTGTCCACTCAATAAATGGTAATGGAGAGGGAAAGAAAGGGAAAGCAGGATCTAGGATCAGGAATATCACATCCGGTCATGATGTCTGCAAAGGGGAAAGGCATGATGAGTAGACAGAAGCAAACCCAGTTTGTGGTCATGGGTATGTGAAGGTGTGGCGAGAGTGTCATTTAAAATAGGGAGCAAGGCCAGGCAAAGGCCACAATCAGGCAGCCTAGTCAGGCAGTGATTAATCAGGCAGTGATGTGAGGGTCTGGTACAACTGAGGCTGCAGCCCTGGAAGGTAGGGCATTTGGATCAGACTCCCTGGAGGGAGCTTGGGTGGAGAGTGCCCCAGTGTCAGCCTTCACACATTTTATATCTTTTTTTTTTTTTTTCTTGAAGAGTATGTTTACAACATGGATAGAAATCTAAGGCTGGGATGTGTTTAAAACAATTAGTTAAAACCCAGTTTCCCAAGAGCTAATAACTGGCCAATTAGGATGGTATGAAGATTATCCTATTACTTAAAAAAAGACTTTGAGACAGAGTCTTTAACTTGTCATAACATGTCTGAACAGGATCTAGTTTGAGACACTAAGAAGGATAAGACATCAGTTTGAGAAGAGACCACATCAGTGCAACATGAATTCTGCTAAAATCGAAGCAAGCACAAACATCAATTTATTGTGAGGCTTGGGTGAAAAAATGGTGAAATCACTAATGCTTCATGAAAAGTTTATAGGAACAATGCCCCAAAGAAATCAACAGCTTACAAATGAATAACTTGTTTTGAGAAGGTATGAGATGATGTTGAAGAGGAAGCCCTCAGTGAGAGACCCTACACATGAATCTTTGAGGAAAAAATTAATCTTGTTTATGCCCTAATCAAAGAGGACTGATGATTAACAGCAGTTAGCAATAGCAGAAACAATAGACAGTGTCAGAGACGTCTCAATTGGTTCAGGTTACACAATTCTGACTGAAAGCAAACTTTCCACTTGATGGGCGCCAAAACTGTTGTGCCCAGATCAGTTGCAAACAACAGCAGAGCTTTCAATGGAAATTTAAACAAGTGGGATCAAGATCCTGAAGCATTTGTTCAAAAAGTTGCAACAGGATATGAAACATGGATTTCCTAGTACTATCCTGAAGACAAAGCACAATCAAAGTAATGGCTACCAAGAAGTGGAAGCGGGTCAGTCAAAGCAAAAGGAGACCAGTCAAGAGCACAGGTCATGGCAACAGTATTTTGGGGCTCAAGGCACTTTGCTTGTTGACTTTCAGGAGGACCAAAGAATGGTAACATCTGCTTATTATGAGAGGGTTTTGAGGAAGCCAAAGCTTTAGCAAAAAATTCTTGGGAAAGCTTCAGGAGAGTCCTCCTCCACCATGACAGTGCTTCTGCTTATTCCTCTCATCAAGGGCAATTTTGGGAGAATTTTGATGGGAAATCATTACAGTCCTGATTTGGCTCCTCCTAACTTCTTTTTGTTTCCTAATCTTAAAAAATCTGTAGAGGGTACCCTTTTATCTTCAGTTAATGTGTAAAAGACTGCATTGGTATGGTGAAATTCTCAGGACCTTCAGTTCCTTAGGGGTGGGCTAAATGGCTGTAGCCTGACTTATAGAAGTGTCTTGAACTTGATGGAGCTTATGTTGAGACATAAAGTGTATATTTTCCATTCATTTTTTCCAAGTTTTGAAGTCCAAGGGTACATGTGGAATGGCTAGATTGAGTTCATTAATCAATGCATTACTTTGCATACTTATTTTTTGTGGTGAGATTTCTTAAAATCTATTCTTCACAATTTTCAAAATGCTATAAATTGTTATTAACTATAGTTACTGTGCTGTACAATAGATCTCTTGAACATACCCTTCTTACTTAACTGAAATTTTGTACCCTTTGACCAACATCTCCCAAACCCCCAATTCCCCCTGCTGCCCAGCTCCTGGCAGCCACTATTCTACTCTCTACCTATATGACCTCAGCTTTTTTAGATCTACATGTAAATGAGATCATGTGGCATTTGTCTTTCTGTGCTTGGCTTATGTCACTTAACATAGTATCTTCCAGGTTCATATCCATATTTTTGCAAATGTCAGGATTTCTTTTTTTTTTCTTTTTTGAGACAGGGTCTGGCTCAGTCACCGAGGCTGGAGTGCAGTGGCACAATCTCAGCTCGCTGAAACCTGGACCTCCCAGGCTCAAATGATCCTCCTACCTCAGCCTCCCAAGTAGCTGGGACTACAGGTGCGCCCCACTGGGTCTGGCTAATTTTTTTTTTTTTTTTTTTTTTTTTGGAGACAGAGTTTCACTCTTGTTGCCCAGGCTGGAGTGCAATGGCGCGATCTTGGCTCACCCACAACCTCTGCCTCCCGGGTTCAAGTGATTATCCTGCCTCAGCCTCCTGAGTAGTTGGGATTACAGGCATTTTTAATAGAGACGGGGTTTCTGCATGTTGGTCAGGCTGGTCTCAAACTCCCGACCTCAGGTGATCCACCCGCCTCAGCCTCCCACAGTGCTGGGATTACAGGCTTGAGCCGCCGCACTCAGCATTTTTTTTTTTTTTTTTTTTTTTGTAGAGTTGAGGTTTTGCCATGTTGCCCAGCTAGTCTTGAACTCCTGGGCCCAAGCGGTCCACCCACCGTGGCCTCCCAAAGTGTTGGGTTTACAAGCATGAGCCATTGTGCCTGGCCATTTCCTTCTTTTTAAGGCTGAATAGTATTCTGCTGTGTATGTATACAATGTGTATACATACACACATTTTCTTTGTCCATTCATCCATTGATGGATGCATAGGTTAATTCCATATCTTGACTATCATTTGTGTGTTATGGATTTAATTTTTGCTCACCAGAAGATCTGTTGAAATCCTAACCCCTGGTACCTCTGATTGTGGCCCTATTTGGAAATGCAGTGTTTGTAGATTTAATTAAGATGTAAATTATAGTGAAGTCATACTGGAGTAGGTTGGGCCCTTAACCCATTATGACTGGTGTCTTTATAAGAAGAGGAAAAGAGGCACAGATGCAGAGGAAAGATGGTCAAGTGACAACAGAGGCAAAGATTGGAGTGATATAGCCACAAGCCAAGGAATGCTAAGGGTTGCCAGCAACAAGCAGAAACTGGAAGAGGCTGGTGAGGACCCCCCGTTGGAGCCTTCAGAGGGAACTTGGCTTTTCGGACATCTAGATTTTGGACTTCTGGCCTCCCAAACTGTGACAGAATAAATTTTCATTGTTTTAAAGCCACCCAGTTAGTGGCACTTTGTTACACCCATCCTAAGAAATGAATACACTTGGCTGTGCACAGTGGCTCACACCTGTAATCCCAGCACTTTGGGAGGCTGAGGTGGGTGGATCACAAGGTCAGGAGTTCGAGACCAGCCTGGCCAGCATGGTGAAACCCCATCTCTACTAAAAATACAAAAAATTAGCCAGGCATGCTGGTGTGCACCTGTAATCCCAGCTACTCGGGAGGCTGAGTCAGGAGAATCACTTGAACCCACGAGGCAAAGGTTGCAGTGAGCCAAGATCAGGCCACTGCATTCCAGCCTAGGCGATAGATTGAGACTCTGTCTCAAAAAAGGAAAAGAACAGAAACGAATACACTAACTCTTTTGTTCTTAAAAATACTGGGATTACATAGCTACCACCAAAGGTGACTGGGAGCAAAATGTTCTAATTGTCCCTTGGGACCTTCTATTGTCTCCGGTAGTTGAGTGTGCCAGTGGGCCTCTGGCCCTGTGAAATCCCATTATCTTCACTGGAAGAAGGGAGCCCATGCGATCATTAAAAAGGAAACAACAGGCGCTGGAGAGGATGTGGAGAAATAGGAACACTTTTACCCTGTTGGTGGGAGCGTAAACTAGTTCAACCATTGTGGAAGACAGTGTGGCGATTCCTCAAACATCTAGAACTAGAAATACCATTTGACCTGGTGGTTTCATTACTGGGTATACCCAAAGGATTATAAATCATGCTACTATAAAGACACCTGCACATGTATGATTATTGCAGCACTATTCACAATAGCAAAGACTTGGAACCAACCCAAATGTCCATCAATGATAGACTAGATAAAGAAAATATGGCACATATACTCCATGGAATACTATGCAGCCATAAAAAGGATGAGTTCATGTCCTTTGTAGGGACATGGATGAAGCTGGAAACCATCATTCTGAGCAAACTATCGCAAGGACAAAAAACCAAACACCGCATGTTCTCACTCATAGGTGGGAATTGAACAATGAGAATACTTGGACACAAGAAGGGGAACATCACACACTGGGGCCTCTTGTGGGGTGGGGTGGGGAGGGATAGCATTAGGAGAAATACCTAATGTAGATGACGAGTTAATGGGTGCAGCACACCAACATGGCACATGTATACATATGTAACAAATCTGCACGTTGTGCACATGTACCCTAGAACTTAAAGTATTAAAAAAAAAAAAAGAAAAAAAGGAAGGGAGCCTGTGTCCGAGGGCAGCATGCCTCCCCATCCATCTGCGTGGTACTGAATCATCACTGGGAGGCAGCTGCCTGGTCAGGACATTTCCAGCTTTTACACTGATTGAGCCATGCCACACAGCTCTCAGGACACAGTGTGGGCAGGGGTAAGATGCGCCAAATGTGGTGAAAACAGCAGGCCTGGATGCCACCAGAGCATCGTTTCTGACCCCTTGTATCTGCCCACCACGGAGCAGGGGTCAGTCGTAAGAAACTGGGGGCCCCGTGTAGCTCAGACTTTTGAAAAAAATCTCACCGGTGGAAGATAGAACACAGTGTGGGTAAATCTCTCAGTTTTATTTTATGTATTTATTGAGATGGAGTCTCACTCTGTCATCCAGGCTGGAGTCCAGTGGCACAATCTTGGCTCACTGCAACCTCTGCCTCTGCCTCTGCCTCCTGGGTTCAAGAGATTCTCCTGCCTCAGCCTCTCAAGTAGCTGGGATTACAGGTGCGCACCACCACGCTGGCTAATTTTTGTATTTTTAGTAGAGACGGTGTTTCACCATGTTGGCCAGGCTAGTCTCGAACTCCTGACCTCAAGTGATCTGCCTCGACCTCCCAAAGTGCTGGGATTACAGGCTCTCAGTGAGTTTTAACATTGTCTTGAGATTACAATAAAGGGGGCTGACTTTAGCCTCCAGAAACTTTCATTTCATTGCTTCTTAAAAAAATGCAGGCCAGGTGGGGTGGCTCATGCTGGTAATTCCAGCACTTTGGGAGGCCAAGGGGTGGATCACGAGGTCAGGAGTTAAGACCAGGCTAGCCAGCATGGGGAAACCGCACCTCTACTAAAAATACAGAAATTAGCCGGGCATGGTGGCAGGCGCCTGTAATCCCAGCTACTCGGGAGGCTGAGGCAGGAGAATCGCTTGAACTCAGGAGGCAGAGGTTGCAGTGAGCTGAGATGATTGTGCCACTGCACTCCAGCTTGGGTAACAGAGTGAGACTCCATCTCAAAAAACCAACCAACCAACCAAACAAACAAACAAAAAAGTGCAGGTAGCCCAGAGACAGGCATTCCACTTGATTTTCAGATGGTGACTGAGCTTTATTTATCTTTGTACTCAACGGGTTAAGGTACTGCTAGCTGCTGTAACATTTCAGACTTTGGTGGCTTAGCACAATGGAAGTTTATTTCTCACTGATGTAAGGTCCAGCTTCGGGAGGAAAAGCCGCCTCACTAGTCACTGGGGAGACACGCAGACAGGCTCTTCCATCTTCAGCTCAGGCTCCCAGGTTGCTCTGGCTGTTGGTAGGAAGAGGAGGGGAGAAGGTGGAGGGTCCCTAGTAGGTTTGCTGGATCTTCTCTCTGGATTGCCTTTCCAGACCCCTGCTCCCTTCCGCCTGACCATCCACTCCTAAGCCTAAAGAATGTGCAGGAGGCTGGACGTGGTAGCTGGAGCCTGTGATCCCAGTGCTTTGGGAGGCTGAGGTAGGAGGATGGCTTGAGCCCAGGAGTTTGAGATCAACCTGAGCAACATAGTGAGACCCGTCTCTACAAAAAAACAATTTAAAAAAAATGAGCCAGGCGTGGTAGCACACACCTGTAGTCCCAGCTATTCGGGAGGCTGAGGCGGGAGGAGCACTTGAGCCCCAGAATTCGAGGCTGTAGTGAGCCATAATCACACCACTTCATTCCAGCCTGGGAGACACAGGGAGACCCTGTCCTTATTAAAAGATAAAAATAAGAGAAAGAAAGAAAGAAAGAAGACTGTGCAGGTGTTGCCTCCTCCCTGAACCTCTCAGCCTTCCTGCAGACCTGGACTCCTCCCAGGCCCCTGGTTGTAGCCCTGCTCAAGGGTGTTGTGCTGCTTACTCTGTCCCCACTCCCAAGCTCTTAGAAGTTGAGGGCTAAGTCTCACAGGTCATGATCCCCAGCTTCCCAGTGAGGGCTCATTAGCTGTTTGTTTATTGCTGTTTCTCTACCTGAACATCAGCTCCACCTGAGCAGAGCCTTTCATAGCTGAAAACCCAGCTGCTAGAACAGAGAGCAGCAAATGATTCATAGGTCAACACATACATATGTGTTGATCAAATGCATGAATGCGTGAATTGGAAGAATGATGGTGGCAAGGTAAGGTCCCCCAGGTTGACTCCTTGCTAGCCCAGGACTCCCCACCCCTCCTTTACTAGTCAGGACCTGCTATTGCAATTTGCTGCGCTTAGCGCAAAACAAAAACATGGGCCCTCTTGTTCAAAAATTAAGAATTTCAAGACGGCAAGAACCTTAAACCAAGAGCGAGAGGGTGTCTTCCGGGCCCAGCCCCGGGCTGCTGCACGGTGGGATGTGGGCTTGCCCCAGGCTCGCTCCCAACTCCCCTCTCCAACCTGCGGCTGGGGGGCTGGGGTCCGGCGCCTCCTGTCAGCCACGCCAGACCCGTAGAACGCTCTTCAGCTGAAACTTCCCAGACCTCCACTTAGCGGCACCCGAGCGGGGCTCCCTGGCAGACTCAGTCCCCTTCCGGGAGCAGGCGGGTGCCAGGCGGGCACCGGGGCTTTGGAAGGGGCTAGTGAAGACGCTTGGGCGCCGGTAGCAACAGGGCAGACCCCGGGGCGTCCCTCATTCCAGCTCCTCTGGGTCCAGAACGGCTGCCGCTCCTTTGGGGGAGGGTGCGGGATGGTCTCTTTTCTTAGAAAGTGGCTCAGGTCTTATTCTGCGCCTGGGCATCTCGCAGCCGACACACAGGCACACCAGACGGACAAACAGAAAAACCCACAGAAGGCGGCCCCTCCCCCAATTCAGAGAGCCAGTGACGGGCGCTCCTCCACCCCTAACCAGACACACCCGATAACAGACGGCCAGACACAGAGTGACCCGCACAGAGAAGACAATACAGAAATACGCAGGGACGAGTACAGACCGTCGGACGCTCGGACACGGACGCAGGCAGGATCCCCTGGACCTCTGGGTTCCCCAACGGAGACCCTCGGGGAAGGCCCGGAGCATCGCAAGCCCCTGTGGAGCCCCGGACGCCCCGCTTGGCAGCAGCCACGCCCCCCGCGCACACCCCCCTCGGGCTGGCTCCGGGAGACCCCCTCTCCCCAGTCCCGCAACCCCGGGACCCCGGCAGGCACTTCTTGTCACCCAGCGTTTCCGGGGCGCCCGGACAGGGGCTGGGTGGGCGGGCGTCGGCTCAGGGGTGAGGGCTGCAGACGGCGGGCGGGGGCCGGGCGCGCGGGCGGAGGTGCGGGAGGACGCGCTAGTGTCGCGGCAGGGCTGGCCAGTGTCCCAGGGATCAGGAGCGGGGAGCTGTCCGCGTGGGTCCCGGAGGGGGCAGATGGCTGCCCCGGGCGTTGCCCAGTGAGGGGCAGCGGGCAAGGGAGCTCGTAGAATCCCAGGTCAGCAGGGTGGGGCGCTGGGTAAGTGGACAGGGTGGTACCTTGACGGAGGACGAAGGGGCAGAAGAGGGGAGGGCGGGCGTCGGGAGGTGACAGGAGAGGGGGCAGGTTGGCAGGGGCGTGGGGTAGGAATCGGAAGGGAGTTGAAAAGGGAGGTGCTGGTTGGCAGAGGCGTCGGGGCAAGGACAGGAGCCAGGAGCGCAGGCGGGGCCCGACGGCAGCCACCCCCGGGACCAGACTTGGCGCGGGTGTCTCGAAGATGCTCGAGGGCCTGGGGTCGCCCGCCTCGCCCCGGGCAGCTGCAAGCGCCTCGGTCGCAGGGTCGTCGGGGCCAGCGGCCTGCTCGCCTCCCTCGTCCTCGGCCCCGAGGTCCCCGGAATCCCCGGCCCCCCGGCGGGGCGGTGTGCGCGCCAGCGTCCCACAGAAACTGGCCGAGATGCTGAGCAGCCAGTATGGGCTGATCGTGTTCGTGGCGGGGCTGCTGCTGCTGCTGGCCTGGGCCGTGCACGCCGCGGGCGTGAGCAAGAGCGACCTGCTGTGCTTCCTGACGGCGCTCATGCTGCTGCAGCTGCTGTGGATGCTGTGGTACGTGGGCCGCAGCTCCGCGCACCGCCGCCTCTTCCGCCTCAAGGACACGCACGCGGGTGCCGGCTGGCTGCGCGGTGAGTCCAGGCGCCGGGCGAGCGGGTCTCCGCCTCCTCGCCCGCTGGCTGCATCCTGAGGCTGCTCTGCGCCCTTCCTACCGCTGCCGTCTTCCCTTCAGCCTTTTCTGCCTTGGTCTCTCTGTGCATCTTTCCTAGCTTTCCTGTCTGCCCTTCCTTTCCTCTCTCTCTCTCTGAAGCTTGGGTCGCCGCAGGAGCCTCCTCTCCGCCTCCAGACGCTTCCATCATTACAGCCACAGTTACAGAAACCTCTCTTGTCCTTCCCTGACTTAAAGCCATGCAGTGGCCCTACTGACCCCATGATGGAGGCCACGCTCCCTCTCCTGACACTCAGAGCCTTCTAGCACTCGGCCCCCGAGGGCCCGTTTCCTTTGATCCCCTCCTTTGTTCTCATCCTGTGCTGGGGTCATTCTCGCGAACTTTCTCGCCCATCGCAGGACCTCTGCCTCTGCACATTCGGCACCTTCGGTTCTCTCCTCCAGGAATGTCTTTTCCACTTTCCCACCTGCCCCTCTGCTTTCCGAGACAGGGCTCAGGCCTCACCCCATTCTCCCCGCGAAGCTTCTCCGACCCCCTTCTCCTCCCGGCTTTGCAGGTCTGACCACATGCCCCCAGCCCGCACTGGGCTCCAGTGTTCTTGTCAACATGTCTGTACCCTCCACTCCACTGGGGAGCTCTGTGATCCCTGTCTCTCGGTCCTAGAGCCACCTCAGGGCCTGGCACGAAGTGGGTGTTGAGAAAATGAGGGGGTATGAATGAAATAATGAATGCGTGGATGCAGGGTGGGGCAAAGAGGGATAGAGGCTCCTGCTGGTACTCACAGGCATTGGCTGAAATTGTCAAGATAGGAGCTCTTTCTTCCTCAAGGGGCTGCCACATTTTTTTTTTTTTTTTTGAGACAATGTTGCTCTATCTCCCAGGCTGGAGTGCAGTGGCACAATCACAGCTCACTACAGCCTCTTCCTCCTGGGCTCAAGCAATCCTCCCACTTCAGCCTCCTGAATAGCTGGAACTATAGACACACATGGCCTTGCCCAGCTAAGTTTTGTTATATTTTGTACAGATAGGGCCTCGTTGTGTTGTCTCCTTTTCTCAAACTCCTGGCCTCCAGGGATCCTCCTGCCTTGGCCTCCCAAAATGCTGGGATCACAGGCATGAACCACTGTGCCTGGCTGGGGCTGCCAGTCTTGAATGGGAGACAGACATGGTGCAGGTGAAAGGGAGGAGGCCATGGGGAGCATGCTTGTGAAGAAAGCTTCTGTCTGAGTAACCTTCCCAGGAGAGGCCAAGTGCATTTCACACCACGTGGTCCAGGCACATCACACATTGCCACTTGGACTCTCATATTAGACCTGAATTTAAATCTCCATTAGAGTGGGGCTTCCGTGTTCCTTGCATGCATGACCTTGGGCAAGTTACCTGATTGCCTTCCTTACCCTGAACCCTGGTTTCAGCATCTGTAGAATGGGGATCTCAAACTGGATAAGATCCAGTGACTGATGAGGTGGCTGCCCAGCACACACTAGGCCTCCTTTCCACATTTCTTTCAAAGGTCCTGGCCAGATGCCACCTTCTTCACAAATGCCTGGCAGGAATTACTCCTCACTTCTATGGGCCACCATGGCCCCCTTTCTGTAAAGCTCTTTTGGTCCTTGTCCGTTTCTGCCTTGTATTATGACTGTTGGATATTAGCCTTACCATCCAGAAGAGATTTTAGACTTCTTAGGCTCAGGGACTGGATCTAGTTCATCTTGCTTTTGGGGAAATTTGACACCATTGCAGCGTGGCCCAAATTCCTGTTCTGAAAATGGTTGTTTTAGGGAAGTTAATGGTTTTGTGACTCTGTGAATGACAGTGAATCTGGTGCTATTTAAAACAAGGCACAAAGTGTTATTTTAGGATATTGACTTACACAGGCTAAAAAGTATTATACACATGAGCCTTTACCTGTGTTTTCCTATAGTCAAAGCCCCTTTTTTGTTCCTTCTTTCTCTCCTCCATCCTTTTTTCTCCCTTCTTCCTTCCCTCCTTCTCCTTTCCTTTCTTCCTCCTCCCTCCCTCCCTATTCCCTCGCCTTCCCTCCTCTCTGCCTTTCCTTCTTTATTTTTTTTTTTTGAGATGGAGTCTTGCCCTGTCGCCCAGGCTGGAGTGCAATGGTGCGATCTCGGCTCACTGCAACCTCCACCTCCCGGGTTCAAACGATTCTCCTGCCTCAGCCTCCCAAGTAGCTGGGATTATAGGCGCCTGCAACTATGCCCAGCTATTTTTTGTATCTTTAGTAGAGACGGGGTTTCATCATGTTGGCCAGACTGGTCTCAAACTCCTGACCTCGTGATCTGCCTGCCTCAGCCTCCCAAAGTGCTGGGATTACAGGTGTGAGCCACCATGCCTGGCCTCCCTTTCCTTATTTTTTTCCTCATTTTCTTTCTCTCTTCTCCTCCTTCATCTTTCCTTCCTCTCTTCCTTCCTCCATCCTTCTCTCCACTGTCCCTCTTCCCTCTCTCTCTCCTCTCTTTCTCTTCCTTCCTCTCTTCCTCTCTCCCCTGCTGTTTTTGTTTTTGTTTTTGTTTTTGAGATGGAATCTCACTCTGTTGCCAAGGCTGGAGTCATGGGTCACTGCGACCTCCACTTCCTGGGTTCAAGTGATTCTCCTGCCTCAGCCTCCTGAGTAGCTGGGACTACAGGTGCACATGCCACCACACCCAGCTAATTTTTGTATTTTTTAGTAGAGACAGTGTTTCACCATGTTGGCCAGGTTGGTCTCAAACTCCTGAGCTCAGGTTATCTGCCTGCCTTTGCCTCCCAAAGTGCTGAGATTACAGGCATGGGCCACCACGCCCGGCCTGGTGCATTTAGAATGTTCCTCCTTCTCCTTCTCCTTCTGCTCCTCCTTCTTCTTTTTTTCTACTCAGTCTGTGCTTATCCAAGAAATGCTCTTCCTTATGTTGAAGTGCAGTTAACTTCCTAGAACCATCATCCTCTTCCCCAGAGCTTCTATCATCATTCACTTATTCATCATCCATCCATCCATCCATCCATCCATCCATCCATCTGTCCGTCCATCCATCCATCCATGTTTTTTTGTTCTTCCTCTCTCTCTGCCTCCTTTCAGGTTGACTCCGAGCATTGGCACCTGAGTCTATGGGTGAATGGTTGCACCATTTCCCAAGATTGGGAAGCCAAAGGGAAGAGCAGGGTGGGGACACAAAACCAATGACATGTTACATTTCTCCTATGGACATGCTATGTTTGAGGTGTCTTTGGGACACTAAGTAGAGAGGGAATAAATGGGCAAGGTAGAGAGAGCACGTGATAGGTGTTCAGTAGATGACAGCTGTTTAGACATTCAGTGAGTTGCCCCATAATAATGTAATTCAAATGAGGTGTGTGTATCATGGAAATGGTGTTGGCTCTGGAAGGTTTGGCTTGAGGTCTCAGCTCTATCACCGTCACCTTTCTGAGTCCTGCTTTCCTCATCAGTAAGATAAGAATCCCAGCTGCCTCTCTGGGAGGAGCTGGGGGATGTTGAGAGAAGCAGTTTGCAAAGCCCTGGCCATTCCTGTGGGTTCCTCAAAGAAGCAAGAAGCTAATTATTAGTGTTGGGAGGCCCTGGTGCCAAAAGGAAGCACCTTCAGCCCCAACAGGGACTGGGGTTTCCTCTGGAATTCTAGCTAGAAAGACAGGTTTGACTCAGGAACTCAGCTCTGCCCTGGTGTTCGTGACAATCTTAGATCAATAGGCAGAGGGCAAGTCCCTCAGGAAAAAGAGCAGTGATCCCCAAGATCCATTCTGGGGCCACTATGAGGGTCTTGCTTAACTCCATGCATTTTCTTACATATTTGTTTTCTTAGATGATATTTCTGGTCCAGTGGAAAATATAGACATAGTGTCATGATTTCAACACAAACAAGCGAATGTGGCTGCCAAAAAATCAGATGCGGGCTTGGCTTTCATTGGAAAGGAAATCAGACTGTGTGTGGAGGGTCTCATCCTCCTTGAGCATTTCACAGGCCACTGGAAAGAGTGGCGGCAGGAGGAGCAAAAGGAGGGTCAGTCCAGAAGAGAGAAGGATGCGGAGGTCACAGGGTAGAAAGTGCTGCTGCCTTGCACCTGTCAGCTCCAGGCCATCCTCTGTCTTTCAGCAAGCAAGAGTCATTTCCTCTGGGAAGCCTCTCCCGATAGTTTCAGACCAGGGGCAGCCCCCAGGTTGTATGGTCTCATAGCACTCTTCATTTTCTTTCTAGCACTAATCAAGCAGGAGATTGTATTATTCAGTGACTGTTGGGGTAGCCAGACTGAGCCCCTAAAGGCAGAGACCCTGTCTGTGCTTACCGTTGTATCCTGAGCTCCTGGCACAGTGCCTAACATGTAGTAAATGCCAATTCGTGTCTACTAAATAATTGAATGATTGAATGATTGGATGGATGGATGGATGACTAGATGGGTGGATGAACAAGTGAAGATAGAAGCTCCAGGGAAGAAGATGATGGTTCTGGGAAGTCAACTGCACTTCAATATAAAGAAAAGCATTCTAAAGTAAGCACCAGGCCAGGCGTGGTGGCTCACACCTGTAGTCCCAGCACTTTGGGAGGCTGAGGAGGGCAGATCACCTGGGGTCAGGAGTTTGAGACCAGCCTGGCCAACATGGTGAAACCCCGTCTCTACTAAAAATACAAAAAGCTGGGTGTGGTGGGACACAGCAAATTATGAATCATTTGCTGCTCTCTGTTTTGGGCACTGGGGTTTCAGCTATGAAAGGCTCTGCTCAGGTGGAGCTGATGTTCAGGCAGAGAAACAGCAATAAACAAACAACTAATGAGCCCTCACTGGGAAGCTGGGGAGCATGACCTGTGAGACTTAGCCCTCAACTTCTAGGAGCCTGGGGGTGGGGACAGAGTAATCAGTACAGCATCCTTGAGCAGGGCTGCAACCAGGGGCCTGGGAGGAGCCCAGGTCTGCAGGAAGGCTGAGAGGTTCAGGGAGGAGGCAACACCTGCACAGTCTTCTTTCTTTCTTTATTTTATTTTTATTTTTAAATAAGGACAGGGTCTCCCTATGTCTCCCAGGCTGGAATGAAGTGGTGTGATTATAGCTCACTACAGCCTCAAATTCTGGGGCTCAAGAGCTCCTCCCACCTCAGCCACCCGAATAGCTGGGACTACAGGTGTGTGCTACTACGCCTGGCTCATTTTCTTAAAATTGATTTTTGTAGAGACAGGGGTCTCGCTATGTGGAGTGCCTGTAATCCCAGCTACTCAGGAGGCTGAGGCAGGAGAATTGCTTGAACCCAGGAGGCAGGGTTTGCAGTGAGCCAAGATCATGCCACTGCACTCCAGCCTGGACAACAGAGTGAGACTCCATCTCAATAAAATAAAATAAAATAAAATAAAATAAAATAAAATAAAATAAAATAAAATAGAATAAAATAATATATAAATAAAGTAAGTACCAGCTGGTGATGGTAGGGTACGCTTTGAGAGATATTGAGCCTCCTAGCCCTGAGCTTGTCCAAGTAGAGGTCAGATGGCTGCCGGTCATGATGCATTGGAAAGCATTCTTGCATGGGATAGAATGTAGACTAATTCTGTGGGACTTTCCACCTCTAAGAGGGGGGTTCAAGATTCTAGACTCCTAGGAGGGATTTGGGTGCCTAACAAAGAGGAGGGGGTTCCCTCTGCCATCACTGGATGGGTACCCTAGGTAGTCTTTGGATTATTCTCAAGTATTGTAGCTGGTAAACTTTCTAATTGGTTCTAATGCATCAACTTTTTCTTGGCGATTGAGTGATGATAATAACATCCCTCTTATAGAACTTTCTAGGTAAGGAACACTGTTCTAGGTGACTTCCATGTAATGACTCACTCAATCTCCTCAGCACCCCTATGAGATAGGTGTTATTACTGTCATTACATCTTAGAGATGGGGAAACTGAGGCAAAGGTAAGTTAAGTAATTGCCCAAGGTCATCAACTAATAAGTGGTAGGAAATGGGCAGCTGGCCTCTGCCACTCTATGTTCTACTGTCTTTTAGAGCATATTTTTTGTCAATATTCCACAGACATCCAACATTGTATACTCTGTTTTGAGGTATGGAAGATTTTATATACATATCAAAGCAAGTTCATTGATTGTATGATTCAATTCTTCTATGTCTTATATTTTGTCTACTTGATCTATCTAGTTCTGAAATTTTCCGTTCTGTTTTTTTATTACCAGCAGTTAAATATATAAAGCAGGGAGGCTGAGGCAGGAGAATCCCTTGAATCTGGAAGGTGGAGGTCACAGTGGGCAGAGCTTGCGCCATTGCACTCCAGCCTGGCCGACAAGAGTGAAACTCCATCTCAAAAAAAAAAAAAATATATATATATATATATATATATATGTATACATATATATGTATATACACGTATATGTATATATGTATACATATATACGTATATACATGTATATACATATATATGTATATACACCTATATACGTATATATGTGTATATATGTATACATGTATACGTATATATGTGTATATATGTATACATGTATACGTATATACACACATATATGTGTATACATATATGTGTATATATACATATATGTATACATATATACATGTATATGTGTATATATATGTATACACATATGTATACATATATACACGTATATATATTTATACATATATATGTGCATATATATAAAGCAAAAACTGTTTTATTTGGGCACACATGTGGCTGTTATATCTTCCTCATACAGTATGTCTTTTTTTTTTTTTGAGACAGAGTCTCGCTCTGTCGCCCAGGCTGGAGTGCAGTGGCACGATCTTGGCTCACTGTAAGCTCTGCCTCCTGGATTCACGCCATTTTCCTGCTTCAGCCTACCGAGTAGCATGGAGGCACCCGCCACCACGCCCGGCTAATTTTTTTGTATTTTTAGTAGAGACGGGGTTTCACCGTGTTGGCCAGGATGGTCTCGATCTCCCGACATCCTGATCCGCCCGCCTCGGCCTCCCAAAGTGCTGGGATTACAGGCGTGAGCCACCGCGCCCGGCAATCTGTCTTTTATCATATGTAGCGATAAAGGAGGAAGGATTCTTTATCCTACTTATTACATTAACTTTAAATCCCATACGGTCTGATATTAATATTGCCATTCTGACTTTCTTTTTGTTGCATTCCTCTTTGTTCACTACTTTATTTTAAACCTTTATTACTTTGTTAAAAGTGCAATTTGTGTAAAGATCATGTAACTAGGTTTTGTTTTTAATTCAGTCTTCCTATTCTTGCTTACTACTTAGTGGGAGGATTTACATCATTCTAATTTATAGTAATAATTTATACAGTTGGCTTTTTTGTTTCCATTTTTCTTTACGATGTTTATGATGATACATTTTACGTTCCTATTTCCTCCTTTTCCTTTTCCACATGTTTGCCTTTTTTGAGCATTTGAAAAATTTATTGTGATTTTTTTATTCCATTAATGGCCATTTTTTTCTTCCCTCACTCTCATAATCAGATGCATATTACTTCATTCTTTTTTTTTTGAGACGGAGTCTCGCTTTGTTACCCAGGCTGGAGTGCAGTGGCATGATCTTGGCTCACTGCAATCTCTGCCTCCCAGGTTCAAGCGATTCTCCTGCCTCAGCCTCCTAAGTAGCTGGGACTACAGGTGCCCATCACCACACTGGGCAAATGTTTTGTGTTTTTGGTAGAGACGGGGTTTCACCATGTTGGCCCGGCTGGTCTCGAACTCCTGACCTCAAGTGTTCCACCCATCTTGGCCTCCCAAAGTGCCAGGATTATAGGTGTGAGTCACCGTGCTCAGCTGCCTATTACTGCATTCTTATTTGAAAACAAAATATTGAACATTTCCCTCAGTGAGCCACACTGTGTCCCACTCCAAGATGTTTGCTGCTTCCACTTCCTCTCTACCTAATGGGATGAGACCTTTAGGGTACGTTTGCCTCCCTATTCCTTTCCCTTCTTCCCTCTCCTTTTCCATTTATTTACCATGAGGGCTTTCAAAGGTTTTTCTTTGTTCCCTATCCAGTCCTTTTCCAACTTAGGTTTTTTTTTTTTTTGAGTTGGAGTCTCGCTCTGTCACCCATGCTGGAGTGCAATGGCGCAATCTCGGTTCACTGCAACCTCTGCCTCCCGGGTTCACACCATTCTCCTGCCTCAGCCTCCCAAGTAGCTGGGACTACAGGTGCTTGCCACCACACCTGACTAATTTTTGTATTTTTAGTAAAGACGGGGTTTCACCATGTTGGCCAGGCTCGTCTCGAACTCCTGACTTAAGGTGATCCATCTGCCTCGGCCTCCCAAAGCACTGGGATTACAGGTATGAGCCACTGTGCTTGGCCAAACTTAGGGGTTTTGTAGAGATAGTTAATAGAATTTCGCCTCAAAATGTCTATTCTGTATGACAAGTCTTTATAGGGCATGTAAATTACACATCTCAGGCAGTTTATCCATTTGAATTTAAGTTCTTTTCTTCTTTTCTCTCCTATTAATCTAATTATCTATCTCCATCTGTCTCTCCATCCATTATACCTCCACCCTCCTCCAGCTTTCCACAAAGTTGATTGGTCACTATAATTTGCTCTCCTTTTCATCTTCCCCTCTTTTGGGGACTCTCTTCCAGTTCACAAGCTGCTTGATTAAAGTCCTTTGTCAGACAAGTTATGTGGATGACAGTTTTCTCTCACCCTCTGTTCTCTGTTCAACAATCACCTCCTTTCCTGCCCATGTACCTTCAACCTCAGTTCCCTTTTCTGCTTTACTTTTCTTCATGCACTTAGCACTTCCTGACATTCTTTATATGTTTACTATTTACTGGTTTATTTTTTGCCTTCCCCACTAGATGTGAAACTCCTCAAGGGCAGATACTCTATTTTATTGACCTTTATATCTTCAATGCCTGGGACAATGCCTGGCCCATGGTTTCTGCTCAATAAATAGTTGTTGAAAAAATTACATTTTGTGTATCTTCAAACATCATTCTGCCTTTTGCCCTGACACGCGGGCGACATCTTAGCTGGGAGTAAGGTTTTTGAGGTGCAGTCCTTTCCTTGCAGCACATTCCTCCACTGTCTTCTGGTTTCCCAGGCCGCACAGAAAAAGTCTGTTGCCAGCTCATCTCTCTGATATTTTGTGCACACCTCAATTTATGCAATATTATACTTGTATATTTTTGTTTCTACAGCAATCTCCTATGTCTGTCTTTGAGCCCTTGACACAATGCCTCATGCATAGTAGGAGTCCCCAAGATATTTGTTGTATAAATAACCGGGTGAATGAATCCCTGGATGAATGGATGAACACAGGAAGAAAGGGAGAACTTAAAGAGTATAAGAAAATATGTAAAGTATTTATTCCTGAACCCTTGACAAGTCAACCACAGAGATGGTCTAGACCAGTAGTTTTCAAGGTGGGGCCTAGATCAACAGTGGCAGCCCCACTTGAAAATTTGTTAGAGATGCAAATTTTGGGGCCCCGTCCACACCTGCTGAATCAGAAACTCTGGAGGCGGAGCCCAGGAATTTGTGTTTTAACAAGCACTGCAGCTGATTCTGATGCAGTCTCCAGTTTGAGAACCACTGCTGTGGACCATCCGCATTTTCTGTATGGGAATCCTGAGGCTGGGAGCAGGAAGTGACTCATGTATTCTGTGAGTGTCCAGGTCTCTACAGTTTCATGCCTGTGCTCTTGCCACTCAACCACGCTGCCTCGCCTCATCTTGCTATGTTTTTTTGTAATTAAAACCAACCACGTATTTGTCAGAACATTTCAAAGCACTGGGATCGAATCTCCACTCTTACAAAGTTTCTGATTTCATTGGGGTGTTTCCAGGATTAAAAAATAAATGTGAGTTAGAGTTGTTTCTATAAGGCTTTGAGCAGTGGAAAAGCGCCAGGCGATTGCATTACTTTTCAGAGGAGGCTTCTGAGGCTGGAGATGTAACGTTATAGCCCAATGTTATGGCTCATGCCCTCCTCTCTGCTCAGTGCCTTAATGCACGTCATACACGATCCAGTTTCCTCCTGTCGGTAGGAGCAAATGTATAAATGGCGGTCAATGCTAGCCCAGGAGAGAGAGGAGGAACTCTGACTTGACCAAGTCCTCGTGATCACTGCCTTTTTCTCACTAATTTCTTCATTTGTCACCAAGTGTCTTTTTAATGTATTTTGTATATTCCTTTCCAGTCTTTTTTATATGCAAATTTTTTATTAGTTTGTTTTTATATTTTGGGCAAAACCATGCTCATTATATTATCAAAGATTGCTTCCTTTCTTCAGTACACCTAGCACAGGCCCTTCCTCAGCTACTACTATAGAGCCCTTACCCATCTATTTTTTTTTTAAATATACTTTCAGCCGGGCTCAGTGACTCATGCCTGTAATCCCAGCACTTTGGGAAGCTGAGGCAGGCGGACCACTTGAGGCCAGGAGTTTAAGACCAGCCTGGCCAGCATAGCAAAAACCTATCTCTACTAAAAATACAAAAAATTAGCTGGGCATGGTGGTGCACGCCTGTAATCCCAGGTACTTGGGATTGAGGTTGAGGCACAAGAATCACTTGAACCCAGGAGGTGGAAGTTGCAGTGAGCCAAGATCGTGCCACTGCACTCCAGCCTGGGTGACAGAACAAGACCCTGTCTCAAATAAATAAATAAATAAACTTTCTATTTTAGAAAAGCTTTAGATTTATGGAAAAGTTGCAAAGACAGTTCAGAGAATTCCTGTATATCTGTATGACCTGCACACTCTGCACTCTTATTTCTTATATTTCATATTAATATATATATTTTTTGAGACAGAGTTTCACTCTTGTTGCCCTGGCTGGAGTGCAATCATGCGATCTCGGCTCACTGCAACCTCCACTTCCTGGGTTCAAGTGATTCTCCTGCCTCAGCCTCCCATGTAGCAGGATTACAGGCATGTACCACCACACCCGCTAATTTTGTATTTTTTAGTAGAGATGGGGTTTCTCCACATTGGTCAGGCTGCTCTCGAACTCCCAACCTCAGGTGATCCACCCGCCTCAGCATCCCAAAGTGCTGGGATTACAGGTGTGAGCCACTGCACCCAGCCAGCTGCACTCTTATTCTTTAGAGAACAGGATTTTAGGATTAGAGAACTGAGATTTTTGAGTAGAGCAGTGACATTCTTAAATTGCTCCTTTTTGAAAAAGCTTCTAGAAGCCTTCTGTTGATTGGACCAGGCTTTGTTGATTGTGTATCATTTGTCAGACTCTGGGCTATGGGGTGAGTACAATGATGAACAGGACACAGCACCTGCCTTCTAGTTTTACCTTCGCAGCTCAACAGTAGAATTCATTTATTTATTTAGAAATAATTATTATGTTATTTTTGGGTAGAGATGGGGTTGCTTAGGCTCTTGGCCTCAAGTGATCCTCCCACCTTGGACTCCCAAAGTGCTGGGATTACAGGCATGAGCCACCATGCCTGGGCTAGAATTTATTTTATTAATATATTTTTAATTGTGGTAAAACATGCACTTATATACATAAAATTTACCAACTTACCAGTTTTTAAGTGTACAGCTCAGTGGTGTTAAGAACATATACACTTTTGTGCAACCAACCTCCAGAACTTTTTCGTCTTGCAAAACTGAAACTCTGTCCTCATTAAACACTAACTCCTCATTCTTTCCTCCCTCTAGCACCTGGCAACCACCATTCTACTTCTGTCTATGAATTTGCTTACATTTGATACCTCATATAATGAAATCCTACAGTATTGTCCTTTGGTGGTTGAGTTTATTTTACTTAGCATAATGTCCTCATGGCTCATCCATACTGTATCGTGTGTCAGAATTTCTTTCCTTTTTAAACTGAATAATATTTTGTTGTATGTCTATACCTCATTGTGTTTACCTATCCATCTGTTGATGGATGCTGGGTTGCTTCCACCTTTTGGATACTGAAAATAATGCTGCTATGAACAGGAGAATACAGATATCCCCTAGGGTCCCTGCTTTCAATTCTTTTGGGTATATACTCAGAAGTGAAAATGCCAGATCATGCCATAATAGTATTTTGAATTTTTTGAAGGCCCTCCCTACTGTTTTCAATAGTAGCTGTACCATTTTACATTCCTACCAACAGAGCACTATTTCTCTATATCCTCACCAATGCTTGCTATTTTCTATTATTTTCTTTCTTTTTTTTTGATAGTAGCCATCCTGATAGTGTGATGGTATTTTGTAGTTTTGATTTGCACCTCTCTAGTAATTAGTGATGGTGAGCATCTTTTCATGTACTTGCTGGCCATCTTTATGTCTTCTTTGGAGATATGTTTATTCATGTCCTTTGCCAATTTTTCAATTGGCTTTTGTCATTGTTGATTGATTGATTTTTGGAGACAGAGTTTCACTCTTGTTGCCCAGGCTGGAGTGCAATGGCATGATCTCAGCTCACTGCAACCTCTGCCTCCCTGGTTCAAGGGATTCTCCTGCCTCAGCATCCCAAGTAGCTGGGATTATAGGCATGCACCACCATACCAAGGCTAATTTTTGTATTATTAGTAGAGACGGGTTTCACCACGTTGGCTGGGCTGGTCTCCAACTTCTGACCTCAAGTTATTCACACTCCTCGGCCTCCCAAAGTGCTGGGATTACAGGTATGAGCCACTGTGCCCAACCCATTGTTGTTAATATATAAGAATTCTCTACAAATTCTCTCATAGCAGCATTATTTTCAGTATCCAAAAGGTGGAAGCGACCCAGCATCCATCAACAGATAGATGGATAAATACAATGAGGTATAGACATACAACAAAATATTATTCGGCTTAAAAAGGAAGGAAATTCTGACACACGATACAGTATGGATGAGCCATGACGACATTATGCGAAGTAAAATAAACTCAACCACCAAAGGACAGTACTGTACGATTTCATTATATGAGGTATTTAATGTAAACAAATCTGTATATTGTGGATATTAATGACTTATTAGATATATAATTTGCTAATGTTTTCTCCAGTTCTGTGGGCTGTCTTTCCGCTTCGTTGGTAGTGTCCTGTGATGTGCAAAAATTTTTCATTTTCATGTAGTTCATCTTATTTAATTTTTGTTGCTTGCATTTTTGGTGTCATAGCCAAGAAATTATTGCCAAAGCCAATGTCATGAAGCTTTCTCCCATGTCTTCTTTTACAAGGTTTATACTTTTATATTTAGATCTTTTATCTGTTTTGAGTTAATTTTTGTATATGGTGTAAGGTGAGGGTCCAAATTCATTCGTTTGCATGTGGACATCCAGTTTTCCCACCACATTTGTTGAAAAGACTGCCCTTTTCCCATTGAATGGTCTCGGCACCCTTGTGAAAAATCATTTGACCATATACATAAGGGTTTAATACACAATATAATTTATTTTGAAATGACATCAATGTATGTTAATGCAATGTGTGTGTTTCCACTTCCCCCTTCATCCCACATTTAGGTAGTATCACATTGTTTGCAGTCATTACCGTCATCCTGGGATGCCTTAAAATTGGATACTTCATTGGATTTTCAGAATGTTTATCAGCCACTGAAGGAGTTTTCCCAGTCACCCATTCAGTGCATACTTTGTTGCAGGTAAACCACTGATGTTTATTTATATTGTCTCATTCCTATGAAGTGTATCCCAGGTTGTGTAGAAACTTGTAACATCAAGACGTGTGGCAGGTGGAGACAGTGTGCACAGCTGTGAACTGCAGTGAACTGAAATCTGTCTTTGAGGCTTAGTTCTTCAGCTGCCTCCATTGCAAAATAAAACTCTGTGTCCCCATGGCCATTTTTGCAGGGATCCTATGAGGCAGAACTTCTAATGATGAAGAGTCAGGAAATTCTGCCAAGCCAGAGTCTACAGTAAAGGCTTGAGGGAATTTTATTTTCTGGGTATGTGACAGGTTTATTGAGAGAATTCACGTGGCGTATAATTCACCCATTTAACGTGTGCAATTCAGTGGTTTAGTCTGTTCATAGAGTTATGCAACAGTTGCCAAAATCAATTTTATTTTTCTAAAAAATTTAATATTCTTCCTTCATAGAAACCTTGTGCCATTGCAGTGCCTCCTCTGGGTCATGGAAACACTTTTGTTTTCTCGTTTGGGGATTAAAATCTTTTAGAAATGTATGAGGATTGTTTCCCACAGCACTGGTAAACTTGGTGTGGCTCAGAAGTAAGGATTTGATAAATATAATTTAAATACACAGCTTAGGGTCAGAAAAATCTCATGGTTGAAAAGAATGTTAGATGGGTCTTCAGGGTAGTGTTCGCCTTTGGCAGAAATCCATGGTAATGTTATCAGAGTCAGGATCTGAACTATTGAATTGTCAGCCTCATTTTTTTTCTTTTTTATGTATATGTTTAAGATATACAACATGATTCTTTGATATTCCTATCCATAGTGAAGTGATTACTACAGTCAAGCATATTTATGTCTGTCATCTCACATAGTTGCCTTTCTTTTTTTGGGTATGGTAAGGCACCTAAAATCCATTCTCTTAGCAGATTTCCAGTATACAATACAATATTATTAACTATAGTCTTCACGTTGTCCATTACGTCTCTAGAATTATTCGTCTTGCGTATTTGCAACTTTGTACCCTTTGACCAAAATCTTCTAATTTTTCCTCTCCAACCACCATTCTACTCTTTAGGTTATTTTGTTTTTATTTATTAATTTAATTTAATTTTAGAGACAGGGTCTTGCTCTGTTGCCCAGGGTGGAGTGCAGTGGTGCCATCACAGATCACTGCAGCCTTGAATTCAGCTCAAGTGATCCACCTGCCTCAGTCTCCCTAGCAGGTAGGACTACAGGCCCACATCACCATGCCCAGCTTCTACTGTCTGTTTTTGTGCATTCGATTAGAAACGTTTTTCTAAATACCACATATAAGTGAGATTATGCAGTATTTTTCTTTCTGTGTCTGCCTTATTCCACTGAGCACAATGTCCTCCAGATTTGCCCATGTTGTTGCAAATGGCAGGCTCTGCCCTCATTTTTTTCTAACGAAGAAGTTGGAGCTCAGAGAAGACAAGTGACTTGCTCAGAGTCACTGCGGAGACACAATGATTATTTTCTTCCTGACAAGTCACCTGGAAGACCATGAACTTGTTCTAGTGATACTGCCATTGCTGGAAATATTTTTGGATTTCCAGTTTGAGAAGGTTCTTTGGAAAGTTTTCTACCTCTAGAAAACCAGGGATGACATTTTTAAAACTTCATCTTTTATCCAAAGTGACCTTCAGCTTGTACCCCCAGCTGACTTAGCAGACAGCACTGGATGACCTTAGAGTGTTTCTCTAGATCAAACACATTCTCAAACAGTGAAGCTAACAGACAGAACATGCCCAGTGAGCCTGGAAACAGTTTAGCTCCATGGTGGCTTGATGGGATCACTGGGGAGCTTGCTGAGGGGCTCATTTGGAGGGGCTGCCTTGCACTTGAAAGCTGTTATGGACTGAGTTGTATCCCCTGTGAAATTCATTTGCCGAAACCCTCATTCTCAGTACCTGAGCATGTGACTGTATTTGGAGATGGGGTCGTTTAGAGGAAATTGAGGTTAAATAAGATCGTTAGGGTGGCCCAAATTCAATATGCCTGGTGTCTTTGTTTTTTATTTTTTTGAGACAGAATTTTGCTTGTCGCCCAGGCTGCAGTGCAATGGCGTAATCTTGGCTCACTGCAACTTCCGTCTCCTGGGTTGAAGCAATTCTCCTGCCTCAGTCTCCCAAGTAGCTCCGATGACAGACACCTGCCACCATGCCCAGCTAATTTTTGTATTTTTAGTAAAGATGAGGTTTCACCATGTTGGCCAGGCTGGTCTCGAACTCCTGACCTCAGGCAATCCACCTGCCTCGGCCTCCCAAAGTATTGGGATTACAGGCCTGAGGCACCGCGTCTGGCCCTGGTGTCTTTATAAGAAGAGGAGAGAAGGACACAGACACACACAGAGAGACAGCCATGTAAAGACACTGGAGGAAATTGACCATCTACAAGCCAAAGAGAGAGGCCTCAAAAGGAACCAACACCTTGATCTTGGATTTCTAGCCTCAGGACGCTGAGAAGAGAAATTCCTGTGATTGAAGCTGATGGTCTGTGGTCCTTTGTTACGGCAGCCCAAGCTGATCAAAGATAACTGGCTGCTCATTCCAGGGGAGCCAAATCCCATGAAGACAGAGCCTTATAGTGATACAGCGACAATGTGGAAAGCTTTAATGAGGGCAGAACGAACTGCGTTCGTTCATTCATTCATTTTTCTTGCAGTTCATCTTTAAATACTGGACGAATATTGTTCTCAGCATGGGGAATACAAGGCTGCAAAATCTATGGCACACACCATAGGGGTGTCAGTTAGGTGAGAGACAGTCCCCAAAACAGTGACAACGCTGGGCTCAGTGCTTTGACCAGAGTGTCCCAGAGCAATGAGGCAGCACAAAGGAGGGCATTTCGGCAGCTTGGGGTGAGGGTCGATTTCTGCCAGGGAAGGTCCAAGAACCGTTTGTGAGAGAGGGAGGAGCACAGGTGTAGTGGGTCAGAGACCACTGGAAGAGGGTGTCTTTGGGATGTGCAGTCTTTCTTCACAGTGGGGTAGGGTAGGGGGGCGATGTGTGGGCACAGGCTGGATCCCTGTTTGGTGTACGGCTTGTAAGCTTGCACTCTGGTCAGATTGCATGACTCTGGCTCCAACCACAGCTGTGTGACTTCAGGCAAATTACTTAACTTCTCTGGGCCGTGTGGGTCTTACTTGCAAGGTGGGGACAATCACAGTACCTATTTCATAGGCTCATTGTAGAGATTAAAGGCACAGATGTATGAAAAGCACTTGGCAGAGGGCTAGGTGTGCAGCAAATTCTTGGTCAAGGCTGACCACCACCTAGGGGCTTGGGCTTCACCTCGAGGGCAGTGGGGAGCCACTGAAGGCTTTAGGCAGAAGAATGACTGGGACAGATGTGAATTTTCAAAATATCCCTCTTAGTTGGTGGGTTGGAGATCCTAGCTTTCTAATTTAAGGCATTTTATTGGCCAGGCAAGTCAATGAATTAATCATTCTATACCTGTTGGACACTTACCATGTGCTTTTGCTACATTAGATGACTGGAGAATGGAAAAAAGTATATATATGTGTATATATATATAACAATTAGGCACTGTTCTAAAAAACAGAGTATTTATTTTAAAATTGTGGCAAATACTGCCAAACCTGTAGATATCAGGATGAAATTGCTTTTGTCAGACCCAGGCAAAATAGGCCTGGGAAAGCACCAAGGAGAGGGGACTCCTGCCTACGTGTCTGAGATACAAAGTGTTTCCAAGGACTTTCTAAAAACCCTTCATGCATCTCCTGCTTTGATGAGGCTAGACATTACTAGACATTCTTTAGGACTGCAGTAAAGCAGGTAAGATGCTCTTGGAAGTACACTTGCCCAGCACTGGCATCTCCACCAATGAACTGATGACAACTCTGGCTTTGAGCCTCTAGAAACGATGAACTCTTTTTCTCAGTGGATTATGTAAATTTCTCTTTTCTAATAACAGCTCCTCCTTACCCTTCCCTCACCGAATGCGCTGGTGGCCTGCCATTCCATGCGTTCTGGATTGTAATTCTTATTTCTATTTCCAAGTAAATCCAACATATTTAGCAATAATTTTTTCTAGTGTCTTTTTTTTTTTTTAGTTTGACAATCACATAACACTTACCATCTTAGTTATTTTAAGCGTACGTTTCAGTAATGTTAAGTACATTCACTTGTTGTACAACCAATCTGAGGACCTTTTTCATCTTGCAAAACTGAAACTCTGAGCCCACTAAACAACTCTCTATTTCCTCCTCCTCCGGCTTTTGGCAAACTCTGTTCTACTTTCTGTCTTTATGAGTTTGAATATTCTAGATGCCTCATACAAATTGAATCATACAGTATTGGTCTTCTTGTGTCTGGCTTATTTCTCACAGCATAACGTTCTCAAGGGTCATCCATGATGTAGCATGTATCAGAATTTTCTTCCTTTTTAAGGTTGAGTAAAATTCCATTGTATGTCTATACCACTGTGAAAGGAAAATAAATCTTGGGGCCCCAAAATCACTAAGCCAAAGGGAAAAGTCAAGCTGGGAACTGCGTCAGGCAAACCTGCCTCCCATTCTATTCCTAAAAAAGATTGCTACAAAGATTTTAAAGATTTTAAAAAGCTACAAACCTCCCTCACAATTTGTCCACTAGGAAATTCCTTGTGGGCTCCAAGATCTTTACCCTAAAATAGCTGTGTTGAATTTCACCCTCACAATGTAAATGGATAGCTGATCCTCACAGGTACAGGATAAAGGACAGAGCTCAAAGTCATCCCTCTGCGCACCTGAGACAAATGCATACCTGATGTCTTCCTGTGCCCGACGTTTTTTTATCTTAGTAGGAATGCAGGTTCGCTGAGCTAGACGGATGCATAAGCAACTATTCCTCTACCCCCTCTCACATGTGAACCGCTGATCAAAGACTCAAAAGAATGCAACCATTTGCCTCTTATCTACCCATACCTTTATAAAAAAATTTCTTCCTTGTTTCCCAGTATTTGCCCTTTCTCTTTAAAATATTGAAGCCCTCAAAATCATCTGTAATGAAAGGCACAGACCTGTCTCCCAGATGCGTGTCCTTAATCTTGGCAAAATAAACTTCTAAATTGATTGAGACCTGTATCAGGTACTTTTTGGTTTATATTACATTTTGATCATCCACTCATCCATCAGTGGGCACTTCAGTTGCTTCTACCTCTTGGCTATTGTGAATAATGCTGCTATGAACATGGGTGGACAAATATCTTTGTGAGAACTTGCTTTCACTTCTTTTGGATATATATATATATATATACCCAGAAGTGGTATTGCTGGACCGTATGGTAATTCTAAAAAAAAAAGCAAAAAGCATTTATTTAAAAAATATAATGTAACATTACTGAGAAAAAATGGGAAAGATAATAAAAATGCACCTGTAAGGAAATCAACTGAAACCAGCATTTGCTATTGTTTTTATGTATTTCCTCCATTCCTTGTACTTAAAGTGTACAGTCTTCTCAAAGTGTGTGGGTGTAGAATTTTCTATTACAAGTTTTTCACTAAAAAAAGTTTTCAATGTTGGTAGGTAGTTTTTATAAAAAGCATCAATTAAATGGCTGTCTAATTTCAAATCACTGATAATTGCTAATTTAGTTAACTGTTTCCCTATTATTGGGCTGAATGCTTTAACAAGGAGTCACTGACTGCTGTCTGTTTTTATTATTGGTTGTTTCAAGACAGTTAATGCCCTGAATGTGTATTCCTGAGTAAGACAGTAAATCTTAGGTAAAAGAATGTGAAAGAGGTGATATGTGTAAGTGTATTTTATTTTTTACTCTCTGATTTTATTTTTATAACTAGAGAATAAAGATTAAATGAGACAAATTTATAAAATGCCTACCAGTGTTTGGCATGCTATAGGTGCTCAATATGTGTTTATCTCTAAAATGAAGCCCAAAACATTTTAGAAGCCCAAATAATGCCTGGTATATAGGAGGAGCTCAGACAATTTCAGTAAATTAGTGAGTTAACAGTGGAGAATATTTATTGAAAACATACACGCTTCTTCAGGTGCTAGTCTAAGTGATTGACATGGATCATTTCATTTAATTGCTCACAACATCCTCTAGGGTAAGTTCCTGTGGGAAAACAGATTCAGCAAGGTTCCCTGACTTGCCCAAGGCCATGGGCTATTCAGTGAGGAAGTCAGGATTTTCACAGGTCTGATACTATATAGCACCCATGATTTCAGTCCCTTCCCCGTATGCTGCTAGTGACTGCATAACCAGGGGACTGCCTAGCATATGTAATAGAGTGAAACAAAAGACCAGCCCAAATCAATTTCATTATTTATTTAAAGCTCTCAACATTTCCTTTCTGGCCACTGGCATGGAGTAACTGTACAGTGAATATTTCTTAGATGAAAACTAACATGTGATATAAACCAGTTATAGGATTAATGTCAAGCAGGCTACTACTTCCATACCCTGTCCCACAGCAGACATCCTCAATCAATCACCCCCATATCACAGAAGACATCCTTAATCAATTGCAGCACCATTTCTTCCTGAACCAAGAGGCCTCACTTTATTTTTCTGCACAGTACTCCTGGATCATTGTCCCCATTGAGGAGTGGCACTGCCACCTAAGATGGAGTAGGAGGTCACTGATGTCCCAGCATTTTCTCATACATTTTCTTTGAGTTTTATAGCTTCTCAAGTTTGCAAGTGTAAAGATGAGTGTCTCACCGATTTTTCTTTTCTTTCTTTATTTCCATCTAGGTATATTTTCTTTGGGGGCATGCAAAGGATATTATCCAGTCTTTCAAAACACTGGAAAGGTAAAAATTGTGGGTAATTGCTTTATATGTTGAATTTGGCATTCATTTAGAATTTTCAAAACTCATCACTGCCATCTTGCTTTGGTTATAAAAACAGACCAACTCTCCCCTCAGTCCTGAAAGCTAAGCTCTCACTTGTGGCTGAGAGAAGAGGGTCACTGCTTTTGGCTTCTCCATGGGACAGGTCCAGAAGTAGCATGGGGTGGGCTTGAATTTTGAAGCCGAATCTGCATCTTAGACACTTTTCTGTTATGACCCTCAGTTGCCTCATCTATAAAATGGAGATGAAGGGAAGAAAATGTAATTTCTTTTTTTAACCGTCATAAGTTCTCAGTTGAGGTGCTGTCCTGAAAACAAAGGTCAGATTAACAAGAGAAAAACTAGCAGGAGTTTATTGACACTTGCTGTGTGCCCATGATGTGGGAGGGACTTAAGTTCTAACATATTTCTCTTAAGGCAGTGGTTTAGGGGCCTTGCTTCGACAGTATTTTAACAAAGAGCCATAAATCCTATAAAGACAAAACAAAGCTAAGTTTGCTCCCAGATTTTCTTATCTCTGCTGGCCTCCTTTCTGAGCTGGTAAGAGCCCAGAGCTGTCCCCAGTAAGAACAAAACTCACATCTCTTTCTGTATGCAGGAAAGGAAGGGGAGGTAGCAAGATCTTTTGTTTTTGTGAATCGCCATCCTGCCTTCAGGCAGGCGCAGGGAGAGGCAATGTCCCCTGCATTTTTAACCTTCTGCCGCTTGATAATCTTCAGTATTGTAGAGAAGAATCTATTTGTTTCTTTCAGAGAAAATAACATAGCCTGCCTCAAGGACTGAAGGAAGGAATTGATGTAAAGCACCGTGTAACAGGCACTCAGCAAGTGTAGGATCTGTTACTAGGTCCACCCACCACCCTCCCAGGGGATGGTGAGGATGGAAGGAAAGAATCGACAGGGTAATGGAGTGAATCTCCTAACTGCAAGGTGTTGTTACCGTGTAAGAAAGCACCATGTAGGACTGGGCGCGGTGGCTCACGCCTGTAATCCCAGCACTTTGGGAGGCCCAGGTGGGCGGATCACGAAGTCAGGAGTTTGAGACCAGCCTGGCCAATGTGGTGAAACCCCGTCTCTACTAAAAATACAAAAAAAATTAGCTGTGTGTGGTGGTGGGCGCCTGTAGTCCCAGCTACTCCGGAGGCTCAGGCAGAAGAATCCTTGAACCTGGGAGGCAGAGGTTGCAGTGAGCCGAGATCACGCCACTGCACTCCAGCGTGGGCAACAGAGCGAGATTCCATCTCAAAAAGAAAAAAAAGAAGAAAGAAAGCACCATGCACACGCACACACACACACACACACACACACACACACACACACAGATGAAGGAAACATACACTGAGATTAGAAATGGCTCATGAGAGCCTTCCCTTTATTGTAGTCTGGGATTGTCAAATCCAGTGATGAGAAAGGCAGCCTGGCATGAGAAAATGACGTCTGCCCTTGGTTTGTGGACCATTTCCACATCAAGCCAACAGGAGGCTGCCAGCTTGCAGGGAGCTTGCGTGGCAGAACAGTTTAGAGTCATGCGTGGCAACAGTGCTACCTCCTTGAGTTCAGTGGGCCTGGGACTGGACAGTGCCATTTGGACCAGGAAAAATGAGAGAAGAAAGGGGAGCTGTGTGCATTATGAGTAAAAGAAAAGCCAGCCAGTATGAGGCAAACGGCATTGTCTGCGTTTGTCAAAGGCTCTATATAATGCTTCCCAGGCACCTCGGGGAAGGCTGGCCATGATCTACAGCAACTGGGCAAGCACAAGGGGCAAACAGATGGGCAAACACCTGACTCAGACACCCTGGGATTCTGTTTCCTTCTCCAATTGTGCTTGGACATTATGCCAAAGGAAGCCAGGATTCAAATGAGGCAAGGTTTTGCCTGCAGTTTCCCGAGAGAGACCCAGAGAGATCAGCTGAGGTTAAAACCGAGAGGAGAGGCAGGGTCAAGGTTGAGGATGCGGTTGCACCATTTTCCCCGTGGGCAGATCATGGACGAGGGTTCTCTGGTTGTCTGCTTTTAATAAATTTTCATCCCTCTAGCTCTGCTTCCAAGACCCAGCTTCTTTGATGTCCTATAGGTATTGAGTTGAGTACTGGCAAGTTCAAGACTACGGCTGAATGCCAAGATTCTGTGGTTTTGGAAGGTTCCATGGATCTGCCCCACCCAGCCAGGCAGGGGACCCACCCAAAGCCTGAGCTGCCAGGTGAAACCAGAATCATGCTTCCTGTGGGCCTCTGCTCTCCAATTTAGGAGTGATCAATTCCATAGAAAGTTTTAAAGAATACCTCTCTCAAATCACCAGTGTTTGCTGCACGTGCTACCTGTGAGGCACATTGCTAAGTACCCTGAAAGCTACCAATGTGAATACATCTTAAGCCTGCAGGTGTAGGAAGACTTTGGAGTATTTGAAGAAATCAGTGACCCTATGGGGACCGCATTCCCCATGGATCTCTCGCCTGCTACCCAGAGTCCAGTGTCGACCTTCCACTTAGTTCTCTTTTCTATCTTCTGCCTTAGGAGGCAGCATGGCAAAGAGCCAAGGGCAGGGCTCTGGAGTCAGACTGGAAGACCTCTGCTCCTTACCGACTCTGCAAACCCCCATGTGGCTGCTTACTCCATATATGACCATGGGCTCATTCTTGAGTCTATCTGGATCTCCCGCAGCTCAACAATGTCATTACCGAGCAGGCTTTTTCTAGATTTCCACTCTGCCATCCTCAGTGGGCTGCAGCTGTAGCCCAAGCTGGCTGTCTCATGGTCATAAGATGGCCACCACAACTCCAGCCTTCATGTCCACATTCAAGGCTAGATAAAAAGGAGAAAGGGACCATAGCAGACTTTTCTTATTCTTGTTTCTTTTGTCAGGAAAGCAAAAGCATTTCTGTAGTGCCCATTAGACTAAAGCTCATATCTCACTGGCCAGAATGGCCATGCCTAGCTGCCAAGTAGTCTCTGGCTTGTTTCAGTGTCCTTAGAAGTAGGTGGCATGGCAGAGGGTGTGGATGATGGTTGGGGTTGGCCAATCAGCAGTAAGGGTGGACCTGCTCTCCAGATTTCCAGTGGTACTCTTTCATCTTTCCCTCATTGTTCTCTCCTCTCCTCTTCCTTTCTGGGAAAAAGATTTGGGGTGTGGTGGGGTGGGTTGTCTGCTTTTAGTAAATTTTCATCCCTCTAGCTCTGCTTCCAAGACCCAGCTTCTTTGATGTCCTATAGGCATTGAGTTGAGTACTGGCAAGTTCAAGACTACGGCTGAATGCCAAGATTCTGTGGTTTTGGAAGGTTCTATGGATCTGCCCCACCCAGCCAGGCAGGGGGCCCACCCAGAGCCTGAACTGCCAGGTGAAACCAGAATCATGGCTGAGAAGGAGCCATGTATTTGTGTGCACACGTCTGTCTCACCCCATGGTGCCTGAGGCTCTCCCAGGGCTGCTTGAGAACTGAGTCCTTGTGTTTTTCAGGTTTGGAGTGATCCACTCGGTGTTCACCAACCTGCTTCTGTGGGCCAATGGCGTCCTCAATGAGTCAAAGCACCAACTCAATGAGCACAAGGAACGGCTCATCACTCTGGGTTTTGGGAACATAACAACAGGTGAGTGGTGAGAGAGGTGAGTGGCCCTTCTGCCATGTTGGAATGTCTTGGAAACCTGCAGAGTCCACAGAGTTCAGAGATGGAGTGCAGGTTCCAAAGAACTGCAGGGCCACCCAACTCAGCATCAGCCAGACAGCCCGCTGTTGTTGAAAATCTTCCAAAACCTGAATCTCTCATAAGTGATGTGTACTGAGCATAATTAAAGGTTTCTTCCATGACTCAGGGACTTGTAAGACCCACGGTGATTATTCTGATGGCCATTTCTCATGGTCCAGTTTGCGGCAAAAATAAATGTCTTTGTTTTCAACTACAGAAGATTGATGGTTGCCTCTGCTTGTGTTTTTAATTAAACCTCTATTACCAGTTCTTTCTAGTAAAAGTATGGCTTTTAAAAATTCATAGGAGTCTAATGGTAGGTTGTGGTTAATGGGCTGTAGTTCATTTAAAGTTTTAATTTAACTGTATTGGCTTATAATTCTAGCTCATGTCTGTTCCACCTTGTTCCTATTTGAAAGCCTGTTGGGTTAATCTTTATATTTTCATCTAAAATCCTTTAGCATTTACAATATGTCACTTCTATATGAGAACATTCAGGCTGAGGGGAATGTGGGGCAGGGAACTGGGTGTCTCAGGTTTGTTCCCATCATGTACAAGCTGTGTGACCTTTAGAAGACATTTAATCTCTCTGAGCCTCTCTTTTCTCATTTGTAAAGTGAGGGTATCCAAATCATGCACTTGCAAAGATCCCTTCCGGCTTTAACATGCAGCAAGTCTGTGGCAGTTTTGTAAACCCAGGCTGTCCTGGAGAGCCACTTTGAACCTGTTTCATCATCAGTGGGGTGGAGACAACGAAGTCACCACCCCCAACCAGCAGCCACTCTTGGTGTTTGGGCCTCATGTCCTCCTTGGTATCAATCTCTCTGGTAGGCTATATATGTGTGTGTGTATGTGTGTGTGTGTGTGTGTGTGTGTGTGTATATATATATATTTATTTATTTATTCTATTTTATTTATTTTTTTTGAGACAGAGTCTCACTCTGTTGCCTAAGCTGGAGTACAGTGGCGTGACCTCGGCTCACTGCAACCTCTGCCTCCCAGGTTCAAGTGATTCTCCTGCCTCAGCTTCTTGAGTAGCTGGGACTACAGGTGCGTGCCACCACACCTGGCTAATTTTTATATTTTTAGTAGAGACGGGGTTTCACTATGTTGGCCAAGCTGGTCTCGAACTCTTGGCCTTGTGATCCACCTGCCTTGGCCTCCCAAAGTGTTGGGATTACAGGCATGAGCCACTGCGCCTGGCCTCAGGTAGACAATATTAACCTCATTATATGGATGAAGCCATCAAGCCACGGAGAAGTTAGCCCAGGGTAACACAGTGAACACGTGATCGAGCCATGATTTGAATCCTAACAATCTGGCTTCAAGGCCCTCTGTGAAAGATGAGGTTGGATTAATTTTCTAAAAAAGGACTCTGTCAGCTCTAACATTCTGTTACTCTGAACTTTTCCTCCTGCTTTCTTCCCTGGTCTTCTGCATAACACCGTATTGAATTGTAAGTGCTAGGGAAGCCCTGCTTGAATTGAAGATTATTATCGGGGGCAGTGACTCATGCCTGTAATCTGAGCACTTTGTAATCCCGAGGCTGGAGCATTGCTTCAGCCTAGGAATTTGAGACCAGCCTGGGCAACAAAGGGAGACCCCAGCTCTGAAAAAAAAAAAAAAAAGGCAGGCATGCTGGCATGGGCTTGTGGTCCCAGCTATAGCTACATGGGAGACTGACGCAGGTGGATCACTTGAGCCCAAGAAGTCAAGGCTGCAGTGAGCTGTGTTTGTGCCACTGCACTCCAGCCTGGGCAACAGAGGGAGACCCTATATAAAAAAGAAAAAAAAAAAAGAAAAAGAAAATTTCATAGTGTTCTGTGACAGTAAAATTAATGCTACGATATAGTTTTTCTCAGATTTTTTTTTTTTTTTAGACGGAGTCTCGCTCGTCGCCCAGGCTGGAGTGCAGTGGCATGGTCTCGGATCACTGCAAGCTCTGCCTCCCGGGAGTCACACTATTCTCCTGCATCAGCCTCCCGAGTAGCTGGGACTACAGGCACCTGCCACCACGCCCGGCTAATTTTTTGTATTTTTAGTAGAGCCAGGATGGTCTCAGTCTCCTGACCTTGTGATCCGCCCGCCTCGGCCTTCCAAAGTGCTGGGATTACAGGCGTGAGCCACCACGCCCAGCTGCTTTTCTCAGATTTTATAAGTAATATATACATATCATAAACTAAAACAATGACAAAGTGTGAAGCAAAAAAATCCACAACACTTACCCAGAAATGCAGTAAATGCTGTGAACGTTTGGTTATTTTTTTGTAGTGTGCCATTTACTTATAGTTGATTTTATACTATATATTTGATCTTTTTTTATTGCAA